>NW_025791780.1:0-300000 GCF_000001405.40 Homo sapiens
CACCCACCTCGGCCTCCCAAAGTGCTGGGATTACAGGTATGAGCCACCGCGCCTGGCTTCAGAAATTCATGAACTTAAAGCAACACAAATTTATTATCTCACTGTTCTGTAGGTGAGAAGTCAGAAGTCCCACAGGGATCTCACCAGGCTAGAATCAAGGTGTCTGCAGGCTGGATTCCTTTCTGGAGTCTCTAAGGAAGAATCTGTTTCCTTGCTTATTCAGACTATTGGCAGAATCAGTTCCTTTCATTTATAGGACTGACGTCCCAGTTGTTCCCTGGTTTTTAGCTAAGGGCTGTACCCACTTCTAGAGGCTGCCACACTCTGGCTCCTAGCTCCCTTCCTGTATCTTCAAAGCAGCAACAGCGCATTGAGGCTCATCTCCTAGGTCTTTTTCTCCATTGTGTCTCTCTGATTCTTTTACCTTCTCCTTTTTTTCCTTCCTTTCTTTTTTTTTTTTTTTTCTTCTTTGACAAGGACTCGCTCTGTCACCCAGGCTGAAGTGCAGTGGCGTGATCTCAGCTCACCACATTGTCCCCTGGGCTCAAGCAATCCACCCATCTTAGCTTCTCAAGCAGCTGGGAGCACAGAGCCACATCACCATGCCTGGGTATTTTCTTGTAGAGACAGGGTCTTGCCATGTTGCCCAGGCTGGTCTCAAACTCCTGAGCTCAAGCAATCTGCCCACCTTGGTCTCCCAAAGTGCTGGGATTATAGGCATGAGCCACCACGCTCAGTCTGCCTTTTACTTTTAAAGACTCCTATGATTAAACTGAGATCACCCAGACAATTTAGAATAATCTCTCTATTTTAAGGTCCATAACCTTAATTCTGTGTAAAATTCATTTTACTGTGTTATACATTCTTTTCATAACTTTCATAGTGAATATAGCTCAAAGGGTGGGTGCGGGGAGCACTATTCAGCTCACCACACTGATTTGGGAAGTGATTCCAGGAAACACAAGTGCAGAAACAAATTGAGAAATGAAAAAAAGCCAATTACATGACAAATGGGATAAAGGGTTCACTCATGAGTCAGTTACCATGTGGATAACTTGGCTGAATCCCTTTTAGGACTCTCTAAGAAACCATATGAAATGTGTGATATAGCTCAGAATCTTCCTAAGGACTACAGGGCCTGGGACTTTATCTCCACTTCCCATCCTCCTTTGCTTGAATTGGTTGAAGGTTGGCCTGGGAGTGTTAATTCTAATGCACTTTAAGATTGGGCTATGTAACTGCAGAAAAGCAACTATCACGGGTGTGATAAAGCTCACAGGCAAAGGAGAAGGGAGATACTCACTGGAGGTGGAAAGGTTGTCATCCTTGCAGAAAACTGTGCCTCAGCTATTGGCAAACTGTGATAGGCCAAGAGAATATGGGATGGGGCATCAACAGCGTCTGTTATAAGGGCTCTGCCTCTGAGAATATAGTGAATGCCTTTCAAGGTCTCTCTGCCCTCGCTGTACCACATTTAGCATTAGTGACCTCTTCTCTTCCAATACATGCCCACATCACATGGCCCTGCAGCCTCACCACATGGACTGGGTCTGGGATGGACACCTGACCCAGGCTAGGCCAGAGGACCAAGTGACATGTGGCTAGTTACTCCTGTAGCAGATGTGCATGGGAGCTGTGGGAAGAAATGCTCCATTCATGGTGTGGACTAAACAATGGTGGATTGCAGAGAAGACCAAAGCAGATGAGCAGAGAGAAGGCTACAAGATGGAAAGAGTTTAGGCAAATTTCTCACGTTTGGTTCTTTTAGAAGCCCAGTATCATTTCTTCTTTTTGAAAAAATGTGTTCTTTTGAGGCAAGATAAATGTACTCGTTAATATTGCTTGTAGTCCTAATATTCAGAAGCTTATGCAACTATTATAATATGTTCAGTGATTCTGTGAGTCAGGAATCTAGAATTTGAACAGGGCAGAGTAGGAATGGATTTTCTGTATGTCAACATGTCTAGGCCTCCCCTGGGAGTACTCCATAGCTGGAGATGACACAGCTATATTACCTTCACAGACTGTAGTTTATTGTAAAGCAAAAGGAAATCAATGCTTACCCTGTATCCTGGTTCTTCCAGGGTTGGCAGGTCCATAAAGAACCTTGCCAACGTGACCCTTCCTGTCTCTATCCCTCCCACTACAGAGCATGATTGGGTTAGGTTGTTACTATCTAACCGGGCACACCCCAGTAGAGCCTGATTTCTTTCTAAGCTACCCCATCGTCAACTGATCCTCTTCCTTCTCAGAACACACACGTTTCCCTCTAGCTCAGATCAACTTTGGCAGAGGCTGAAGCCTGGCTTAGCTGGATGCTTCTGGCAAAAGGGCTACTTCAAAGCCCTGGGCCTTATTTCTTCAGGTAAAAAAATATAAAGTCAGATCTCATCCTGGCTGGCCATGCTGTTAGACCCTTTCATCCTTCTCTTCTGCCTCTTCTCAACAGCTGCCCAGTCCTGTTTGGAATTCATATACATACAGTTCTAATACTGATGTATTTACCCTCATAAGCCACTCAACCCAGAATCTTATTTGAATTATAATCCAGAAACATCAGGTGACGTGTGAGACTACTGTATGAGAAAGAGACAGTTTAAGGGTCAGTCCAATGGAAAAAAGAGTTCTCAGAGCTTTCTTTAGCTTATTCTCATCAAAGAGCTTTCTCTGCAGAAGGAACCTACTGGTTCCTCCTTTCCAGTCCTAGAAATCCTGACCTAGAGTGGCTTAATCCTGCTAGCACCTCTCTCTCGCACTCTGGTGCCAAATGACTCCAGGAACTGGGCCATGATGTGGTGGGAATGACCTTACCCTGAGCATGTCACTCATGCATTGAACAACAGCTAAGAGCAGAGCTTAGAGCTTAGAGCTGGGCCCTGTAAGGTGAGAGGAATCACATCCTGCAGAAGTCTGTCCTGAGAAGCAGGTACTCCTGTCACAGCAGAGACACAGTGGATACCTGAGTAACAATAATACAAGACAGGACGTGGGAACAGCAAAAGATTTGGGTGTCAGAAGAGGCCGAGAACACTTCAGGCAGGAACATTCAGAGTTGTTCTTGGAGGAAGTAGGCACGAAGGCTGGGCAGGATTTCACGGGGCAGAGATGGAGCAAGCAATTGAAATGAAAGCCATGGCATGGGAAAAGGAGCACTGGCCACAGGGAGTGCAACGTTGTGATGCAAGGCCACTGTGGAGCCATTGCTAGCGTATTAACTGCAAAGTTTTGAATTGAATCAGAAGGGAATTGGAGGCCTCCAGACTAAGCATTTAGACACTTGAGGGGAATATTGACAACTGGGCCTCGGGAAGATTATTCTGGAAGATATCTTTACAATTACAAGATTGGAGCCTTTGGGAGAGGGATGATGTTTACGGGAGGATGGTATGTGTGCTAGTGTGTGTGTCTGTGTGTGGCTCTTGGACCCAACCTGACCACCTACTATCTAGAAGGTGAAGGACAACTAGAAAGTTTTGCTCAATTCCATCTTCTGCCACCACCAGAATGCCACCTCCCTGAGGGAAAAGGTTTTTGATCCTCAGTCAGGATTCTCAGCACCTCTTATCCGATAGCTTTGGAATGAATGGCAAGGCCTTCATAACAGCCACTGCAACTGCTGTCTCCTTTCCTTTGCTACCCCTCCCGCTCCAGCCATGCCAGCTTCCCCCAAGCCCTCCTGCGCTCCAGGCCCAACCTCCAAAGCCAGCAACTTGAACAGGAGTCCTCTGGCTTTGGAAAGGGGGCGGCTTACGTTTTCCTGCTCATGTTTCCTCCCCAGCAAAATTGCCCTCTACATAGAGAGGCCTCTCCTTGTGGACACCAGCAAAGCCACCGACCTCAGTGACAAACCCCAGGGAATCTCCCCAAGGAATCTCAAAGCGAGAGAGAGAGAGAGAGTCTTGAGAGAGAAAGAGAGAGAGAGAGAGTCTTGCTTTCGAACAAAGAAAAAGGAAATAAAAAGACCCGATAATCTCAAAAGGTTATTTGCTGCTTGAAATTTGTGATTCGGTGTATTCTACCCAGCAACTGCTGAGAAATAAGGTTCGACACCATTGGCTGGTTCACTCACACCCGGCCAATCCTGGGCTCTAAAATACTTAGGGAACTCTTGGGACTGTGGAAGCCCAGGAGACCAGATTTCGTTTCCTGCATCTCCAAACATGGCGACCTAGGAGAAGGGGAAGAACAATTTTTTCTCCTCTTTTGGGAAGGTTTGTGTCTAGTAGTGCCTGTGCCCCTGGGCAGATTGGAGAGAAGAGGGACGACTGGAGAATCGTCGAGAACCAGCGGAGAAAAGAAAAAGCAACGTTTAATTCTAGAAGGTAGGAAACGGAGGGGAGGCGCTACAGCTCCGGGGTGGGCACAGTAGGTGGGGGAAGCGGGGTCTGCTGTGGACACGAGACGGGGTCCTGGGACAGGGAAAGCCCACCGGTGGGGAGGCGCGGCCTCGCCTGTCTTTGCCTCAGGCTGCCCGGCCTGGGTCGCGGGGAGGAGGAAGTGAAGGGAGGAGGGTGTGGTAGAATCCAGCGACAACTGAAGAAACTGCATTCTGGCCAGAGAAGTGAGCCGAGGAGGGCGGAAAAAGGCCCCCTTGATCTTGGCATTGATGGCTTACTTCATGGAATGTTTAAGGAATCCCTCTCTCGGGACATACCTGAGCCTTCGGATGCAGGGGACTCCCTGAAGTTGGGGCACTGATGAGACCTACTTGAGTGACGGGAGAGGTTGGGCCCGACCAGCACTGAGGTGCCAAGACTCCTAGGCTGATTCTCCTCTGTAACCCTAGGCCTCCTGTCCCTGCCTGCTCTGGGTGCTCATGGAATCAGCTGCTGCCCTGCACTTCTCCCGGCCAGCCTCCCTCCTCCTCCTCCTCCTCAGCCTGTGTGCACTGGTCTCAGGTAGGGATGTGTGCCACTTGCTGCTGTCACCTATCAGAAAGGAACATCAACCCTGTAGTCTGCAAAGGGAAAGAAAGAAGGACTGTGGAGTTGTTGACTTACCCTTTCATTCTGAACATGTTCATTGAATTTATACCAGCACTGTCCAAAAGGAATACAGTGAGGCACAAAGGCCGAGTGCATGTACAATTGCAAATTTTCAAAAAAAATTAAATTTTACTTTTTATTTTAAAAAGTAAAAAGAAACATGAAATAAATTTGTATACTATATTTTGTTTCGCCCCAAATAATCAAATACGAATATTTAAATACTTAGTTAATATACCATATTACCAATGAGATAGTCAACATTTTGAAATTTTAAATCTTCATAATCCTGTGTGTATTTTACACTTACAGCTCATTTCAGTTGGAACTAGCTAGTGGATATGTGTCCTATTGCACGGCTCAAGTTTACAGTACACTCAGGCACAGCACTAGATTGGGAAATCGAGGAAAATCCCCTCAAGGGCACAGGGTGGACAGAGGGTGCTCAGGGCAGGTTCCTCAGGGTTTCCTTCATGAAGCAGAAGCACACTTTATAGTTACTGCTCCCAGGGGTGCTGTCGACTAGCCACAGCTACTGGTCCCCAGATTTCTCAGCCCAAAGAGACCCTATGGCCATGGAAAAAATAAGTTTGTCCCTAGAATATCTGCTTCCTTTCTTGCCTTAGAGATGTGATGGCTGGTGTCTTTGTCTGACTCTACCCCTTTGTTGAACAGCCCAGTTTATTGTCGTGGGGCCCACTGATCCCATCTTGGCCACGGTTGGAGAAAACACTACGTTACGCTGCCATCTGTCACCCGAGAAAAATGCTGAGGACATGGAGGTGCGGTGGTTCCGGTCTCAGTTCTCCCCCGCAGTGTTTGTGTATAAAGGTGGCAGAGAGAGAACAGAGGAGCAGATGGAGGAGTACCGAGGAAGAACCACCTTTGTGAGCAAAGACATCAGCAGGGGCAGCGTGGCCCTGGTCATACACAACATCACAGCCCAGGAAAACGGCACCTACCGCTGTTACTTCCAAGAAGGCAGGTCCTACGATGAGGCCATCCTGCACCTCGTAGTGGCAGGTGCGTCGCTTCATTTTGCTTTGTTACTTTGGCACAGTGTGACTTTGGGGAAAGTTTCTCTCCTAACCTCAGGCCCATTGCAGACCAGCAAATTTTTGTCTGGACTCCCTTTTCCACTCTCCCTGTGGAAACGGAATTCCAGGGAAAAATCCTTCCTCCTGCACAAGGGACACATGAGTGGGTTTGCCCTGCTAAGCTAAGGGCTTCACTTCTTGAGAAGCACATGCAGAATTCAGCTGAGGCCGTGAGCAGGGGAAAATGGTCAGTCTCGGAAGAGAAGTCTTATACCTGCCTTAGGATTGAACTGTGCACTTCTTTTGGGTTTTTTTTTTCTTTTTGAGACAGAGTCTTGCTCTGTTGTACCCTCGCTGGCACGATCTTGTCTCACTGCAACCTCTGCCTCCCAGGTTGCACTTCTGAGAGTGAGAGGAGACACTGTCAATAATTGTTCCAAGACAACTGGAATAAACTGATTACCCAGAGAACTACAACATATCAAATCTTATTTCTTGATAAATATTAATCTTTACTTCATCTTTCCCAAAATGCTGATTGCAGAGAGAGTGACTTATTGTAAATAGATGGTTTTATTAAACCAAGACGAAATACAGAAGCAAAATTATATATAGTTCCTGCTAACTCCATAGAGAAAGACTACGAATTTTGCTGGGAGGTAATAGGGAAGCCTTCCACATAAAAATGCATTTAAACTGGGATTTCTAGGAATTTGTTAAAATGACATTAAGTGATTACTTCAGTTTTGGGGTTAGTGTATTATGCTTTAAAAGATATATTTGGGCTGGGCGTGGTGGCTCATACCTGTAATACGAGCACTTTGGGAGGCAGAGGCAGGTGGATTACTTGAGGCCAGGAGTTCGAGACCAGCCTGGCCAGCATGGTGCAACCCCATCTCTACTAAAAATACAGAAACATTAGCCAGGCTTTGTGGAGTGTGCCTGTAATCTGAGCTTCTTGGGAGGCTGAGGCACAAGAATTGCTTGAACCCAGGAGGCAGAGGTTGCAGGGAGCCGAGATCTTACCACATCACTCCAGCCTGGGCGACAGAGCAAGACTCTGTATCAAAAATTAAACAACAACAAAAAAGATATATTTGAGGACTGAAAAAGCCTTTAAGGTGCAGGATAATCTGTGGTGGCATTTCACTCCATCAGACCAGACAGAGGAGGTGAGGACTAGGGAATTGGGTCTTTCCCTGGGGGCCTCAAATCATAACAGGTAGGAGACCCCATCTTTGCTACACACAAAGGCAACCTTGCATCTGATTAAAGCAGAATATCATGGAAGGAGGGTTTCTTGACCCTGCATCATGACTGTGTTCATAGCAGCACTCCAGGGTTGACCAGTTATGGTTTCTGCGCGGCAGGAATCTGCCATTCTTTGCCTATAAAACTGACAGTGGCCTGGCCTTTCCCACTCTGAATTGGATTGCTTAGGACTTTTTGTTTGTTTGTTCATTGTATTCTCTTTGTTAGGTTGGTTGGTGGCTGATTTTGCCCTTAAATCTATTTTGTCATGCTTGCCTGTATTGAACCTCATAGAATGTTTTGAAGAATTTCGTTTTCCAATTTGCTGAGTTATTTTAATTCTTATTCCACTGAGCCTTTAAATGTACAAGTAGTTTTATCTCTTGATAAAAATTAAAGTGACCCTGGGCCGAGTGCAGTGATTCATGCCTGTAATCCTAGCATTTTGGGAGGCCAAGGCGGGTGGGTCATCCGAGGTCAGGCGCTGGAGACCAGCCTGGCCAACATGGTGAAACCCTGTCTTTACTAAAATTACAAAAAGTATCCAGGCATGGTGGCACATGCCTGTAGTCCCAGCTACTTGGGAGGCTGAGGCCAGAGAATCACTTGAATTCAGGTGGCCTAGGTTGCAATGAGCTGAGATCCTACCATTTCACTCTAGCCTGGGCTACAGAGCAAGACTCTGTCTAAAAAATAAATCAATAAATAAATAAATAAATAAAAATAAGCCTGGGCAACATGGCAAAATCCAGTCTCTACAAAAAGATACAAAAAAAAAGTAGCTGGGCATGGTGGCACATGCCTGTAGTCTCAGCTACTTGGGAGGCTGAGGTGGGAGGATCACCTGACCCTCAGAAATCGAGGATGCAGTGAGCCATGATCATGCTTCTGCATTCCAGCCCAGGCGATAGAGTGAGACTGTGTCAAAAAAAAAAATTTTTTTTTATTAAATTGAGCCAAAGCACCAGACTTAAGTTATTGATTTAATTTCCTGTCTTTGGTAAAATTCTTTGGGAGACTTTACAAAGGAATTACTCAGAAGAAGTTTAGATGGTCACACATGGCTGAAAGGTCTCCCAGGACCACGCTTTTGCAGCTCTTTCATACCTGGTGTTCACTCTTATGGAAGATTCATTTAAAGATGGATTGTAGTTAGGGTGAGTCTAGTTTCTTAGGATTTTTGGTGATGATCTCTGATATTGAAAAAGTGGTATGGTTATCTTAGTCCCTGGATCATCCAGATCTTTCTAATAAGTTGATGTTCTCCAAGTACTATAAGAAAATCACCCAGCCTGGGCAACATGTTAGCCAAGAATGGTGGAAAATGCCTGTAATCCTAGCTAGTTGGGAGACTGAAGCAGGAGGATCTCTTGAGCCCAGGAGTACAAGGCACAGTGAGCTATGATTTTGCCACTGCACTCCAACCTGGACAGCAGAGCTAAAACCCTGTCCCTAAAACAACAAAAGCAATACTGCCTAATGGATGGAGCCTCTGGGAGGTAAACAGTGTGAATTAGGATTAGAGTTGGATTTGCAGGCTAGATCTGTCAAGTCTCCTAAAAACCATCACCTCCTATGGGTGGTAGAAAGCGGTGGTTATGTGAAGTTCTGAACTAGACAGAAGGGTCAATGTCTTTGGATCAAAAGGTTTCTTAGGATTCTGCCCGCCTGGCAGACTTTCGTCCTTCTCGTTATTATTCTAGAGCTTCTGGAAGCTGAGGTCTACTGAGAAGTCGTCCCAGAAGCAGAAAGTGAAATCCAAAACCTGCCTGTTTGAAGTTGGAGTCGACACACCCATCTCAAAGTGAGAAAATTAGTCTGGCAGGATAAATTGAACAAGCATTTATGGCAGACAGATAGATGCTTGGTGCTGTGATGGGGCCTATAGGTGGACCGCAAAGAAAAGGGTGCAATGGGATCCTTTCCTCTTAGAGAGCTCACAGTTTATGTGGCCCATTGGCCTGCTGGTGTTCTCCAACATCAATGTTCTTTCTTCCTTACCCTCATCCTTTTTTTCTTCCTTCCTATTTCTTGTTTCCTATCTCCCTCTTTTTTACCTTTACTTTCTAGCTTCACAGAAGAGATGCAATAGGCACAGAAGAGATGCAAAAGGCACTGACTTTTGCCTGAACCCTGATATCTCTCCACAGGACTAGGCTCTAAGCCCCTCATTTCAATGAGGGGCCATGAAGACGGGGGCATCCGGCTGGAGTGCATATCTAGAGGGTGGTACCCAAAGCCCCTCACAGTGTGGAGGGACCCCTACGGTGGGGTTGCGCCTGCCCTGAAAGAGGTCTCCATGCCTGATGCAGACGGCCTCTTCATGGTCACCACGGCTGTGATCATCAGAGACAAGTCTGTGAGGAACATGTCCTGCTCTATCAACAACACCCTGCTCGGCCAGAAGAAAGAAAGTGTCATTTTTATTCCAGGTTAGTTCTCTGCCCTCTGAGACTCGTCGAGTGCATGGGGGATCCTCAGCACACAGATGGAGCCCAGAACGGGGATGGGGGCAGCAGTGTGGGTGAAATAGTCCTGGGCCCTAAGGACCTGGAGGCTGCAGCTGAGTGAAGCCTTTCCGCTTCTCACAAAAGGAGAATCAAAGTGTCCCAAAACTCAGGAGTAGGAGCCTCTTCTCTGAGGGTAAACCTGTTTTTGTTGTTGTTGTTGTTGTTGTTGTTGTTTTTCCCCCCAATAAGGTCCTTACACTGCTGCAATTTTTTTTTAAGACAAGTTCTTGCTCTGTCACACAGGCTAGCATGCAGTGGCACAATCTTGGCTCACTGCAACCTCCTCCTCCCAGGTTCAAGCAATTCTCATACCTCAGCCTCCCGAAGGCTAGGACTACAGGCACACGCCACCACACCCGGCTAATTTTTGTATTTTTAGTAGAGATGGGGATTTCACCTTGTTGACCAGGCTGTTCTCGAACTCCTGACCTCAAGTGATCCACCTGCCTCAGCCTTCCAAAGTGCTAGGATTACAGGCGTGAGCCACCATACCCGGCCAGCAATTTTTAGACATTGAAAACAACCATAACATATGGAGGGTGGTGTGGATAAGTGACTCTCTACACTTGGTGTTCCTGTATGCTGTAGCCATCCCTTCCTGTGCAGGGGATTTTCCACAGGACAGAGCTGTGGAAATTCCCTATAGACACACACTCACAATTCATTCAACAAATGGTCAAGAAGCATATCGTATGTTCAAAACACTGTTCTACCAAGGGTAAATCATTGAACAAATTATATTAAGAACTCTTCCCTCAAAAAGTGATTAGTTAGCTAACCATATATTCTATCAGATGGTAATGAACATCTATAGGAAACATTAAGCAAGGAAGGAATAAAGAGGCAATGTGAGACATTGCAATTCTTAACAGAATGGTCAGGGAAGACTTCACTGTAAAGATGGGAATTGAGCCATCCCATCTGATGGCAAGGAGTCATCAGATGCTTAAGGACTGAACAACCCAGCTACAGGAAGAGCATATGCAAAGGGCCTGGGGAAGGAACATCTCTGGCAGTTTCCAGGACCCCCAGAAGGTGATGCTGGTGTGGCTGAAATGGAGTGAGTGCAGGAAGTGAAAGGAGATGAATTCACAGAGGCAATGAAAACACATTAAACATGGCATTGTAAGCCACAAACAGTCTTTGGTTTTTAGGGCGAGTGACGTGGAAAGCGTTGGAAGGTTTTGAGCTAAGAAGTATCATGATCACACTAGGGCTGGTCTGTTGAAAATAGACTACAGAAGGTAAGGGCAGAATAAGAAGGAGGGCACCGCAGTATTCCAGGCGTGAGTGATGGTAGCTTGAGGCAGGGTGGTGGCTGTGCCGACTCAGCATGACGGGTTAGCTTTATTCATCCTGGTCCTTCCCATGGTGACTGGTTTGCTACCTCTGGGCCTTGGCCCTGGAAGCCATTGAGGTGTCAGCCAGGTGTGAGCCAGCATCACTTTCTCCATCTGAGTTTTCTGAGGGAGAAAGCAGGAGAGCAGGTGGCTGAGGAGCTCTTCAAGTGTGCTCCTAGGGGCACTCTTACCCCAGATGTTCTGTTTCAAACTAAGTGGATATTTCTGGCTGCCTTTTCAGAATCCTTTATGCCCAGTGTGTCTCCCTGTGCAGTGGCCCTGCCTATCATTGTGGTTATTCTGATGATACCCATTGCCGTATGCATCTATTGGATCAACAAACTCCAAAAGGAAAAAAAGATTCTGTCAGGGGAAAAGGAGTTTGAACGGGAAACAAGAGAAATTGCTCTAAAGGAACTGGAGAAAGAACGTGTGCAAAAAGAGGAAGAACTTCAAGTAAAAGGTAAAAGAGGCTGAGTATGGTGGCTCATGGCTTGAATCCCAGCACTGTGGGAGGCTGAGGCAGGCAGATCACTTGAGCCCTGGAGTTCGAGACCAGCCTGGGCGATAAAGTGAGACCCTGTTTAATTAAAAAAAAAAAGAAAAGAAAAAGAGTAGAAGGACAGTTCACCACCATAGAAAGGACACAGCTCTCCCAGGTACCAGCATACAGAAGAGAGAGGAAATGCACAGCAGCAGCAAGGACTTGGAACTCTCATGTCCTTGGAATGAATCTCTCAGAGCTTTCATTCTTTCACTCTGCCCACCTTGCATTCATTCATCTGGCTACATAAAGTACTAAATGGTTGAGCAAAAGCAAGTGTAACAATGTGCTGGTACTACCCAGCCACCTGATCATACATAATTTCTGGTTTCTGACAGTGCCCTAGGCATGAGGGAAGGGAGATGTTGCTGTTCATAGAAAGGACGGTTCCTGCATTGTTTACTAAAAACCCAACTTCTTTTAGTTCTTCTGTCAAAGACATGATTTTCTTTGTTTGTTTTTCAGAGAAACTTCAAGAAGAATTGCGTAAGTTTAGCCTTTCCTTAACTACATGTACAATTTGAGTTCTGCTCAGCAACATCTCATGACATTCGTCTCTGTCTGTCCCTTGCAGGATGGAGAAGAACATTCTTACATGCTGGTGAGTGCCTCTGATGTTCCCTCAGATCTCAGCTTTCTCCACACTAGCCAGCTAACAGGACTCCTTAGAGGAGATGAGCAAGGGGCCCAGGGCAAGGTGGGGACAGCAGGGAACGGGGGTCAGTTCATCAACAGTGTCCCAGCAATGATGCATCATGTCTCTTCTGTCAGGGAATCCCAGCAGCTCTCAATCCACCCTATGGTTTACATCCCAGGATCCTTTATCTTTTGGAGTAATTTAATGCATGATTACCAGAGGTGTCCCATATATAGTAGCCTTCCTAAGAGTTACATTTCAGTAGTTGTTGTTCTTTGATCCTGGATGAATTTGAAAAAAGACAATGCTATCTTAGCAGCTTATATCCTGGGGATGGTGTAGACTGTGCCAAGTTGAAGACCCATGTAGGGAAGAGGCCAGGAGGGTCCCTAGTAAGCCTGACATAAGGGTGTACCAATAGGTGGCCAGAAATGCCTTTCTGCTCTTAAGAGAACACTAATACTTTGTGTATAGCCTGCCGTGGGAGGGATTTCAGGTGGGTGGGAGAGCACAGAACCCAATTGCCCACTCCCAGTGAGCACTTTTCATCTTATGATTCAGCCCCTCTGCCCATAAGCACCACAGAATCCAAGCTTTACCAGATACCATGGCACATGGACCTTTCCTCTTTAGGTGAATTTCAAAATTGCCACTGTCAACTTGGGACAAAATAGCAAATTGTCACAGCCAGACATATTAACTTGGGGAATGGAGGAAATCATTTTAACACAATAGAAAAGTAGACTGAATAAGTAAGAATAAATACAGATGGGAGAGGTCTGCAGAATGCCCGGAGTCTGGAGCATTTCTTGTACCTACAGAAGTGATATGTGAAGACATCAGACCCATGTTGTTGAAGCAAAACTGGATGGGAATAGTTACTCCCTACATTTGCCCACAGACCCCTCAGGCAACAGGTTTTCTTTTGGGGACATTTATTCTCCTTCTTCATTTTTTGAAGGGTGCCCTTGTTAGTCATTTAAGTCAGTTGTGATCTGGTAAAAGGAACACATAGGACCAATGAAGAGACCCTTTATCCTCCAGGACAGTGTGAAGGGAAAGACTCACCTTAGTTGATCCACCGGGGAGAGGAGGAGCAGGACATAAAGCCTTTGTGCTGGTTTAAGCCAAGTTGGAAAGTTTCTAAGTAAAGAAAATCCCAGAGATCATAGGTCTTCATTTGGGGTTTTGTTTTGTTTTGTTTTGAGATGATGTCTTGCTCTGTCACCCAGGCTGGAGTGCCATGGCACAATCTGGGCTCACTGCAACCTCTGCCTCCCGGGTTCAAGCAATTCTCGTGCCTCAGCCTCCTGAGTAGCTGGGATTACAGGTGTGCACCACCATGCCCGGCTAATTTTTGTATTTTTAGTAGAGATGGGGTTTCACCATGTTGTCCAGGCTGGTCTCGAACTCCTGACCTCAGGTGATCCACCTGCCTCAGCCTCCCAAAGTTCTGGGATTACAGGCGTGAGTCACCACGCCTGGCCAGAGATCATATGTCTTGGATAGAAAAGGGAACACATCTTAGAATGCTGAGAGAAAGTATAAGAATGATTGATTTTACTTCATTTGCTAAACTTTCCGGATTTCTTAGAGCTCCAATTCTTCTCAAACTGAGAGAACTGCTTCTGTCTCTGGAGAGACAGAAGTGCAGCTTCAGTAATTCTCAGTGTGTGAGCTGCCTAGGATCAGAGAGCCTTCATGGAAGTGGCCACTACGTGGGGATCCCTTCAGAGATATCTGAGACCTCTCTGGGGATCAGGAACCACACAATCCCCAGGGTTCCTGAGACCCCAGGCCTAAACCTGAGACTTCCTCTGCAGTTGATGTGGTCCTGGATCCAGACACCGCTCATCCCGATCTCTTCCTGTCAGAGGACCGGAGAAGTGTGAGAAGGTGCCCCTTCAGGCACCTAGGGGAGAGCGTGCCTGACAACCCAGAGAGATTCGACAGTCAGCCTTGTGTCCTAGGCCGGGAGAGCTTCGCTTCAGGGAAACATTACTGGGAGGTGGAGGTGGAAAACGTGATTGAGTGGACTGTGGGGGTCTGTAGAGACAGTGTTGAGAGGAAAGGGGAGGTCCTGCTGATTCCTCAGAATGGCTTCTGGACCTTGGAGATGCATAAAGGGCAATACCGGGCCGTGTCCTCCCCTGATAGGATTCTCCCTTTGAAGGAGTCCCTTTGCCGGGTGGGCGTCTTCCTGGACTATGAAGCTGGAGATGTCTCCTTCTACAACATGAGGGACAGATCGCACATCTACACATGTCCCCGTTCAGCCTTTTCCGTGCCTGTGAGGCCCTTCTTCAGGTTGGGGTGTGAGGACAGCCCCATCTTCATCTGCCCTGCACTCACAGGAGCCAATGGGGTCACGGTGCCTGAAGAGGGCCTGACACTTCACAGAGTGGGGACCCACCAGAGCCTATAGAATCAATTCCTTGGTCTCACAGCCATGTAGACAAGCCCTGGTCATCTCAGCAGCCACCGCACAACACCCCTGGTGGAAGACACGCCCTCCTCCCCTCTGGTCACACAAGAGAACATCTTCCAGCTGCCTCTTTCACACCCACTACAGACCTCAGCCCCAGTTTTCTCCTCCTCACTAGGCTGTGTTTTTAGTAGTTCCTTTGCTTGTAACTATGGGATGGGATCCAGGCATAGGGAACTAGTTGTTACACAGCTCCCAGCCAAGAAGAAAGTGTGAGAAGTTGATGGGCAGCAAACCTGCTGTTTAACATCAGGGTGACCACATTAAGCCCAGTATTCCAGTTGGCACCAGAAGATATGGACTTGGAATGAGGCCTACAGGGTTCACCAGGATGTAAGAGGAGAGAGGAATCCACAGGACCACCAGAGAGGAGAGGGAACCAGATATGCAGATCAGAGATAGAGGAAGTGGAACCAGAGAGCTGGGAGGGACCAAGGTTGTAAGGGTGGCTAAGTCCCACCATAACAGCTAAGGGGACCTGGGAGATGATGGCTCATTTCCACCCAGCCCCAGGATTTCCAGAGCGCACATCCACAGGCCTGGACCTGGGATGAAGATGAATGAAGAACATGGATGCACGTGGATGTAGTTTGGCTCAGGTGTCCCTGCAGTTGGCAAGGAGTCAGTACTCAGTCCCTGAGTGTGGCTGAAATTTGAGGTCCTGGCTGAGCCAAGGAGTAATGGACCAGATCTACCTCAGTATTCAAGTTCAGTGGGGACACCAGTGGCTTCAAACTTCCTGGTTTCATGATATCTTGAGACGCCTTACAAATGATGGAGGATTCCAAAGAGTTTTTGTTTATTTGGGTTAATATTTGTTGGTATTTATGGCATTTGAGATTGAAACTAAGAAATGTTTTAATTTATTACCTTTACAACATTTATTTACATTACATACATACATTTACAACATTTATTAATTTATATTAAAATAGCATGAATAAGCCAATTATAGGTTAATATAAGTAGAATGTTTGTGAAAAATAAGTATGGTATCCAAAGCAAAATAAATTTTATTGTGAAGTGTGGCATTGATTAACTTTTTCCAGATCTAATGTGTGGCTTGAAAGAATATGACTGGATTCTCATATCTGCCTTTATACTCACTCTGTTGAGATATCATAGACTATATAGGCTCAAGAAAACTTTATCCTAGTGACAGAATGAGATTAAAAACAACAAACTGTGTTTTATTATTAATATGAAAATACGATTATTAACCTTGCAGGCCCCTTAAAACAGTTCTGGTTAACTGAGACCTTGTCTCTACCAAAAACAAACAAAAAAAATTAGGTGTGGTAGCGCACGCCTGTAGTCCCTGCTTCAGGAGACTAAAAAGACTAACTCCAACTCCTTGCTTGAGCCAGGAGTTGGAGTTTGCAATGAGCTGTGATCCTGCCATTGCACTCCAGCCTAGGCAACAGAGTGAGACTCTGCCTCAAAAAACCAAAACACAGGTCGGGCACGGTGGCTCACGCCTGTAATCCCAGCACTTTAGGAAGCCGAGGTGGGTGGATCACCTGAGGTCAGGAGTTCAAGACCAGCCTGGTCAACATGGCAAAACCCCATCTCACTAAAAATACAAAAATTAGCCAGGCATGGTGGCGGGCACCTATAATCCCAGCTACTCAGGAGGCTGAGACAGGGAATCCTTGAACCCCAGTGGGGTGGAGGTTGCAGTGAGCCAAGATCGTGCTGCTTCACTCCAGCCTGGGTGAAAGAGTGAAACTCCCGTCTCAAACAAAGAGGGGGAGGGAACTTATGTCAGAGACCCCCCCCACCCCACCCCAGGAATCCTGAAACCATATTTGAGAGTTGGGATAGAGGATTCGGGAAGTAAATCAATGTGATGGTTAATTTTAGGTGTCAACTTGATTGGGTTAAGGAATACCTAGACAACTGATGGAGCATTATTTCTGGATGTGTCTCTGAGGGTGTTTCCAGGGGAGACTGGTATGTGAGTCAGTGGACTGAGTGGAAGAGATCTGCCATCAATATCTTTGGGCACCTTCCAATCAGCTGTGAGCCCAACAGAGCAAAAGGCAGAGGAAAGGTGAATTCTCTCTCTCTCTCTGTCTCTCTGGAACACTCTTCTCTTGCTCTTCAATATCACAACTCCAGGCTCTCCGGCCTTTGGTCTTTGGGACTTATACCAGTGGCCCTGAGGTTCTCAGGCCTTGGGTCTTTGGACTGAGTTACGCCATCAGCTTGGTTCTGAGGCTGTCACACTTTGACTGAGCCATGCTGCCAGAATCTCAGGGTCTCCAGCTTGCAGATGGCCCGTCATGGGATTTCTCAGGCTACATAATTGCATGAGTCAATTCCCTTAATAAATGCCCTCTCATGTCTGTATCCCCTATTGGTTCTGTCTCTCTGGAGAACCCTGACTGAAACGATCAGGCATCTAAAATGCTGGCTTAAATGATAGTGTTTTGGATTTTAGACAACTCAGTAATCCAGTTGTAAAACTGGGTTGAACAAAAAGCTTTTTAAACAGTCTGAAATTATATTACTGAAATTACAAATGACACATTATGGGAAGAATCAGGAACATATATTTAAATACCTGATTTGTTAAGGCAGAAAACAGGGTTGTTTATGTGCATGTTTTAGTCTGCCCAGACAGCTATGACAAATATACCAAGACTGAGTCGTTTATAAACAACCAAAATTTTTTTTCTTGCACTCTGGGGGCTGGGAAATGTAAGACCAAGGCACCAGCAGTTTGGTAACTGGTAAGAGCCTGCATCCTTGTTCACAGCCTTTTAAATGTGTCCTCATATGGCAAAGGAGAAAAGTAGATCTTTGGTTTTTGTCCCAAGAAACTGGAAAGATGGGCCGGGCACGGTGGCTCACGCCCGTCATCCCAGCACTTTGGGAGGCCAAGGCAGGTGGATCACTTAAGGTGAGGAGTTCGTGAACAGCCTGGCCAACATGGTAAAACCCTGTCTGTACTAAAACCCAGAAGGTGGAGGTTGCAGTGCACCACTGCACTCTAGCCTGAGTGGCAGAGTGAGACTCTCAAAAAAGAAAAGAGAGAGAAGGAAGGAAGGAAAGGAAGGAAGGAAGGAAGGAAGGAAAAGTAACTGGAAAGATGAAGTTGTTAATTTCTGAGATGGGGAAACGGAGAGACAAGGAGCAAGACGGGAGTGGTACAGAACCAAAGGTTCAGTTGTGGATACATTAAGGTTGAGGAGTCTATATTAGAGATGCACATGGAGATGCAGAGTAGTCCATTGAATAACCAAGAGTCCAGGTGAGACCTCAAGGCTGGAGATAGAGATTCCATACTCAACTTTCCTATATGTTTGAAGAGTTTCATGATACACTGTAGTGGGTAGAGGGAAGAATTGTATTTTGTTATTAATAACAGTCCTGAATATCATTGGCTTTGACAAAATGAGGACTTCTTTTCATGTCAATAAATATGGATGGTGGCCATCAAGGGCTGATCTGAGAGCTTGAAATGTCATACATGCCCCAGCTTAGTTCTGTCTTTATTTTCTTCTGTCTTAGCATGTGGCTTGCATCTTCAATGTTGCCTCATGGTCACAAAAGGGCTGCCCAGCTCCAAAGTCCATATTCTAGATAAGAGGAAGTAGAAAGTAAGGGGAGTGTAAGGGTCTACCAGCTGTTTTAGCCTCCCCTTAAATAATCTGTCTGATAAACTTCCACCCTCAAGCAATTGGCTCAAACTTAGTCCCTTGGCTTCCCCTGTCTACAAATGAGATGGACACCTTGCAATAAGAAAATGGGATTTTATTACTGAGAAAAGTAGATCTGTTATTGAACAAGCAGCCAGCCAACTCTACCACAGAGCCTAAATTCAAACTGTTGTAGTATCATTTTCTACCAGCCAAGGTTTCAGCTAAGTCCTAGGAGTTTTAATTACTTTAAGGGTCTGTTTTATAACATAAACAAATGATAGGCCTTTATATTTTATTTGTGACCCAACTAAAGTTGCAAGTGCTAGTGATACAGGATTTTTATTTGTCACTTTGCAAGCAGGGGACCTCTGGCCAGCAACACCCCACCCAAGCCTCGCTTGGCTAAACTGGCATGCCCCAGCTCACCTGTGTTATAGCTTATACCCACGTTCAGCAGTTCCTGAGCTCTTGTACCATGCCCAAGAAGAATGAGGATACACTAGACGTTGAAGGGTGAGGAGGGCTGAGAAGAATTTTATCAAGCGACTGAACAGCTCTCAGCAGAGAGGGGATGCTGGCACCCCTACCTGAAGGCAGGAAAGCTCCCCCTGTGTGGCTGGGTCCAGGCCTGTTTTATGGACTCAGAATGGGAAGTGTGTGCTGAATGGTTTGTGAGTATGCAAAAAAGGTTAAAGTGAAGACACCACTCAAAGATGGCCACAACAGTGTAAAAAAACAATTAGGAAAGTGTGGGTATATGGAAAGTAGTTGAAGGGTGGGGACCAATCAGAGGAAAGTGCACCAAACAGGAAGACAAGTTCTCAACAAGTTCTCAATTTGGGCTGAGGATTTACCTTGTAGTTTGGCTTTCAGGCTTTAAACTGTCTTCAGCTTGGAGGTGGGGTATCACTGGGGACCCATTGCTACCTGCCTAGGCATCTGACTGCCTCCTGTCTGCTATCACTAGGTCCCAAGGTTTGTAGCAAGGACCCCTTACAAAGACATCCCCCACAGTCTACCCAAAGGTTAACCTTAGAACATATTTCATTGTCAGAGTGAGAAACAAATACACATGAAAATACAGTATGGCACAAATAAGGAGCAAGAGGTGAAGAAAGCTTCAGTCACACCCAAAATAATTTTGTGAAAAATATAAAATATGCAGTTATAGACAGCACTAACTCTGGATACCAGAAAATTCTATAATTCGGTAATGGATCTGAGACCTGAATTTTGGAGGTACTAAAATAGATGCAATAGATCTAGTTTTCATTATGTTCATACTTTCATTTGGCTCTGTGGTAAAAGATGATAATATCCAAAACAAAAGATGATAATATCCTCCATGTAACAATTACATGCAAGGGGATGTCTGCAAACTGCCACAGTATCATTTTAATTAATACCTATCTTCTCTTCTTAAAATCTTTTCATTTTTCCACTCAGTTCTCCTGATATTTCTGTTATGATATAAAAGACAGCTGAATGTGAAGAAACACTGATTGTACACGTAACACACACATTAATGATTCAAATATGTAAACACAGAGAGCTGCAAACACTTTGAGAGGTAGGGCTGAAACTTTTCGTCAATGTGTACAATTCAATATCGTTTCAGTTTTCATTCTAACCGTCCCCAGTGGCTTCTGCCCAGCAACTGATGAGAAATGGTACCTCTGAGCCAATCAAAACACGAATTCCTACAAAGAGGATTCTCTTAGTGTTTCTCGGACCGAGTGTACAGCACATGCTTTCTTTTCCTTTATTCTGGATCAGAGAATCTTAACTAAAGCAGAAATAATTGTGTTAAATTAAACTAAATTTGGTATGAGATATGTATACATTTAGCCTGAGGGATGGCTCTTGAGCCCTTAAATAATGAACTGCAACCTAACTTAGTATGTAAACTAACTGAAAGCTTAAGGCATGGGAGTATACTTTTGTAACAAATAGCTGAGTCTCAGCCAATCCCAGTAGCCGAACTTCAGTCGGCGGCAGTCAACCCTGCAGCCAAGTGATCAGACTATGTTCAAATAAGGCCAACTCTGAGCTGTAACCAATTAAGCTGTTTCTGTGTGTCACTTCCCTTGTGGAATGGAGCTCACTGAACCTCTCTGATGGCTGCCCGATCGTTCTGATGGTTTGCAAATTGTTCTTTGTTCAAATTAAACCCTGCTAAATTTAATTTGTCTAAAGTTTTTATTAACAACAGAAAACTATTGATTACCTTTTTTTGTGGGCTATGATTTTCAGATAGGAATATTAAGGAGTAAGTGGGGAAAATTGCTTAGAGCCAGGGCTACAAGGCCTGGAAGAAAAGGGACTGAAAAGCTGAGAGGGGAACTGGCACAGAGAAAGGGGTGAGGATGGAGAGGGTAGAATGCAAAGAGTAAGGACCTGAAGAGGCTGAGATTTGGCTGAAGAGGGACAACCTGAATAGAGAAACCTTCCAACTGCATGTTCTTAGGAACTAATTACAGTCAGAAAGGAGCAAAGACTCCTTTTTTTTTTTTTTGTCAGAGTCTCACTGTTGCCCAGGCTGGAGTGCAGTGACACAATCTCGGCTCACTGCAGCATCCACCTTCCCAGCCAAGCAATTCTCTGGCCTCAGCCTCCGGAGTAGCTGGGAATACAGGCATACGCCACCACACCTGGCAAATTTTTTGTATTTTTAATAGAGACGGGGTTTCACCATGTTGGCCAGGCTGGCCGGCCAGGCTGGTACTGAACTCCTGACCTCAAGTGATCCACCCACCTTGGCCTCCCAAAGTGCTGTGATTACAGGCATGAGCCACTGCCCCCAGCCAGGAGACGAAAAGACTCCTAAAATATCTCCTGGTTATGTTTAGGAACATATTCCAAAAGGTTCTAAAAAGAGATGTGCCTTAAAGATTCATATGTATATTGTAAATTTTCAACTCCATATTTTCTAGATGTCCCCAACATCCCCACAACAGCCCGTCAACACCCTGCCCAGGTGACCAAGTACACCAGTGCAACAGGGCTGGTTCCTGCCTGCTTGCCCTTGCTTAACTGTGACCTAGTGACCTCCTCCCATCTTTTGATCTTTATTCCTCTAGTTCACTTCCTTTGTCACTATCTCTCCACCCACACCTACTTGCCTTAATCACCTTAACAGCAAAGGCTGAATTATTGTAAACAAAAGGAGTCTGTCTTTTTAGTGCATGGGTCCCCAAGTATGTATATATGAATATGCAATGAACCCCAGGATACTAAGCTTCACTTAAGGATTTTTTCCTACAAGGACTCAGCTGTCACATTTGGGGGCATTTTGTTTTGTTTTGTGAATGTTTAACCAAGCTAATGGAGGAACTATTGGTACAATGAACTCAAAAAATGTACAGGATCAGCAGGGCATAGTGGCTCACGCCTGTAATTTCAGCACTTTGAGAGGCTGAGTTGGGAGGATCACTTGAGCCCAAAAGTTCAAGATCAGACTGGGAAACATAGTGAGACTTCATCTCTAAAAAATTAAAATAAAATAAAATAAATACAAGGAAAAAAGAAAAATGTACTGGATTGAGGGGAAAAATTTATGATGCAAACAGAAGAGCATTTATGATTGAAGTGAGAGAAGGATAATGGGGGAGGATGGTGAAAGAACATCAATCTAAATTTATATTTAAATTTACATGAATCCAGTGCAGGCAGCATCTCAGGGGAGGGAGGAGTCTATTTTTCTGTTGATTTCCTGGGCTAAATTCCTGACTGACTCATTGCTGAAAGTAAATAACATATTATTATAGTTGAAAGATTTTTTTTTAGTGTAGTGATTTCAAACTGTGCTCATTTATATGCAACCCATGAACGCCTCCCTTCTCCTATGTCTCCTTTTGAGTTGTAGGGCCAGTTTGAAGCTTTATATATCATTTACCAAACTTAGGGTGGTGAGTGGGTGCTGATGGCAGCCTGGTTTGAAAATCTCCACTGGAGAGAAGACACAGCAGGATTCAGATGCAAATGACCAGAGCACTCCAAGTTGGAAAGAACTGCTGAGCGGGTCTGTAGAGCCCATCGCTCTCTCCTGTCTATTCATCAGCTAGGCTGAAGCTCCTGACAGACTCACACCAGTATCTTGCTGCTCCAGAAAGGTCGAAGATGGCAGTTTTCCCAAACTCCGGCTTGCCCAGATGTCTGCTCACCCTCATTCTTCTCCAGCTGCCCAAGCTGGTTTCAGATAGGTCTCTCTCTCTGGCCTGCAGAGTTAAAACATCTCAATAAATATAAAGTATAAAAAGAAGCTGGAGCCCAACCACTTCGGCACATGTTCACAGGATCTCGGGGCTGTGTCACAAGCCACTGGGCACTCATATCTGGCTGAGAATAAATCTCTTGCAATATTTTACAGAGTTTGACTCTTTTTGTTTGACAAAATAAATTCAACTCATAACTGCTGAGTTTGGGCTCTGGGCTGTGGAGTTGTCTGGAAATGGGTGCTGGGCTCCCACTGCTGCCTTTCACTCAAGGCCCCCAGATATAGCAACCATCTCTTAGTATGTAAAGATCTGATCTCAAATCATCAGGAGCTTCCAGGTTATTTCATTTTCCTTTTTTTCTCTTCTTTTCACCGATGTTTGACGTCCAGGTTATTTCTAAGGTGACAGAAAGAAGCAGAACACTTTCTTGTGCCTGATTGATCAGTTGATGTTTTGTAGGCGATAGGATTCAGATAGTAACAGTCCTCCAGTGCGTCCTTCCCACTCTCATTTTCTTCCTCCTCCTCCTCACATCTCAGCCCCAGAGGCCTATTGAAGAATTTCTATTCATTTTACAAAGAAGCTCCTGAAATTTTTATGTTAGTTTTGTCTTTTTATTTTCCTCCTTCTTCTTCTTCCTCTTTTTCTTCTTCCTCTTCTTCTTCTTCACACCACTATACAAAGGAGGAAGTTTAGTTTTGTCTTTTACTTTAAATTACACAAGATTTTTTTTTCTTTCTCTCTCTGTCTCTTTATTATTTTAAATTGTTTGTAGAGATGGAGTCTCGCTCGAACTCCTTAGTTGGCTCAAGTGATCTTCCTGCATTGGCCTCCCAAAGTGCTGGGATTACAGGTGTGAGCCACCGTACCCAGCTGATTTTCTCTTTAACCTGGCAATGACTCTTGTTTCTGTTTTATTATAGAATGGAAACTGGCTCGATCTTGTGCAGGTTAGTGGCTGGGCACTGCTCTGGGTGCTGAGATTTAACCTCTGAGGTATCCAAAGACCTAAAATAAGTGGAAATGAAAAATGCTGATACCCTTTTAGTGATGAACACAGAGATTTTAAGTTGTGGGGAAAAAAAAAAGAAAGAAAGCCTAATACTTCCTTGGAACACAGAGAGGGGCTTTGGAAGATGGCCAAGAGTCCAGCTTCCTGTGAGATTATCTCACGAGGCATTACAAGCCTGGGCACAGTCAACTCTTAACATCACCCTCTGGCTGCTGGTGACAGAGGGAGCCTGGGGGAATGGAGACCCCTTAGCAGGCCAAACAGCCCTCCCCCTGAGGAGACCTATCAACTCCTACAGCAGTGCTCTGTTTCTTAGAAGCAAAAATAGTCCTGTAACCATAACACTCACCAATGGTCAGACTTTTTGTTTCTGTCTTTCTCTCCAGTTGAAGTGACTCTGGACCCAAACATAGCCCTCCCTCACCTCTTTCTTTATTAGGATTCAAATCTGTTTGACTGGAAGATTCATGTCAGAAACTGCCTGAAAAACCAGAGAGATGTGACTCCTGGCCCTGTGTGCTAGGCCTGGAAGCCTTCACCTCGGAGAGACATTACCAGGAAGTGGAGGTGGGAGATGGGAAATAATGGTTGGTTGGAGTCTGTAGGAAGAATGTGATGAAGAAAATTCTCCTTGCTCTTAAGAATGGGATCTGGGCTGTGGAGTCATCTGTAAATGGGTACTGGGCCCTCTCCCCACTCAAGACCCTTCTCTTCTTGTCAGATCCCAGCCCCCTGGTTGAGATTTTCCTGGACTATGAAGCAGGAGGCATCTCCTTCTACAACATGAGTGACAGAACCCCTTATCTATGCTTTCCCCAAAGGCTCTTTCTCTGGCTCCCTTCAGCCTTTATTCTTCTTGTGGTCATGCGATAAAAAGCCCCTGACCACCTGCCCAATTGTTGATGGACTTTCAGGAGGTCACAGTCTTGTGAAGCCTGGGGCCTAAGGAGATTCTGTTGTCCAGAATTCAGAAAATTCTGCCTCCAGAAATACAAATATGCTCTTTTCTAAACAAGTGACAACACAATGTAGCCATAGGCTCCCTTAAGCAGCCACCTCATGTCAACTAATAGTCTTTGCTCTCTAGCCTCTCTCCTCCAAAGTCCATTTCGTCTCCTGAGGCTTCAGCTATTACTGTCAGACCCTCAGTTACTTCTGATGAACAGGGATTAGGCTTGAGAAAATGGAGATGCATTTAGATTGGCAGATATGGGGGACTTCTTAATGTGCTTTTATTGCTGCCTTATCTCTGAAAACAGGTTCTGGGAGTTTGGGAATAAGTCTGAGGGCATATAAAGGATTGAGACTGAGTGACTTAGGAGTGTGAGAGGAAATATCTTGATGTTGAGAACAGGGTTGATGTGGAGGGGTATTCTCTGTGTTATGCATGTAAAAAGAAAAAAAGGAAAAAAAAATCATTACTGGGAAAGAAAACACCCCAAGCTGAAGTCCAAGAAAGGTACACAGAGGAAACACAGAAACAGTTGTGTTAGCAGAAGATGACATGAAACCCAGCTGACAGTGAAATTAGGAAGTTGCCTTGGAATTTCAAGAACTTGCATTCTCAAGTTTATGGTTCTGTGTCCAACAGAGCAGCAAAATCCAGCACTTCTTCTTTTGAGTCTCCATATCGTGCTAACAGAAAGACAAGGGGTCGGGAGATGCAGAGATGAGGAGGAGCTCAAGAGTGACAGTGTTGAAGAGATTCTGAGCAGAACTCCACAGTGATCTGTGTAACTGATATCCAACCCTGATCCCTCCATCGTCTGCCTGTCCAACCCTTGCTTAGATCTCAATGTAACTTCACTTCATTGTGTCCAAGAAGTTCTCTGATCTCTTCCCCTGTGGATTTAGCAACCCTCCATTTTAGAGGCATTTTCAGGAATCTTTTTGCAATGCATCATCTCTATGAAAGCTCAGCTTCCTGCTCCCCAGGCCGATTTAGCCTAACATCCCTGGGCTACACCACTCCGACAGACATGCTGTCAAATTAGTCACCATCTTTCACACAGCCCATCCCCAGCCCACCCTTCACATATACAAAACCTCTTCTACCTACAGATTGTGTTTCTGTAATAGGAATTAGCTCATGTGCTTTTTGTTAATCCTGGAATTATGACAGCATTATAATGTCGGTGTTCCTTTTACTCATACTCAATTTTCTCCCAAATTAATGTGTTATGCCATTGAGGAAGAGTTATTTGAGTACAAAATACACCAGTAGCTAAGCTCAGAAAACCACAGAGAAATGCACTAGCATATGTAATGCCTTTTTGCCCCATGGTTTTCCTTTTGGCTTAAAAGAAACACAAGACCATAGCTTTGTAGATCACATTTTGTACAAAGATGACAACTTCTCCACCTTTAGCCTGTTGTCACAATGTTAGCCCTTACTCCTGTTGGTGTCCTAGAGCCAGCCAGCTTGCACCAGTTTAGGAGAGGTGATTGTTAAATTTTCAGGAAAGTAGTGAGCAAAAATCACTCATAGTAGGAGTATTTACACCACAGAAATTGCCAAACAATACTAAACAAGGCATTTCTTCCTGCATACGATTTATTAGCCCACCATTGCTTTGTTCCCAAATTCAGCAAACTCATCTTTTTGGTATACTTCTTTTTGAGATGGAGTTTTGCTCTTGTTGCCCAGGCTAGAGTGCAATGGTGTGTTCTCAACTCATCGCAATCTCTGCCTCCCAGATTCAAGCGATTTTCCTGCCTCAGCCTCCCGAGTAGCTGGGATTGCAGGCATGTGCCACCATGCTTGGCTAATTTTGTATTTTTAGTAGAGACGGGGTTTCTCCATGTTAGTCAGGCTGGTCTCAAACTCCCGACCTCAGGTGATCCGCCTGCCTCGGCCTCCCAAACTGCTGGGATTACAGGTGTGAGCCACCACACCCAGCCAGTATACTTCTTTCTATTAAGCTACATTCACCTACCTTCAGGTAAAGCCCTACATTTACTATTAAACACGTTTAGTTATTAGGAGTTTGGGTAACTGTGCTAAAAGTATTACTATCATTGATGTTTTTATTAGTGTTCTTTTTTTCTCTTTTTAAGGGTTTTTATGGACAATTTGGTGGGCATTAGGGAATGGGTGCTGCTGATTGGTTGGCTTTATTAGTGTTTTGGAAACAAACCTGCATGGGTTTTTAGTTGTCTAAGCCCAACTCTATTTTTTTGTAAGCCCTGGTGTTTTTGTTGCATGATTTTGCAGAATTCAAGGTGTTTGTTGTTTTTTTTTTCCAGGAAAATAATATGTTGGGTTATTGCAGAACACATACTTTATTTTCTCTAAAATCCCATAAATGCTTGGTTCCAGAATTTCAAGCATCGTTTTTTTGTTTTTGTTTTTGTTTTTTTTTAGAGATGAGGAAGTTGAGGCCAAGAAAAGTGAAAGTATTTAGTTAAAAACACATAGTAAGTGACTGAGCTGCAAGTAAACCAGTCTCCCAGCTATTCATGCAGTAAAATGACTGAACTACAAATGGGAATGAGAACAGATTAAACTAATCTGGAGCCAGAGTTGTCAGAAAGTTCTCTAGGGAAATCCATGAGCATGTCCCCATTGGTTCAAGGATTTCTTATGCAGAGGGAGAGAAATAACGTGATTTCTCTCACATGAACTCAGGGGCCAACTTTGGATAGAACTGAAAGCTGTACCTGAGAAACAAAGAGAAATATTCCTTCCTCCTTCATTTTATACTATTTCCAGCACCAAAACCTTTTCTTCTCTCTGCCTGCCCCCTTCCACACAAACTGTCCAACTCCATTCTCATTTCCCCACTGAGGTGGATGCTGTGGTGCCCTGCCCTGGTCACTCCGTGTTGGACTGAGACACACAATCAACCAGCTGCAGAGAGTGTTGGTGGCTCAGGGCCCTCAGCTGACTCCATACCATGAATTGTTAAAGAGCCAAAGAGAGCCCTGTTGCCCAAGGTTATTCCACCTCTCAGTGAGTGGACCACATCCAATGACTGGAAAACATAGGTGTAAAGGTCCTGGACCCCTTGCACAAGGTACACAACTCTGAAGGGTCACCCCAGTTCCAGAGTTCATTGTGAGACTGCATTATATTTCAACTTTTCCTTCTGTCTATCCTCTTTCCTTAACTTCCTCAAGGTATTGATGCTGCGGGGCTCTCCAGTGGATGTCCTATAGTCTATTTCTCTGGAACCACCAAAGACAGGGATTCTTAAAAGTGTGGTCTGACCCTAAGATTCTTTCAGGGGATCCATGAGGTGAAGACTTTTTTTTTTTTTTTTTTTTGAGATGGAGTCTCACTCTGTCACCCAG
This sequence comes from Homo sapiens, assembly GCF_000001405.40. NCBI lineage: Eukaryota > Metazoa > Chordata > Mammalia > Primates > Hominidae > Homo > Homo sapiens. The sequence continues at coordinate 27,959 of NW_025791780.1, forward strand.
GCTGGAGTGCAGTGGTACGATCTCAGCTCACTGCAACCTCTGCCTCCTGGGTTCAAGCTATTCTCCTGTCTCAGCTTCCCGAGTAGCCACCACTCCTGCCTAATTTTTATATTTTTAGTAGAGATGGAGTTTCACCATATTGGTCAAGCTGGTCTCAAACTCCTGACCTCAGGTGATCCACCCATCTCTGCCTCCCAAAGTGCTGAGATTACAGGTGTGAGCCACCGCACCTGGCCAAGACAATGTTTATAATGATACTAAAATGTTATTTGTGGCTGGGCATGGTGGCTCATGCCTGTAATCCCAACGCTTTGGGAGACCAAGGCAGGCAGATCACTTGATGCCAGAAGTTTGAGACCTGCCTGGGCAACATGGTGAAACCCTGATCTCTACAAAAAATACATAAAATTATCTGGGCATGGTGGTGAGTTCCTGTAGTCCCAGCTACTCAGGAGGCTGATGTGGGAGGATCACCTGAGCCTCGGAAGTCGAGGATGCAGTGAGCCATGATCACGCCTCTACACTCCAGCTTGGGTGACAGAGTGAGAACTCTGTTTCAAAAAAAAAAGAAGCGAGAGGATCACTTGAGCCCAGGAATTCAAGACCAGCCTGGACAACATAGTGAGACCCCCATCTCTATTTTTAAAAATAAATAAATAAATTTTTTTTAAGTTATTTGCCTCTTTTACTCACATACTCTCACATGTGTGCATTGGAGTTTTCCAGATGTTGAAGACATGATGACATCATCCCTCTGACACCTATTGGAATGTATGTCACAATGTGTATTATTGTGTTTAAAATGCTGTGTTTTAAGGGCCGGGCATGGTGGCTCACACCTGTAATCCCAGCACTCAGGGAGGCCGAGGCAAGCCGATCACTTGAGCCCAGGAGTCAGACCTGGCCAACATGGTGAAACCTTGTCTCTATGAAAAATAAAAAAATTAGCCAGACATGGTGGTGCATGCCTGTAATCCCAGCTACTAGGAAACTGAGGCAGGAGAATCACTTGAATTTGGGAGGCGGAGGTTGCAGTGAGCCGAGATTGTACCACTACACTCCAGCCAGGGCAACAGAGCGAGACTCTCATTTAAAAAAAAAAAAAAAACCTGTTTTATTTATTTATTTGAGACAGGGTCTCAATCATTCGCCTAGGCTGGAGAGTAGTGGTGCCATCTAGACTCACTGCAACCTTCACCTCCCAGGCTCAAGTGATGTTCCTGCCTCAGCCTCCCACGTAGCTGAAATTACAGGTGCATGCCACCACACATAGCTAATTTTTGTATTTTTTTGTAGAGACAAGGTCTCACTATGTTGCCCAGGCTTGTCTCGAACTCCTGAGCTCAAGCGATCCACCCACCTTGGCCTCCCAACGTGCTGGAGTTACAGATGTGCACCACCACACCCAGCCCAGTTTTAATTTTTAAATGCTAAGTGTTGATAGATATAACTCACATAAATAAAAACTCTCTGGGATTCTCAATTATTTTCAAGAGTATAAGAAGGTCATGAGACCAAAACATCTGAGAATTGCTGCTCTAAGATAACCAAATCTACCCTGGGAGGAAAAGGCTGAGGTTTTAAAGCACAAGTTATTTTCAAATTATATTTTTAGACATTAAACACGTGTGCATGCACGCACACACACACGTAGAGAAGTCAGTGAGAATGGTTAAGTGAGGACTTCTGAAAATCCCTCCCTCCATAAAAGCAGTAAACACTGGCAAAGATTGGCAGAAAAGGCCAGGTGCAGTGGGTCACGCCTGTAATCCCCTGCACTCTGGGAGGCCAAGGCGGGCGAATCAACTGAGGTTGGGATTTCGAGACCAGCCTGACCAACATGGAGAAACCCCATCTCTACTAAAAATACAAAATTAGCCAGGCATTGTGGTGCATGCCTGTAATCCCAGCCACTCAGGAGGCTGAGGCAGGAGAATCTCTTGAACCCAGGAGGCAGAAGTTGCAGTGAGCCAAGATCGTGCCCTTGCACTCTAGCCTGGGCAACAAGAGTGAAACTCCATCTCAAAAAAAAAAAAAATTGCCAGAATCAACTTTCTCAGAACTCTGTAAATTAACCTAAGGCTTGCAGCAATCAGAGTGAATTTTATTCAAGAAAAATGGCTGAACCTCAGTAAGAACAGTACGTTTTATAGGCATTTTAACATGTCCTATTACACTACCACCACCCCACCACAGCTCTGCAGTAGCCTAGAAACCACCCCACAATCACAGTGAAAAACAGCGCCTGACAGTCACTGGAGGGAATAGAAAGGGGTTGGGGCTCCTTCAAAACCCCATTCCTAGAGAATTGTCATTACTAGACATGCCTGGTTGTTCCTTGTGTAGGGGAGGGAAAAATCTGCTTCTCTTTACCCCTCTAGGTTATTTGGCTAGGCTATTAATTAAATTTATCTAAAACAGATTAATAGGAGAAAAACCATTTTAATTACATGCATATGTACAGGAGTCCCTCAAATCTCAAAATATGAGACTCAAAGAAGGGCCGGATGATTGAAGTTAATATAGCATCCTGAGCTACAGAAAGGAGGAAGTCAGGGCTTCTGGGAAACGATGGAGACAAATTATGGGATGGTGAGAGAAGAAAATGTATGGTGAGTAAAGGTTACCTTGTTACAGATAAAAGTTCCCCAAGTGGTAAAACTTGTCTCAAAGCAGTTCTCTTCCTGGTATAAATACCTCTACTAGTAAAAATTTCTTTTATAGATGTAAATTTTTCTTTACAAAAGGGGTGTTTTATAATTCATTTCAGACAGTTGAGGGGAAGGCAAGGAGATTTTTCTATGTTGGCTGGTCTTTAATTTCTTTTAGCTCAAAAAGATCAGTATGCCAGGGTGGCATATTTTGAGATGGCATATTCTGGTCTCCTGCACTCATATTTTTGGATGGTGTGTCCTGAAACTCAGCACCCAGAAGACGTCACTTGCAAGCTTTGTCCTTATTTGATCTGACGCAAAGCTCACCAAGTGTGAACAGGGTTTTCTCTGGGAGCATTTGTTGACAATAACCAGTGACAATTGTTTAACATCACAGCTGTCTGAGATGGTGGGTAATCATTGGAGCAAACAATAACTAAAAAGCTTAATAGGAAAGGCTGAGGAGTGAAATATATACAGAGGGCTTTGAAAATCTCTGACGTATTTCTTGGATTCTAGAAGTCCACACATATACATAGGGTTGTGCACATGCCCAGGGCTGTGTGTGTGCTCTGGAAAGACCTGAGAAGGCCCTAAGTTCTCACTCTAGCTGATCTTGAGGCTCTGTGTGGCCTCATCCTTCACAGGATGGGGACCCACTGCCACCACCACCAAATTCCTGGTCTCAGAGTCATGTAGAGAGGGCCTGGCCATCTTGACTACCACAGCACAGCACACTCTACCCCATGCCTGGTGGTAAATGAGCTCTTCCCTCTGGTCACATAAAAGGACCTCTTCCAGTTGCCCCATTGACACCCATTTTAGGCCCCAAACCCACCTCTCTTCCCGATTAAACTGTTGCCTTAGTAGCTCATTAGCTTATAACCATAGGGCGAAGTCCCGTCTCAGGGAAACTATTGCTGCCACAGGGTTGTCAACCAAGGAGAAAAGTGTGAGAAAATGACATGTTGTAAACCACTTGCTTTAACATCAGGGTGGCACATTCAACCTAATGCTTGATTGACACTGTACGCTTGGACTTACAGTCCTCTCTCTATATATATGGGGGGGGGGTGGGGGGAGAGAGAGAGAGACAGAGAGAGAACTACGGGGCCTCCTAAGGAGAAGAGGAAACCACAAATGAAGGTCAGAGACAGAAGTGGATAGAAAGCTGGGAGAGGGAAACAGCTGTGAGCCTGATTAAATCCCACCATGACAGCTATGAGGCCCAGGAGTTGACAGCCCATTTCCACCCAACCTCAAAGATTTCCAGTCCACGCTGGAAATCTCCAGGCCTAGAACTGGGATGAAGGAATATTGTACTCTAAGTTTCCAGGAGAACAAACTCATGATAAGCTGACTTGGTTCAGGTGATCCTAGAATAACTAAGGCTGTAGGCATGGTTACCCATGACCTGAGTTTGAGCTTACTGGCAAGCAAGTAAGTAGTGAACCCGGGCTATCATTAGGTTCATCCTCAGTAGCTGGAGGGGACTAAAAGTGAGCCGGGCATCTAAAGTGATGGCTTCAAGGGTAGTGTTTTGGATTCAAACCAATTCAATAATGCATTTTTGTAATAATGACCTGGAAAAAAAATGTTTTAAAAAAATAAACTTATCAATGTTGGTCAAAACCATCATTAATGCAGTAGTCAGATCTGGAAATATTTAATAGGAAAGTATAAAAACCGGTCTTTTATGGCTGCAGCTCTAGAGGAGTTGTATGCTTTTTTCATTTATTTCTGGTATTGCTGATACTCTTTGAACAGTTTTGTTTAAAGAAAGGGTACAACACTAAGTTTCAGGAAGAGAGAAATTCAGCCGTGGTCTCGCTGGTTGTATTTTTAAAAAGTCATTTTATTAGACCATTTTCACATTGCTATAAAGAACTATTTGAGACTGGGTAATTTATAAATAAAAGAGATTTAATTGACTCACAGTTCTGCATGGCTGTGAGGCCTCGGGAAACTTACAGTTGTGGCAAAAGGTGAAGGAAAAGCAAGCACCTTCTTCACAAGGCAGCAGGAGAGAGAGAGGGAGGGGTGAGAGGGAAAGTGTCACACTTTTAAACCATCAGATCTCGTAAGAACTCATTCACTATCACGAGAACAGCATGGTGGAAACTGCCCCCATGATCCAATCACCTCCCGTCACGTCCCTTCTTCAACACATGGGGATTAAAATTAAAGATGAGATTTGAGTGGGGACACAGATCCAAACCATATCAGTCTTATCTTCATGGTGTCTCTGTTTCTTCATCTGTACAAAGAGAGTTAAACCTGAGGACTTTTTAAAATGAATTTGTGTGTGCATGTGTGTTTAAGTTATAGAATGTTTCTATTCACTCTTTTAGAGTTCTCATGACAACCCTGTGAGACAGTTTATTTATTTTATTTTATTTTATTTTTTTCTTTGAGACAGAGTCTCGTTCTTGCCCAGGCTTGAGTGCTGTGGTACAATCATGGTTCATTGCAGCCTCAACTTCCTGGGCTCAAGCAATCCTCCCACCTCAGCCTCCTGAGTAGTTGGGGTGGGAAGCGCATGCCACCGCACCTAGCTAATTTTTTATTTTTTTGTGGAAACAGGGTCTCACTATGTTGCCCAGGCTGAGATAGAGATTATTAAGTCCATATTGTGGTTGATAAAACTGAGGTCTGGAAAATTTAAGTCTTTTCGTTTCTGAATATTTCCAGATAAAATAAAAAAGAAACTGTTTTGTTTTTTCTTTTCTAAATCCTACTCATCTATATCAATTAGCTATTGTTGCTTAGTAAACCATTCAAAAACTCAGTGGCTTTAAAAAGCAAGCATATCTATTGCTTACATTTCTACAAGATGACTTGGGTTTGGCTAATCTAAGTTAAGTTCAGATAGGGTGCTCTACTTCTCACCTGCCAGTTTATGTGTCAACTGGAATACCTCTGCTCTATGAATCTACCAACCTCCTGGGACCAGTAAGCAAGCCAAGGTATCTACTTCTCATGCTGCCAGCAGAGACAGAAGAGGATGAGAAGTGACAGTCGTGAGGCTTTTAAGTCCTATGATTAGAACTGGCACACTATCATTCTCACCCACATGCTACTGGCCAAAAAAGTCATATGGGCAAGCCTAGAGTCAAGAGGTAGGACATATATTTCACCCATGAAGAAGCATTGCAAAGGTTTCAGGGATGGCCAATAAGTCCTTCAACCACAACCTATCTCTAGGCCATAATTATTCATGTCTCTCACACATACAAAAATATCAATACATTCAATCCCAATCACGGGACCTTCAAAAGTCTTACCCATCCTGTCATCATTCTTAAAGTCCAGCACCTCATGTTCTACCTGAGGCTTGATCCAGCTCCTCTTGATCTGGAGACCAATGAACAAAAAAAGGGTAAGTCCATCCACCATCAGCATAGATCCCTGCATTACACACACACACCCAATGTACAATGGTGGAATAGAGGCAGAATTACCACATTAACTTCCGTTTGAGAGAGAATTATTGGAGACCCATAGCTGTCACAGTTCCACAGCAATTATGAAATGAAATCCCACTGGGCAAATGTTGCCATTCTTCCTTACTTTGTGATAGAGTCTGTTCCTTGATTAGGCTGTGGTTCTGTTCACTGGGAGTGGCTCTGGTGTCCTTGTCCTCCACAGCTCTTGGTTCCACCCTTTGGGAGAGTCTTCATTTTCCATCCTCCTCAGCCCCTTCTGAAGAGAACTTTAGAGAATAAACCATTTTGGTCTGCTGAGTAACTTTCTCGGCCAGCTTCATGGCATTCAAAATTGGGAGTCCAAACAATCTCAGTCTCTTCTAATGTAGGCTGACTTTGTCAATACAGTTTTCTCAAGGCTTTGTGAGTTTTCTTTGTATTTGATTTGAGTTCACTCGCATGTCAAAAGCAACACCCAAATTATTTTAGAGAAATACCTCTTTCTCTAAATCTTATTTGGGGTACAGCAAGCTGTTATGGGTCCACACCCTTTAAGCTACCCAGAAACCCTCTTGTACATTACCTTATTCCTTTCAAGGGATTTGAAAAGTATTTTGGTCTACACTGGGCTGTAATAATAACAGTAATAATAATAATAAAGAAGTATGTTACAGCCACACCCATCATTTGATCTTAAGCCAGAAGCCATATCTTACATGGCAGTCCCTGAATTTCATCTTTGCTCCCAGAGTATGTCAACTGCTGGCTGGAGATCTACTGTCTCATCTACACTCATAGATGAAAAACAGTTTTATTTTTCAACCCAGAAGCTCAAAGTTCTTTATCTTCTAAATTCTACTTAAAAGCTTGCCTGGGCCGTGCCCAGTGGCTCACACCTATAATCCTAGTACCTTGGGAGGGCGAGGAGGGTGGATTGCTTGAGGCCAAGAGTTCAAGACCAGCCTGGGCAACATGGCAAAACCCTGTCTCTACTAAAAATACAAAAATTAGCCGGGTGTGGTGGTGCATCCCTGTAGTCCCGGCTACTAGGGAGGCTGAGGCACAAGAATCACTTGAGCCTGGGAGGCAGAGGTTGCAGTGAGCGAGATCGATATTGCACCAGTGCACTCCAGCCTGGGTGACAGGGCAAGACCCTGTCTCAAAAAAAACAAAACTTGCCCATTCTTTCCTGAGCCCACCTCTTTCCTGCAGTATCTTGTATGCAACTAAAAGCAATTAACTCACATATCCAACATTTTGCCTGGAAATTTCTTTGCCTAAATCCAAAAGTTCATTAGATGACATTTTATATCTCTCAAGTTCTACAGGCAACAGTTTGAATAAATATTTGGTAAATACATAACACAGGTCGCCATTTCTTCTAGCCTTCTCTGAGGGAAAAAAGCAGGTTTTCTCTCCCTCTACTCACACACTCAAACACAGAACACTTTTGTGATCAGACATATGGGGTTGGCCTCTGCTAACCACAAGGCAATTATCCAGTGGACACCAATTGGGTATCTTATAATTCTATTCTGACACCATCTACCTGGAGATAGTGACAGATCTCACAAGTTGGGGGCTGGGTCCAATAAGACTGCACCCACTTCAGATGCCATTCTAAAATCTGCGCCACCCATTCTTCTGACCCAACAGCTACAAACCAGGGTTTCCACGACCTCTTTTTAGCAGGGAGGTTCATTAATTTGCTAGGATGACTCAAAACTCAGAGAAATGCTTACTTACATTTACTTGTTTATTCACTTATTTTTATTTATTTATTTTTTTTTGCTAAACATCTCCTTGCAGACATTTACTGGGTTATTGTAAAGAATATTACAAAAGATAAGCTCCACAGCCAGATGAAGAGATGGACAGGACAAGGTATGTGTGTGGATGGGAGGGCGACACGGAGTGTCCATGCCCTTTCTGGGCATACCATTCTCTAAGCACCTCCATGTGCTAAACAATCTGGAAGCTCACAGAGAGCTGTAGTTGTATAGTTATTGTCAGGCCTCTGAGCCCAAGCTAAGCCATCATATCCCCTGTGACCTGCACGTATACATCCAGATGACCTGAAGCAACTGAAGATCCACAAAAGAAGTGAAACTAGCTTTAACTGATGACATTCTACCATTGTGATTTGTTGCTGCCCCACCCTAACTGATACGATATAGTTTCCCCGGCCCTTAAGAAGGTACTTTGTAATATTCTCCCCCACCCTTAAGAATGTACTTTGTACACCTATCCCAAACCTATAAGAACTAGTGATAACCCCACCACCCTTTGCTGACTCATTTTTCGGACTCAGCTCGCCTGCACCCAGGTGAAATAAATAGCCTTGTTGCTCACACAAAGCCTGTTTGGTGGTCTCTTCACAGTGACAGGTGTGACAGTTATATAGTTGTATAGTTTGTGTAGAGCTTTGTCTGCAAACCCCATACCATTTCCTGGAGGTTGGCCAGTGGTGCTAAAAGTTCTAACCCTCTACTCCTCTGATCACTTAGTCTTTCTGGTGATTGGCCCTGTCCTGAGGCTATCTAGGGGCCCTACCCTAACTTATCGAATTTAATAGCTCAGGTGTTATCTAATTGGCTCACTATGAATAACAAAAGACACTCCTAAGAATTTTCACTCAGGACATTTCAAGGGTTTTTTTCTCAGTACAAAGACCAAATATATTTCATATTATACCACACCTTCCATAACAGTTTCCAGCCATTTTCAGCTTCCTATTAAGATTTTTTTTAGCTCCCGCCTATCCAAAATCAATGCCACGTATTTTTGGTTTTCAATATTGTAACACCTCACTTTCAAGTATCAATTTCTGTATTGTGTAGCCATCGCTGAGTAAAAAATCACCCCAAACTCACTGACTTACAACAACTCTTATTATTGTTCATCTTTTGGGTCTCAGCTGAGTGTGGCTGATCTAGTCTGATGATGAGTTCTCATGCCTTCAGGGTCCCCCCTTCCAACACCTGCCTAAATTAAAAAAACAAAACAAAACCAACACCTTCATAGCAGTGACCACATGGCCAGAGTTAGCCACTTATTCCAGAGTTTTTAGAGATATGAAACTTGCTCCAAAAATCTCCACTTAAAGAAACTGAAGATTAAGAAACAAAACAAAACAAAAACAAAAAACACAGATTGGGTGCAGTGGCTCAGGCCTGTAATCACAGCACTTTAGGAGGCCAAGGCGGGAGGATCACTTGAACTCAGGAGTTCAAGACCAGCCTGGGCAACAGAGCGAGACCTTGTCTCTACTAAAAATTAAAAAAAACAGCCTGGCTAACATAGTGAAACCCTGTCTCTACAAAAATACAAATATCAGCTGGGAGTGGTGGCACGCGCCTATAGGCCCAGCTACTCCTGCGGCTGAGGCAGAAGAATTGCTTGAACCCAGGAGGCAGAGGTTGCAGTGAGCTGAGATAGCACCACTGTGTTGTAACCAAGCGAGTTATAGAGAAATGCCACACTTTGAGACTAATTCAGGAGTCCTTTATTGCCGGCAACTGAGAGATGGCTAGCGCTCAAAATTCTCTTGGCCCCCAAGAAAGGGCTAGATTTTCTTTTACACTTTGATTTATAAAGAGGAGGGGGAGCCTAGCTGAAGCAATCTTACAGAAGTAAAACAGACAAAAAAAGTTAAAAGACAAATGGTTATGGGAAAACAAACAGTTCCAGGTGCAGGGGCTTTAAATCCATCATAAGGTGATAGATGCAGGCCTTTTGGATACCATCAACCGGATACAAATGTGGGGGCTTAGGGTACTATCAACCGGGCGAATACCTGGGAACTGTGGATATAGCTTGCCACAGTATCTTATCAGTTAAATGCATTCTTTGATGTGCTGGGAGTTAGCTTGCACAAGTTAACTCCTTGAGGAAGGGGGTGGGTAAGGGGCTGCAGGTGAAGAAGCCAAAATGGAGTTTGTCTGGCTCTCTCAGCTAAGGGAGAGTCAATTCAGGTTAGAACAAGGTAGGGTATCACAACTGTACTTCAGCCTGGGTGACAGAGTGAGACTACATCTCAAAAAATAAAAAAAATAAAAACAGCCGAGTGTGGTGGCACACATCTCTAGTCCCAGCTACTCGGGAGGCTGAGGTGGGAGGATCATTTAAGCCCAGAGGTTGAAGCTGCAGTAACCAAGCCTGGACAACAAAGCAGGACACTGTCTCAATAAATAAATAAATAACCAATACCTGAAGGAAAGTAACATCTCAATAGTGCCTGTTTAAAAAGCAGAGAGGGGCTCCTCAGGAAGCTGACTTATTCCTGATTCTGTGTGACTCTTGAGAAGGTAGAGAAAGGGAAGACAGAAGAATCTCCAAAGACGAGACCCCTTGCCACTTCATGTCACATTTTCCCCATTCCTACTCACCTCCCCTTATTCTCACTTTCCTGATCCTCCTCATTTCCCATACTGTATTTATTAGCTTGGAGGGATTTAAACATCAACTCCAATGGTTTATTTTTTTTGTTTCTTTTTTTCACAAGCCCTTTCTCATAATATCTCTTGCTTATCTCCCTCCTTCTCTCTCTCAGAAAGATTCAAAACTTTTTTGAGATGATCAGGTTGGACTTGGAGCCACTGTTTCTTGCTGTAGGAGGGAAGAATGGATTGGAGGACAGATGCAGCAGTCACAGAAGGCCCTGAGTCGCCCCCGACTCCCACACCAATCGTGCAATTAGGGGGAAAATACTTCCTCAGAGTTTCTCATCAACTTTTCTGGGGTATTTTGTTTTAGCTCCCTTACTCTAAGAGTGATTCTCTGCTCAGTGACTGTAACATGCCTCAGACTTCCCATTTAGACAATAATTTTTCTTTCAGAAATGAAATGGGGGGAAAACAGAAACGATGAATTTACTTCCTGGTCCATTTCACCATACCAGGCTATTTGTCAGGAATGTTCCATCCTGGTGGGGATTTAAACCTTAAACATGTGCTTGGATTCACACACTTTATGATGATTTCCAATCAAAAGTCATCTAAATGTATACATCTGGAATCTAGAAAATGATTCTAGGTTTTTCAAAATGGAAGGGACAATAAAAGTTATAAAAGCCAAATATGGCTGTGCGCAATGGCTCAAGCCTGTAATCCCAACACTTTGGGAGGCCAATGTGGGCAGATCACCTGAGATCAGGAATTTGAGACCAGCCTGGCCAACATGGTGAAACCCCATCTCTACTAAAAATACAACAATTAGCCAGGTGTGGTGGCGGGCCCCTGTAATCCCACCTACTCAGGAGGCTGAGGCAAGAGAATCCCTTGATCCCAGGAGGCGGAGGTTGCAGTGAGCAGAGATCGAGCCACTGCACTCCAGCCTGCAGGACAGAGTAAGACTCTGTCTCCAAAAAAAAAAAGCCAAATACCTTTTAGACCTGAAAGAGAATGAGGGCTCTGATTGAGAAAGAAAAAAAGCAGGCCTGACAGCTATCAGCTGAGAACAGGTCAGGCACTCCCAGCTAGGCTGTGTGTTTCCTACTGAAAGTAAGAAACTTCACAGAGCACTAAATATCAAACAAGGCTATTCTGTGACTGTGACTGAGTGAGATAAAAACAAGACCACTTCATAATCATGCCAGAGCACAGACAAAATGACCATACATACCCCTCTCCTGGCTAACCAGAGTAACTGCTGCTTCTTTACCAACTACAACTTGAGCCTTCTCTGTTCTCCTACCTCCTAATAAAAAGCACTGGAATAGGGCCGGGCACGGTGGCTCACTCCCATAATCCCAGCACTTTGGGAGGCAGAGGCAGGAGGATAGCTTGAGCCCAGGAGTTCAAGACCAGCATAGTGAGACCCTATTTCTACCAAAAATACAAAAATTAGCTGGGTTTGATGGTACACACCTGTAATCCCAGTTACTGAGGAGGTTGAGGAGGGAGGATCGCTTGAGCCCGGGAGGTGGAGGTTTCAGTGACCTGAGATGGCACCACTGCACTCCATCCTGGGTGACAAAGTGACACCTTGTCTCAAAAACAAAAACACACAAAACATTGTCTAATGCTTCATGACATTCATCCAGATCAATCCATTGCTTTCTTGAACATCTCCCAAATCACCTACAACAAATTCCTCCCATACTTTCTCGTGGGTGATGTGCTCCACCTTCCAATTCCCCATGGTGTGTGGAATCTGCCCACAGTGTGTGGAATCCAGGCTGCTGTAACAAGTATCCATAAACCCACTTGGTTGGGCTCCAGGGGGCTCCAGCTGATGAGGTTCAGCACGGCCACAGGTCAGAGCCCACTATAATCCTCCCAGTGCCACTCTACCCACCCCAAACTTGGCCCTAAGACTTTTCGTTCCCAGGTACAGCAAAATTTCCTAGCATCTAAAGCCAAAAGGAACTTCCCACAGATTTCTAAGAACAAAAACTGAAACAAAAAGCAAGTTCATGATTTACTGATAATGTTTCAGTAATCAGGTATTCACAGAAGGGAACAGTTGTTTCATTGTGTGTTTCATGCACACATTCCATCTTCCTTCCGACATCTTTAACTCAAATGATAATTTTTTTTTTCATTTTCTAAATACACTCATCAAAGGGCTTGAAAAATTCTGAGTTTTTACCCCTATTGTTCCACAGACAACAAACCTTTTATAAACCCCTCCGTTACTGCAAAATGGAAAAGAGCACAATTGTGTCCAGGTCAGAGAGTCTTCACTTCTCCAGGATTCTGAGCTCCTTCCTCCCAAGGGCTCAAGGCCTCACGATATATGAAAATGAAGAATATTTGAGACCCTGTCTCTACCAAAAAAAGGAAAGTAGGGTGAAGTCAGGACAATAATGAATTCATAGGCTGCTCCTAAGATGTCTAAGTCTTGCATTTTCACATTTATCATAGCCTGTCCTCGCGCGGGAGAATGTACACCTGTTTTGGAAGGATCTACCCCACCAGGTAACAGTAAGAAAGACTAAGATGAACAGATATGGAAGATAGCTCAGAGGCTGCAATGGGATAAATTCTGGGCAGAACTCAAACAGTGGTCCACGCAACCTTGATCCCTTCCCTGAACTCTTTCTCTCTTACTCAATCCAACCTCAATTTATTGGCTCCCATAAGTTCCCTGTCTACCCCTCTTGTTCTAGGAACTCTCCATTTCAAAAGTACTTCCAAGAATATAATTCAGGGACGTCCACACTCTACCAGATCTCAGCCTTTTGCTTCCCCAGGGCAAACCCCTGCTAACCCCTCTTCCACACAGAAGTCCACCATCTTCATCTCCACACCATCTTCACTTCACTTCCCCTCCACCTTCACATATGCAAGCTGTTGTGCATAAATTACACAAATTATAATTATAACATTATACAAACTCTGTATGTATAATTTTAACACGGGCTTGGTAAATAGCGGAATTATGTCACTGTAATAATGTTGAAGCACCATTAGGTCATATCTGATTATTACTACCATATCAATAGTGTGTGCCCCCAAGAAAGAGCAGCTGACCACAAAGCTCACTAGTAAGCCACAGAAGAATACAGTATTGTACATGATGCCCATTCACCCCAGTCCTTTGTCTTGGCTCAGTATGGCCACATGTATAACAAGCCCAAGACCTTGAGCCACAACCATCCCTCAGAGGCATCTCCATAATTCATGCAAAGCTGGTAGCTGCCTCTTCACAGAAAGCTTCTGAATAAGGAGCAAGATAAAGAGCTATAGCTGGGTGGGTGCAGTGGCACGTGCCTGTATTCCTAGCTACTGGAGAGGCTGAAGTGGGAAGTCCCTTGAGCCCAGGAATTTTGAGTCCAGCCTGGGCAACATAGCAAGACCACCCCCCAACCCCACACCCTACACCGAACACCACCCCCACTCAAGAAAGAGAAAAAAAAAAAGAGCTGTAGGCAGTAGATCTTGCCCTGTGGACCTGTGGACCAGAGCAACTAGCAGTGAGAATCCTGGTCCTATTCCAGACCTACTAAATCAGAATCTCTTTTTCAGTAAGACCCAAGTGCTGCTCTGGGAAGAATGAAGAGAGGGGATTGATAAATTACCTGATATGCTTGACTATGGAAACTGTGCTTAGAGTCAATTAGAGGAGTGGGAAAAACCTGTGAGGGGAATAAAGAAAACTAAACAAAGGAACAAAAATGAATCATTTCACCCCCTCCCTACTCCTAAAAAAACAAGAGGTTGTACATGAAAATAAATGTAATCATATATGATACTTGGTCCCGTAAAACTATAGTTACATAGCCACAGTATTGGAAATATGGAACAGAATTTGTGATGTATTACTACTGGTGGTATAAGAGAGCTAAATCATAATTGATCATAATAGGGTATAGAAAAGTAATATCTAGAAATGGATATATAGAGAAATAGCAGCATAAATATGGTATTGTCTCTAGAAATATGCAGATAAGTACCAGATAAAACAACTGAGCACTTAAAGAAGCTGTTTCTGGGGATTCAGGAGTAATAGGTTGGAAGTGGGAAGTGGAACTGACATTTCTTAAAAGCACTTTGTCCCATTTGGTTTTTTTTTTAAATACATGTAATACATATAAAGAGCTTTTTTAAAAACTTTGACAGAATGATATTGTCTTGAGAAATATGTAGATAAGTACCACATAAAACAACTGAACCACATTTAAAAAGAAAAGACGTTGACTGGGCGTGGTGGCTCACACCTGTATTCCCAGCAGTTTGGGAGGTCAAGGCAGCCAGATCACTTGAGGTCAGGAATTCAAGACCAGCCTGGCCAACACGGTGAAACCCCATCTCTACTAAAAGTACAAAAATTAGCCAGGCATGGTGGTGCATGTCTATAATCCCAGCTACTTGGGAGGCTGAGGCACGAGAATCGCTTTAACCCAGGAGGTTGTAGTAAGCCGAGATTGTGCCACTGCACTCCAGCCTGGGCGACAGAGTAAGACTCCGTCTCAAAATAAATAAATAGACTCAAATGGTTGCCTCAGTGATGAAAGTCAAGTAAGATGAGAACGAGAGTAACCATTGAATTTGACATGAGGATAACACTGAGAAATTTGAACAGATTATAGTGAAAAGCAGGGAGGGGAAACAAATGCTGACATTTTATCATTAGGTTCCATATGAAGCATATCATATTCCTCAGCCCAAATGATTTCATGTCTAAGAAGAAGAAGTTTTTGTTTCTATCTCGCAGTGGGCCTGGGAAGAGCAGGAACTTCCTAAGAGCAGCACCACTTCACAAGGCCTCTCCCATTCAGGAACCATGACAGGCAGGGGCATCCTAGGGGCATCCTAGAGGTTCTGTTCTCTAAACCTTGGGAAATTTAGAGATCCTGTCTTTCATTGTGTAAGACTGATGACTTGGTTTCTGTCAAAAAGACCCAGATGCTATCCAATCAAAATAGTGTCTGTTATGCAATAGCTTGAGCTCCAAGTACTTTCTTCTTCTTTCCCCCAGACCCTTTCTTTTCAGTATGGCTCCGTTAGTTGCAAGTAAAAGCTCTTTTTCCCCCCTGAAAACAATGTCTTATGAGAATATGAAGCATGAGACAAAAGTATCATTGAAAGGGGCTGATAAGAGAAGTGAAATGAGGAAGGGGAAATAGATTATAGGTGATATGATCAGAAAGTTAAGCATGAAGAGGAAAATGGGACAGGAGCCTTTCAAACTAGGAAGGCTAAGGAACGATGGGTTTGAATGAAGCCACAAATTCTATTTCAGTCTATGTGCTGATGAGAAGACAGGGAGTAAGAACTAGGAAAGCTCAGTTTAAGAGGGGAAGACAAGCTTGGAAACAAAAGATGACAATAAACACATCTGCTTCTGAAACTAGGGCTCAGATCAGGTGTCTGCCATGAGAAAGGGACCAAGTGTCACAGGATACACCTGGCCCATCTTCCAGGAAAGCCTACTTCTCTTGGAGGGGACAAAGGCTAATCAGGAGAAGCCCTAGAAGTGAGGTTGCATCTGCTTGATGCAATGTCTGAAAGACATTGCAGAAGGTGCAGCCCTTACATGAGCTTTTGAGGGAAGAATAGGAGTTCATCATAAAGATAAGAGGGAACAGGCTAGTCGCGGTGGCTCACACCTATAATCCCAGCACTTTGGGAGACCGAGGCGGGTGTATCACTTGAGGTCAGGAGTTCAAAACCAGCCTGGCCAACATTGGGAAACCCCACCTCTACCAAAAATACCAACAAAGCCAGGCGTGGTGGGGCACGCCTGTAGTCCCAGCTACTTGGGAGGCTAAGGCAGGAGAAATGCTTGAACCTGGGAGTCAGAGGTTGCAGTGAGCTGAAATTGTGCCACTGCCCTCCAGCCTGGGTGACAAAGTGAGACTCCATCTCAAAAAAAAAAAAAAAAAAAAGTTAAGAAGAGACAGAATATTCTGGAAGGGGGAAGGCAAGCACTGCTATCTGGAGGCCTGAGAGGCATTGTGGGTTGAGGTAACCACACCCACTCCAAATTCAGCCTGTGGGTGGACAAGCAGGGAAGGAGAAGGGGAATGGAGAAAAAGCCCTCAGGAAAGAAGCAAGGAGACTGCCAGAGTATTTTCTTG
Source organism: Homo sapiens (assembly GCF_000001405.40). Taxonomy (NCBI): domain Eukaryota; kingdom Metazoa; phylum Chordata; class Mammalia; order Primates; family Hominidae; genus Homo; species Homo sapiens. The sequence continues at coordinate 44,563 of NW_025791780.1, forward strand.
ACCAGATCAAGCTAGACCTACAGTATTTTCCTAACCAGATTAAGGTGCATAAACTTGATGCTGAAGTCACTAGGGAGATGTGGAAGGATTTTTAAGCAAAAAGTGATATGATCAGATTTGCATTTGGGAAAGATCATTCTCTTGGCAGTCTGGTGGGTGAAATGGAGCAACTGTCTTTTGTCTTAATCACAATTCCAACTCAAAGATAAATAACAAAACTGGGAAGAATGTTTGTTACAAATATAATACAGGATTGATATTTTTAAGTTATTAAAATTCACACAGATTGCTAAGAACTAGCACCAGGACCAGTCTTGAAAACAATGGGCAACTGGCCTGAACAGCTCATTTCTAGAATGTATTAAATGTCTAATTAACACATAAAAAACTCCAGCCTCGCTAACATATAAAGGCACAATAAATAATAATTTAATTAACTTGACCCATCCCAATAGTAAGGATGTGAAATAATAACTTCTCAGTGCTAGCAGGGATTAGGTGAGGGCACCTCCATTGAGGGTGTGATGGATTCAACATTTCAGGAAGGGACTGTAGAAATATGCTGATACTAGGTCGGGCATGGTGGCTCACACCTGTAATCCCAGCACTTTGGGAGACCAAGGCAAGCAGATCATTGAAGCTCAGGAGTTCGAGACCAGCCTGGCCAACATGGTGAAACCCTGTCTCCACTAAAATACAAAAATTAGTTGGGCATGGTGGCACGTGCCTGTAATCTCAGCTACTCAGGAGGCTGAGGCAAGAGGAAAATCCTTTGAACCCTGGAGGCGGAGGTTGCAGTGAGCCAAGATTACGCCACTGCACTCCAGCCTAGGCGACAGAGTGAGATTCCGTCTCAAAAAAAAAAAGAAAAGAAAAGAAATATGCTTATACCATTTGATCTGATGACTCTATTTCTGGAAATTTATTAAACAGTTTATCAGGACATTATCCAATTTGCAAATAAAGACTTATATATAAAGTGTATTATTTACAATAGGAAAAAAATCCCAAATGTCCCACAATCATGGCAATTATACAACTATTAACAATATTTTGAGTTACACAAAAAGTCTAATTGATTGCTTTTATGATATACATAAGCATAAAATAAATCTTGGAAGGACTATGCCAAAATGTGAATTGAGGCTATCATTAGTTAGTAGATTAAGTGTGACCTCCATTTTATAAAAATATTTTTCTGTATTTTTAAATTTTTTCATAACAATGAGAGGTAGGTTTAGTATAAATTAAGGAATTGTAGGCCTCATGATGAGTTGCTTCAAAAGAAATAATTGTCAGGGAGGCAACTTTTGGGCCCTGTAAACAGAATTCACAGCCTACCCTTAAGACTGGCCTTTAATGGAGTTGTTCCAACAGACACAGCACCTAAGGTGGACGGACGCTCCAATAACGAAGATGGCTATAGACAGAGGCTACTGCTACCTTGGCCTCTGGGCTTTCATTTTTCAACCCGCAGAAATAATAATAGAATAACAATTTATCCTCCGCTGAGTTCCTACTATGTGCTAAGCACTTTACCTGCTTAATCTCACTTAATCCTCCCAACACCTCTTCAAGAAAGGTATGATCAATATTATTACCATTTTAGAGATCAAAGAACTGAGGCTTGGAAAGAGGAAATAACTGGCTGAAGCCATCACATCTCATTTGTGTGTTTCCTTGCCTCTCTTCTCTTTTTCTCTTTTCTGCCTTTCATTTGGTCCAGCTCATCAATGCATATCTTGATTTCTGAGCTGAAGACCACAAATCCAGTTTTCCATCTCTCTGAAAAACTTTTCATCTCCCTTTTTTTTTTCCTCAGAGTGAATATACCAGGCCACCTGGAGGCAGGCTTTCCTGAGAGCACCTCCCGCTTCCTTTTCCTGCTGGCTTTTAACTTTTGCCCCGGGGGCCACAGCCAGCTTTCTCACTTGGTAGCAGTGGCCTCTTGTGCCTTTTTCTCCAAGATCACCCAGGTCAGTATGTGTGGTTACTCTCAGCTCCCTGAGGGAGTGAGCAGCCAGAGGGGCATAGCATACTTCTCTCCCTCCAGCTCCTTTCTCCTTGGTCCTAGGCCCTCTACTCTTCAAGCCCTTTTGCTTGCTTCAGCTCCTGCTTCTTGCTCCATCTCCTCCCATCTTTTCTCTCTTCTCCAATTCATTTCCTTGGACTCCATTTCTGCCTTTATACCCTTATCTTTATTATCATTGCCAAAAGCAAATACCAAATTCTTGTATTTGAAAAAAGACTTTGGCCAGGCACGGTGGCTCACGCCTGTAATCCCAGCACTTTGGGAGGCCAAGGCGGGTGGATCACGAGGTCAGGAGTTCGAGGCCAGCCTGGCCAACGTGGTGAAACTCCGTCTCTACTGAAAATACAAAAAATAGCGGGGCATGGTGGTGCGCGCCTGTAGTCCCAGCTACTCCGGAGGCTGAGGCAGAACAATCGCTTGAACCCAGGAGGCTGAGGTTGCATTGAGCCGAGATCATGCCACTGCACTCCAAGCTGGGCAACAGAGCAAGACTGTCTCAAAAATAAATAAATAAATAAATAAAAAGGAGACTTTTTTTTTAGTGCAGTGATTCCAAGATTTGTTCATCGATATGCAACCAACTAATGAGTGTTATGCCTCACAGTTCCCTTCTCCTAAGTTTTAGAGTTAGAGTAGTGGGTGGGAAGGTGATAACCACAGTGTAAACTAAAAATCCATACTGGGGATGGAGGCTGAGAGGAGGTTTCAGGGGCAAATGACCAGAACACTTGCAGCTGGAAAGAACTGTAGAGAGGACTTTGGAAAGCGGAGGGTTGACAGAGCCGGTAGTTGTCTCCTGTCCATTCATCTCCTAGGCTGAAGCTCCTGAGGGGACTCACATCAGTTATCTTGCTGCTCCAGAAGGGTGGGAGATGGCAGTTTTCCCAAGCTCCGGTCTCCCCAGATGTCTGCTCACCCTCATTCTCCTCCAGCTGCCCAAACTGGATTCAGGTAAGTCTCTCTCTCTCTCTGGGCTGCATAGTTGAAATATATCAATAAATGTAAAATAAACAATCCCACTTGGCTCTCCCTGGAGACCTCCACTGGATCCAGACAAACTCAGCTGTCAAAGGAGTAAGAGAGCGCGGGGCACTGCGCTTTGGCGGGAATCTGGTCGGTGTCTGTCCGTAGTTCCCATCTCCACATCCCGTCTGATCCCGCTCGTTTTTCGGCAGCTCCCTTTGACGTGATTGGACCCCCGGAGCCCATCCTGGCCGTTGTGGGTGAGGACGCCGAGCTGCCCTGTCGCCTGTCTCCGAACGCGAGCGCCGAGCACTTGGAGCTACGCTGGTTCCGAAAGAAGGTTTCGCCGGCCGTGCTGGTGCATAGGGACGGGCGCGAGCAGGAAGCCGAGCAGATGCCCGAGTACCGCGGGCGGGCGACGCTGGTCCAGGACGGCATCGCCAAGGGGCGCGTGGCCTTGAGGATCCGTGGCGTCAGAGTCTCTGACGACGGGGAGTACACGTGCTTTTTCAGGGAGGATGGAAGCTACGAAGAAGCCCTGGTGCATCTGAAGGTGGCTGGTGAGTAGACGGGTTTTGACTTTCTCCGACGACTCCCCTGCTGTATACACTTTCGTATGGATCAGTTACTTTGGAAACCATCAGATTCATTCTCAAAATCTCTTTTAGGTTGATGTCGCCGGGGAGGGACGACTATCTGGGCGGGAGGCGAGGGGGGGTAAAAGAATTTACCAAGACAGTTGTAAAGAAAGGCAGATTTACTTTTAAAAGTATGAAAATACTTTTCGAGGAGGCAAAAGGCAGGATCAGCAAAAGAGAAGCTGACTGCCAGGAAACAAAGGCTTGCTGGATAATTTATAGAATAGTTTTTATGCTGTCTGTTGAAGATGGCTTTGTGCAGTATCTATAAGGCAAAGGTTGCAGTGAGCTAACTTGCAGGTGTTTGGTGATAGTTGGACACAGGAAGGATGACTGTGAGTTATTTGCACAGGAGGGCTGTGTACTGGACCATGAAGAAAGGCAGACTTGCAGCTTATCTGCCTTATCTCTTTGTTTTCCCCTGATTAGGACTCCACAGCTAGAAGGTACTGAAGGTCCTACAGTAGGAAATCAGTGAGAAAGGGTTTTGAGTTGAACATGGAGAGAACAGTGCAATGTCTTTATTGTAGAACTTTATTTCAATTATCTCCAGCCCTTTTTCAATAATAGGGTAAGCATTTCTTCATGAAATAATTAAATACATATAAGAGTTATATAACATTCTTTTATACAAGTACACCATAATTTACTTCATCGAGTCCCTGAATTGTACATTTAAATTGTATTTCTCACCATTACACATCTTATGGCTGTGGTGAGCATACCACACACTTTAAGGCTGGCTTATGGATTAGTTTCTAAAGACTGACATCCTAAGATTAGAGAGCATGGCGGTTTGTCACATTCCTGATTCATATAGAAAAGATTCTGTTCTTGTTCCCTTTTTTGCTTCAAGCCAGAATTCAAAGGGAAACAATAAAGAAAATAATAAGCTTTGAGGAGGAAAGTACGCATTGAGGTCTGACTTTCTCAATTCCTAGTGAATGACATCAAGCAAATCTCTTTCTGATTTTTACTGTAAAACTGAGGATGTTTTTATCTAAGATTATTTTTCAAGAATAAAATAGTCTGGGACCAGTGGCCAACTCCTATAATCTCAGCGCTTTGGGAAGCAGAGGCAGGAGGATCTCTTGAGCCAAGAAATTCAAGGTTACAGTAAGCTGATGGTTGCCACTGCACTCCAGCCTGGACAATAGAGTGTGCTGTCAAAAAAAGAAAAAAAAAAAGTGGGATGTGGTGTCTCACGCCTGTAATCCCAGCATTTTGGGAGGCCAAGGCGGGTGACTCACTTTTGATCAGGATATTCAAGACCAGCCTGGCCAACATGGCAAAACCCCATCTCTACTAAAAATACAAAAAGAAATTAGCTGGGTCATACCTGTAATCCCAGCTACTCAAGGAAAATCGCTTGAACCTGGGAGGCAGAGGTTGCAGTGAGCTGAGACTGCACTACTGCACTCCAGCCTGGGCAACAGAGTGAGACTCGTCTCTAACAAAAAAAAAAAGAATAAAATAAAATTAGACAATATATGAGAAATGACCTCGCCAATTCTAAAAACATTATAGACTTATTAGATACTATACTGTGCCTTAAACTGATCTAAAACATATAATATACAAACATATTGCCTTTCACATATATATCATATATGTATATATTATCTAAATCTATATGCATATATTATATATATATATACATAGATATATATTCAAGTAAATATAAAGTTTGAAAAATACTTGGGTGAAATGTGGGTCCCTGCTTCACAACAGGGTCCCCCAGTTGCAGCATCATGTATAATTCAAATTTTGACATTTTGTTTTTAGGGAAGAAGTATCTTAAAGCTTGATTATAAAAACATAGAAATTTGATGGCATAAAATGTGTTACCTTTTATGAGTGGCAGACACCCTTGAGAATCTGCTGAAAGTGGCAGCTCCTTCCATGAAAAGAATATATATTCTTGTATATACACACATTCTTGGAATGTGGATTTTAACCAGTGGTTGTGGAAATGTGTTTAAGAGCTCTTTTATGCAGCTCAGTGTTTTTCTGTACCATGTGGAATTACAGAAAAAAATAGGCTAAACACACAAGAAAAGCAGCTTTATGTTTATATATAACAGGCCACAATTATGTGAGGGAATATGAAGTTGAGACCATTTAAGAAAATTTCTGAATCAACATCATAGATAAAGAAAGCTTAAATTGTCAACTATAATCTCAAGCCAAAGAATCGCCAATCCTCTCCTCAAGGATATTCCTCTGTTCATCCTTAAATACCCAGTCCTATTTCTCCTCCTCCCCACCAAAGTCTTCTCATAATGCTCTCAGCCTAGACCACTAACCCACCTCTGAGTTATTGGTCTTAGTGTTCCTGCTGGCTGGACAAGCACCCCCAAGTCTGCCCACCAAACTGCTGCAAACATTTCAAAGGCTTGATCCCAACAAGGCATCCTTCTCTGATAAGGTATATGAAATTCCTTTTATTGGTACTTCAATTTCCTTTAAAAAAAAAAAAAAACTTTTTTAGAAACAGCATTTCACTCTGTCACCCAGGCTGGAGTGCAGTGGTGCCATCACAGCTCACTGCAGCCTTGAACTCCTGAACTCAAGCAATCCTCCAACCTCAGCCTCCCAAGTAGCTAGGAATACAGGCAAGAACCACCATGCCCAAAGAGATGGGGTCTCATTGTGTTGCCCAGGCTGGTCTTGATCTCCTGGACTCAAGTAATCCTGCCTCAGCCTCCCAAAGTGCTGACATTACAGACATAAACCACTGTGCCTGGCCCTCAGTTTCCTTGTATATTGAAATATGGAGATGAGTTCTTCCCCCTACTAGTCCACTTGTGCCTTTCTGTCTCTCTCTTTCTCAAACTATGTAGCTCTCTGGTTATAAGGCTCCCAAAAGGGGTCCGCTAAAACATTAAGTCCAGATTCTCTCTCCATAGCTCTGGGCTCTGACCCTCACATCAGTATGCAAGTTCAAGAGAATGGAGAAATCTGTCTGGAGTGCACCTCAGTGGGATGGTACCCAGAGCCCCAGGTGCAGTGGAGAACTTCCAAGGGAGAGAAGTTTCCATCTACATCAGAGTCCAGGAATCCTGATGAAGAAGGTTTGTTCACTGTGGCTGCTTCAGTGATCATCAGAGACACTTCTGCGAAAAATGTGTCCTGCTACATCCAGAATCTCCTTCTTGGCCAGGAGAAGAAAGTAGAAATATCCATACCAGGTTAGTGGAACCAATGCTGCTGGATTCCTATGTTGACACAGCTTCAGAGCCACACCACCTGGGACACCTGCCCAGATGTGACCTCATGGCAGAGTTGTCTACTTTCCCCACCTAAGCTCTTTTCCAGTGACTTAAGGGAACCCCACCAACTTTATTAGAAGAGTTAAGATACTGAAGACATAAACCTACCTTGATCTCAAATAAATTTCAGATTATTTATCTATTTATTTTTTGAGACAGTGTCTCACTCTGTTGCCTAGACTGGAGTGCAGCAGCAGAATGATCTCAGCTCACTGCAAGCTCCGCTTCCCAGGTTCAAGCGATTCTCCTGCCTCAGCCTCCAGAATAGCTGGGACGACAAGTGCACACCACCGTGCCCAACTAATTTTGTGTATTTTTAGCGAAGGCAGGGTTTCACCATGTTCCCCAGGCTGGTCTTGAACTTCTGGCCTCAAGCAATCCACCTGCCTCGGCCTCCCAAAGTGCTGGGATTATAGGTGTGAGCCATCACACCCAGTGAAATTCCAGATTTTCCATTTCAGGAGATCTAAGTGAGATAGAGAAGCTTTGTCCCTGGAGGCCTTCCTGATCCAGAGCCTTCTCTCCTCAAGTAAACAAAAAGACTAAGTTGGCCGGGCGTGGTGGCTCACGCCTGTAATCCCAGCACTTTGTGAGGCCGAGACAGGCAGATCACAAGGTCAGGAGATCGAGACCATACTGGCCAACATGGTGAAACCCCGCCTCTACTAAAAATACAAAAAAATTAGCCAGGCATGGTGGCGGGTGCCTGTAGTCCCAGCTACTTGGGAGGCTGAAGCAGGAGAATGGTGTGAACCCGGGAGGCAGAGCTTGCAGTGAGCTGAGATTGCGCCACTGAACTCCACTCCAGCCTGGGTGACAGAGCGAGACTGCATCTCAAAAAAAAAAAAAAAGACTAAGTTATTTTTCTACTTTTGCCATTTCCACCCATACTCACTTCTCCTTCCTATCCCATGCTAGGGCTCTGTCTAGGTTTCCAGGGTCCTCAGGGAAGAAAATCCTCTCATTATTCCCCAGATACTGTCTCTGGTTCAGGCAGAAACCTTTCCTTATTCTTTGGTCAATGAGTCCCATTCTGTTACATACAGAGGCACACTTCCCCTTCCTTATTTACCTCCTTCATCCTCTTGGCTCCCATTCTGCACTGATAGTTAAGGAAGAATTTCCATAATGACATGAATTGGTCCATTATATTTATTATTTCACAGGTCCTGTCCCAAAATTACTCGTCATTTCTCTCTTTCTCTGCTGACTCCTGCTTGAAGTCAATTTTTTTCTGAAAAGTTTAGAGTGGCATTGGAGTGACTATTTTTTTGCTATATGAGGGATGAGAGTGGTCCAGGCCATCACCTCTTCTACCCTCCTTTGGAATGTGGAGAAAAGCTGGACTTGCTCAGAATTTCTCAACTAATGTCCTTCTTGGGGATTTTGTTTTAGCTTCCTCCCTCCCAAGGCTGACTCCCTGGATAGTGGCTGTGGCTGTCATCCTGATGGTTCTAGGACTTCTCACCATTGGGTCCATATTTTTCACTTGGAGACTATACAACGAAAGACCCAGAGAGAGGAGGAATGAATTCAGCTCTAAAGGTAAACCATAGAATCCACAAGGGCTACGTGTCAGGAGTGCTTCAGAGGCAGGCTGGATCCAAGTCCTTTAGAATGACTTATTTTAGGATGACAGGAAGATATTTGAGGCTGGGCATGGTGGCTCACGCCTGTAATCCCAGCGGTTTGGGAAGCCGAGGTAGGTGGATCATCTGAGGTCAGGAGTTCGAGATCAGCCCGGCCAACATGGCAAAACTCCATCTCGACTAAAAATACAAAAATTAGCCAGGCTTATTGGTGAGTGCCTGTAATCCCAGCTACTCGGGAGGCTGAGGCAGGAGAATTGCTTGAACCCAGGAGGTGGAGGTTGCAGTAAGCCGAGATCGTGCCATTGCACTCTAGCCTGAGCGACAGAATAAGACTCCGTCTCAAAAAAAGTAGAAGATACTTGATTCTAGAATTCTGAAAATTGGAGGAAATCATAAGGGTCCTGAAGTCACAGATGCCAATATGAAGAAGCACAGAGGATTGGGGCATAGGCAGAGTCTAATCAAGATATCAGGGCTGATGTTTACTCACTACCCACCCTCAGACCCTACTCCCACTTTTAACTCAATTGCCCAGTACCAATCTTATTATTAAAGATCTGAGGCCGGGCGCAGTGGCTCATGCCCGTAGTAATCTTAGCACTTTGGGAGGCCGAGATGGGTGGAACACATGAGGCCAGGAGTTCAAGACCAGACTGGACAACATGGTGAAACCCCGTCTCTAATGAAAATACAAAATTTAGCCAGGGTCGTGGCCCACACCTGTAGTCCCATCTACTCGGGAGGCTGAGGCGGGAGAATGGCTTGAACCTGGGAGATGGAGGTTACAGTGAGCAGAGATTGCACCACTGCACTCCAGACTGGGCAACAGAATGAGATTCTATAAAAAAAAAATCTGATCCCAAGCCAGTTCCAATATGTAGGAACTTCCTGCATCTTTCTTCGAAAACAAAGCAAAACAAAATCCTTGTTCTTGATTTATTGGCAATGCTTCAATATTCAAATAGTCATGAATTAAACAGTTCCTCCTTTGTGTGTTTCCCACACGAGTTTTGTCCCCTCCTTTACGTCCACTATAGAAAGCCATTGAGGTATTTTTGTTTGTTTTCCAGAGAGACTCCTGGAAGAACTCAGTAAGTTCTGTCTTCTTGTTATTTCACCCACAGAGTTTTCTCTCTCTTATTATATAACCTGTCAATGACTATCTTTCTCTTTTGTTGCAGAATGGAAAAAGGCTACCTTGCATGCAGGTCAGTGGCTCTGAACTTCTCTAGGGCTCTGAGGCTCTATCCCCTAGGAATTCAAAGTGCTATGATACTTGGAAATGAAAACACTAACACTTTAGTGATGAGGACAGGAAGGGAAACGGTGATGACAGATGGCCTCAACAGTTTCTGTGAGGCACATAGAGAACCCTTGGAAGATGGCACTTCCGACAGAGTCCCATTAGGCCCTAGGCACAGTTAGCTCTTACATCACCCTCTGGCTGCTGGTAAGGGGGGATCCTGTGGTGAATGGAGACCCCTGAGCAGGCCAAACATCCCCCCACCTCCAGAAGACCTGTCAACTCCTACAACAGTGTTCTGTTTCTTAGGAGAAGGAAAGACAGTCCTGCAACCTGTAATATTCACTGATGTCAGACCTGCTGTTTCTTTCTCTCCAGTTGATGTGACTCTGGACCCAGACACAGCTCATCCCCACCTCTTTCTTTATGAGGATTCAAAATCTGTTCGACTGGAAGATTCACGTCAGAAACTGCCTGAGAAAACAGAGAGATTTGACTCCTGGCCCTGTGTGTTGGGCCGTGAGACCTTCACCTCAGGAAGGCATTACTGGGAGGTGGAGGTGGGAGACAGGACTGACTGGGCAATCGGCGTGTGTAGGGAGAATGTGATGAAGAAAGGATTTGACCCCATGACTCCTGAGAATGGGTTCTGGGCTGTAGAGTTGTATGGAAATGGGTACTGGGCCCTCACTCCTCTCCGGACCCCTCTCCCATTGGCAGGGCCCCCACGCCGGGTTGGGATTTTCCTAGACTATGAATCAGGAGACATCTCCTTCTACAACATGAATGATGGATCTGATATCTATACTTTCTCCAATGTCACTTTCTCTGGCCCCCTCCGGCCCTTCTTTTGCCTATGGTCTAGCGGTAAAAAGCCCCTGACCATCTGCCCAATTGCTGATGGGCCTGAGAGGGTCACAGTCATTGCTAATGCCCAGGACCTTTCTAAGGAGATCCCATTGTCCCCCATGGGGGAGGACTCTGCCCCTAGGGATGCAGACACTCTCCATTCTAAGCTAATCCCTACCCAACCCAGCCAAGGGGCACCTTAAGGAATATCTCAGCTCATCTGTTTTCCTTTCCTCTAACCCCTCTCCTCCATAGCCTTCTGAGGCTTCACCTGCTAGCTTTACCCAGTCTGTTTCTTCCTGTTGGGTGGCAATTAATTAATCCTGTGAAGGTTACATTGCTGCTGCTAGAGAGGGTGGGGATTGCACCTTCCAAATCTGTTTCTGTACCAATATTTGGGGGATGGAGGGGTGACTCAAACTGCTTCTAGTGTTCTCCTAATCCCTTAAGACTAGAACCTATAGGAAACTACTTGGAGCAAACTCAAAGGACAGATTAGGGATCGAGATTGGGTCAGGTTAGCATGGGGTTGTGGTTGAAATATCTTGGTATCCAGGATAAGGGTATGTGGAAAAACAGGCTTTAGGCAAGTGGAAAATTCAAAATGTGCTGTGAAAGGACAATCTCAGGCTGAAATCCCATAAAGGAACTTGGAGGGAATATTATGATGGAGGGAAGTGAGGTGAATCCAGGCACATGATGAACACCTGGCTCATCCATAGAGTTTTCACAGCCTATATCGCAAATTTTCTAAGCCACGTCCTATAGGACAGAGGAGACTGGCCCCACTTCTATGGGTCTGAGCTGTGGAAAAGGGAGAGCAGAGAGGAACTGAGATGAGCAGGGATGAAGGGTCAGGCAGAAAGCGTGATAGAGGAGAGAATTTTTGACAAAACTCAAAAGTTGTTTGCACAGCTGTTCTTTGTACCCTGTTCCTTTCTCTGCGCCCTCCTGTTTCTCCCTTGCCTGGAAGTCATTCCACCCTCAATTTGTTGATCCACAAGTTTCCAGTTGTCCTCTTCTTTTTGTTATAGCATCTCTCTATTTCAAAGACATTCCTAGAAGTCATCCTTCAGTGATATCACCACTTGCTCAGTCACCATCTCAACCTTATGTCACCTCAGCCCTCATCTCAATGCCCAAACCCCTTACACACACCTTCAGTTAGCTTCAACTGCCTCCGTTTCCACACTGTGCACCTTTCACTTTCCCTACCCAGCTTTCCTACATGCTGCCTCTCCTCAGGGTCCCCTGAATGCTGCATCATTGTGTTCAGTGCAGCTGGACTGATTGCACCTGTGTATTTGCCCCTGAGCACTTTCCTTTACACATGTGGCTTGTCTTGCCAATAGACTCCAGGCTTATACCTTCCATTTCCATCGTATTCTCCAGTTTCCAGGATAGACGTTGCTCATCGTCTTTACCTAATAAATAAGTTTGTCTGATTGCTGAAAGCAACCTCTTAACCTTTCTTTTTTAATATCAACTGAAACAAAATAAAACATAGGGCAAGAAACCTGCATGGGAATGCAGCTGTCTAAAGCTTTGCCATTGTATGTGGTCTAAGACCCATCCCTAGGCCTGATGGCAGTGGGCTCACCAGGGCAGGTGCACATGGGGGCTGATGCCTCATGAGGGAACAACTGCTTACCAGGGTCTTCAAGCAGGAATACAGAATCTCAACTCAGGAACAATTTTTTATTAGTCCATCCTCATATTTCTGTAAAGAAATACCTGAGACTGGGTAATTTATAAAGATAAGAAGTTTAGGCCGGGCACGGTGGCTCATGCCTGTAATCCCAGCACTTTGGAAGGCCGAGGCGGGTGGATCACGAGGTCAGGAGTTTGAAACCAGCCTGACAAACATGGTGAAACCCCGTCTCTACTAAAAACACAAAAATTAGCCGGGTGTGGTGGCAGGCACCCGTAATCCCAGCTGCTCAGAAGGCTGAGGCAGGAGAATCACTTGAACCCGGGAGGCAGAGGTTGCAGTGAGCTGAGATCGCGCCACTGCACTCCAGCCTGGGTGACAGAGCAAGACTCCATTTAAAAAAAAAAAAAAAAAAAAGATAAGAAGTTTAATTGGCTCATAGTTATGTAGGCATGACAGCTTCTGCTCAGCTTCTGGGGAGGCCTCAGAAAATTTACAATCATGGCAGAAGGCGAAGGGGAAGCAGGCACATCTTACATGGCCATGGCAGAAGGAAGACAGCAGCAGGGACGGGGGAGGAGAGAGGGGGGAGCGGGGGATGTGCTACACACTCTTAAACAATCAGATGTCATAATTAGTCACTCATTCACTATCACAAAAATAGCATTGGCCGGGCATGGTGGCTCACGCCTGTAATCCCAGCACTTTAGAAGGCCGAGGCAGGCAGATCACCTGAGGTCAGGAGTTCAAGACCAGCCTAACATGGTGAAACCCCGTCTCTACTAAAAATACCAAAAAAATTAGCCGGGCTTGGTGGCACATGCCTGTAGTCCCAGCTACTTGGGAGGCTGAGGCAGGAGAATCGGTTGAACCTGGGAGGCAGAGGTTGCAGTGAGCCGAGATCATGCCACTCACTTCACTCCAGCCTAGGCGACAGAGAGAGACTCTGTCTCCCAAAAAAATAGCACTGAGGGGATGGTGCTAAACCACTCATGAGAAACCGCCCCCATGATCTAATTACCTCCCAACAGGCTGCACCTCCAACATTAGGGATTACAATTGAACATGGGATTTGGGTGGGGACTCAGATCCAAACTATATCAAATAATATCCAAAGATCACCCACCCCATTTTTTTTCTTTTAATTACAAGGCCTTAACATTAAAGATTTCCCAAATATTTCCTCCTCTTGCAAAAGTACTGTTAAAGAGTTGGCTTCACTTACCTATACCATTGACCAGGTTACCTTTACAGTAGTAGAAATGAAGTTCACCACCCAAACAGGGGCAGAGGGTAGGTAGCCATTGGCACTCTGGCCTTTTGGATAGCTGAACACACGGAGGTTTCTGGAGGGCAGTGTGTGCACAGAGAAAGCTTCGGAGCTGCATGCCCCTTCCCACACATCTTGCCCTGTACATATTTTCCATCTGTCTTTTCATCTGTATACTTTGTAATATCCTTTATAATAAATCAGTAAACATGTATTTGCAGGATAGGTTGGATAAAATCAAGAGTAAAGTCTATTGAAGGAAGGAGGAGGCTTAGTAGCATCAGTCCCCGGATTTAAAAGGGATGTTTGAACGAAACTGGGATTCCGAGAAGAGGAAAGAGAAGACTAAAAAAAGGAGCTAAAAGAAATTGCTCGATCTATTTATAATACATTATGATGTATTATGAAAGTAAATACCACTCTAATACTTTCAGAATACATTATAATCCTCCCTGCACTTACTTGCTTAAATCCAGCATCTATTTCTGCAATATTAAAATCCTCCAAAGCATTCTATTTCTTTTAGGGGCAAGTAGGCAGTGGAGAAGCTGTGAGCCTGCATTGCATTCTAGTGTGGGCCACAGAGAAGAGGACTCTCAAGTTGAAGAATGGATGGTATCAGCCAGAAAGAGGAAAATGGGCTTGTTTCTGGAGCTGAGGGGAGAGAAAAGGGGGTCAAATGGGAATTCGCTTGGGGTTATACATTACATTCAAGTGTGTATTTAGATACAAGCCTTTACCTCAACACCTTCCTTACCCCCATTCTGAATAGATCTCATGCCAAAGTAAAAATAAAACCAATTCATAATCATTCTATTAAAAATAATAAATATTTAAGAACCTCAGGCAGTTGCTTTACTGATTTAATGTGGAATGTATATCTTAAAATGTATCTCTAAACCTCACCCAGAATAGATGGACTGCCACAGAAATCCCCCTCTGAGAGTAGGGAAAAAGAACAGTCACAGATTATAATCAGCTCTATGACTCCTCTTTCCTTTTTCCCCATGACCTTCCAGGAAAATGGTCACTGGGCACAGTAGTGAGCTTGTGGTAGATTCTTAGGAGATACAATGTCCTTCCTTTTTCCCTCCAGCTCCAGCCCCACACACCCCTTAGAAAGAATTTATGTGGGCCAGGCGCGGTGGCTCATGCCTATAATCCCAGCACTTTGGGGAGGCCAAGGCGGGCAGATTGCTTGAGGCCAGGAGTTCTGAGACCAGCCTGGTCAACATGGCAAAACCCTGTCTATACTAAAAATATAAAAATTAGCCAGGCGTGGTGGCACACGTCTGTAGTCCCATCTATTCGGGAGGCTGAGGTTGGGGGATGGCTTGAGCCTGGGAGGTAGAGGTCGCAGTGAGCCAACATCATGCCACTGCACTCCAGCCTGGGCGACAGAACCAGACACTGCCTCAAAAATAAATAAATAAATAAATAAATAAATAAATAAAATAATTTATGTGATAGAGCTAAGAACCTGCCTTTGGCTCCCTGTCCTGGTGGCACCAGCTATAAGAATTGTGCCCCAGAGATAAGGAAATTATCAGTCTCAGTATGTCTGGCCTTATTTCCAAATCTCCTAAAAGACAAGAAATGTTGCATTGCCAATGCTTTACCAAAGCCTGTCTGAGTTACCCAGGCAAAGTAGGTGACACTATGAGTTCAAAAGCACTGAAACTAACTGAAGTATTTGTTAATGTCTGTTTTTATTTTTAATCTAGAAACAAATACCTTTCCACCCTACAACTAAAAATCATACTAAAAATGCACTTACCCCTAAAATAATAATAGCTGACTTCATTTCACACTGCCAAATGCCAGCTCTGGTAGTCACATGTTTCTGGGAGCCTGCCTCTATTTAACAGAGACTATGAGGTAACTAAGCCCAGACATTCAGATTGTGAGAAAAATAACTGAACAACTTCCCTCTTCCCTAATCAATAGCAGCTCTTCCATGCCATTCCTCCACACATCTTGAGTCATGTCTCTTCTGCCTCCAGACAGCACTCATATTTCCTCAAATCCCCCTCTTGCAATAGTCCCTGACAGCCCACTCCCAAATACATACACATTTACTCTTGCGCTCATTGTATTATTTTAAAATGGAAATAACTTATTTTCCTAAAAATACATGAAAGTATATTTTACAAAGTAAAAATGGTCCCAAATCTCATCACTCAAATATGACCAATGCCAATATTTGGGTTTATCCTTTCATTTAAAATACATATATATATATGTATGCACACACACACACACATATATATACACACACATATATAATATATGTGCACATATATATATTATATATATATATAAAATATATATATGTGGTGCCAACAGCTTCCAAGAAAAGGTCAGATGAGCAACAATCATCCATCATAGAAGACTGGCTGACCATGGAGGAGAGCACTGCATAGGGATTCCATGCATACTTTAAAGCATTGCTACTCATGCTGATTCTGGACTGTCTTGTTAGAACCACAGAACTTTAGATCCCACTGAGAACTCCTGAATCAGAAACTGCATTTAACAACATGGTGATTCATGTGCACTTTAATGTTTGAGAACAGACTAGATGTATGCTTCAAAATATTACGCATCTACTTGGGATTAAAGATCTTAGTTGAAGTAACAAGAGTCTTTCCAGAGGAATATCTCGCTGGGTGCGGTGGCTCATGCCTGTAATCCCAGCACTTTGGGAGGCTGAGACGGTGGATCACCTCAGGTCAGGAGTTTGAGACCAGCCTGGCCAACATGGCAAAACCCCGTCTCTACTAAAAATACAAAAATTAGCCGAGTGTGGTGGCCCACGCCTGTGGCGCCAGCTACTCGGGAGGCTGAGGTAGGAGAATTGCTTGAACCCGGGAGGCAGCGGTAGCAGTAGCCAAGATTGCACCATTGCACTCCAGCCTGGGTGACAGAGCGAGACTCCATCTCAAGAAAAAAAAAAGAAAGAACAAGAAATATCTCCAAATTTTGATCATCGTGCAAAATGCATTTACGTAGCAACTGAATATGCATACTCATAGTATTAACAGTAACAAAGTACTTATTATGCGTCAGGTCCTGTATTTTGTGTGCTGTAATTCCTGCCATTTTTCAGACCCCTAGGAGGTAGGTAGGCATCAGTGCAGTCTCCATTTTACAAATAAAGACTCTGAAGAGCAGAGAGATAAAATGGCTTCTATCACCCGCTAGAGAGTAAGCAGAGATGAGATTTGACTCCAGGCCATCTGACTCCACGGTCCATGCTGTTGGTTAGGTACAAAGTACATTGTCCAGAAAATGACTTTCAAACATTCCTATAAGCTGAGCAAATCTTGTGTTAGTTTACAAAGCAGTATACAACTTAGAACAAGTAGGAGGTAAGAAAGTTAACATAACATCAAGCTACTGCCACAGAAAGACCTTGTACTGGACTGTACAAGAATTTGGCCTCATGTTCTTCCAAGAGAGAGAGGTGAAGGCAGCCACCAGTTCCATTCAAACAGCAAAATAGCAGTGGAAGATAATCAAGTGCCAGGACAGTGGCTTTGGATTGTAATAACCACAGTGAGACACTGTTACATTGTTGCAGTTGTTGAATTGTAGTTCTGGCTGACTAGTTTATTGTTGTTTAAAGCCTTTTAATCCTTTCAAGAGCCTGCTGAAGACTTAATTTTTCTCTCCGTCTGCAGCATTAACTCTCACCTATCGGCTCACTACTCCTGAATCGATGACTCTGGCCCCAACATGGTTTCCAGAATGGCCTTACTTATTCTACTCCTGAACATCTTCTCTGTGACAAATAATAGGTACCTCAAATTTAAGGGGACCAAAGTACAACTCTAGATTCCCTCTGACCAATTTACACCTTACTTAATCTTTTCCACTCCATTAATGACTCTGTGATCCATTTTCTCGAGCCAAAAATATAGGCATAAGCACTAATTCCTCTTTTTATCTCATTTTCCACCTCCAAACGCCTAGTAAGTCCTGTCAGCTCTGCCTTCAAAACATATCCTGGACATGAGCACTTCTTTCCTTCTTTACCACTAGCTCCCTAAGCCATCATCACTTCTTACCTGGATTTTTTATATAGCACCTGCTTCTACCCTTGCCTCTATGGTCAGCTACCCACAAAGACCAGAGTATTGTTTTGCTTGGTTTGGTTTGGTTTGGTTTGGTTTCGTCTGGTCTGGTCTGGTTTGGTTTGGTTTGGTTTGGTTTTGAAATAGAGTCTCACAGCCAGGCGTGGTGGCTTACACCTGAAATCCCAGCACTTTGGGAGGCCAAGGCAGGTGGATCATGAGGTCAAGAGATTGAGACCATCCTGCCCAATATGGTGAAACCACATCTCTACAAAAAATACAAAAATTAGCTGGGCATGGTGGTGTGCGCCTGTAGTCCCAGCTACTCTGAAGGCTGAGGCAGGAGAATCGCTTGAACCAGGGAGGCAGAGGTTGGAGTGAGCCGAGATCATGCCACTGCACTCCAGCCTGGCGACAGAGCAAGAGTCCGTCTCAAAAAAAAAAAAAAAAAAAGAATGAAAAAGAAAAAGAAAGAAAGAAATAGAGTCTCACTCTGTCGCCCAGGCTGGCTAATTTTTTTTTTTTTTTTTTTTTTAGAGACAGGATCTCCCTATGTTGCCCAGGATGGTCTCGAACTCCTGAGCTCAAGCGATCTGCCCTCCTCAGCCTTCCAAAGTGCTGGGATTACAGGCATGAGCCACTGTGCCCCGCCCAGAGTATTGTTTTCAAAGACAAATCAGATTATGTTATCAAAATTCTCCAATGGCTTCCCAATGCAGCCTCAGGATTAAACTCAGGCCCTACTAACACCATCTGGTCCTTGGCTATCTTTGCAATTTCATCTCTTTCGTTCCCTTATTCCTCCTCTTCAGACACAGAAGCCTTTTGTTCCTCCTTCATTCTCTCCCCAAGTTCTTTGCCCTTGCCGTGCCCTCTGTGTGTCCCCTGGATATGTTTGTCTCGCCCCCCATTTCATTCAGGTTTCTGGTCAAATGATGTCTCTAACCACCCTCTGTAAAAAAGCACCCCCCCCCCCCCCACACACACACACACACTTTTCTACTTTCTGACTCATCACCCTGCACTACTTTTCTTTTGGGAAAACTCCTGCACAATTACTATTTTTCTTGAAAGTACTTATTAATACTTGAAACTATAAGCATATTTGTTTTTTTAATAGTCTTTCTTCATCACAGAGGCAAGAATCCACAAAAGCAGAGATTTCCTTTGTTTGTAAATAAAGTACCTGGCACATATTAGTTGCTCAATAAATATCAACCGACAGATTAAGTTATGAGTGTGCGCAAAGTTCAAGGAAGTTTGAAACTGACCTGGAGGTCAGGGAAAGTATGGTTAAACTACATGAAAGAGATGGCTGCTGGCTGTTTTTCAAACACACGTGTGGACAGACCAAACCCTACCTCCCAAGTAGGCTTTTATTGACTCAGCCTCTTTGGGAGTCAGAAAGTAATGTATTTTAATGTTGGACATACTTAAACTAAAAAGTCATTCATTGTTTAGCTGAAATTCTAATTTAACTATGCATCCTGTATTTCATCTTATTTGAGAGCCCTGAGCCCTTATACCCTCTGGCTGAGTAAACCCCACGCTTCATCAGAAAACAGCTTACCTCAAGAAATTTGTATGAACACCCACTCTCTATCCTCTTCTTATCTTTCACCTGATTTTCAATTTTGTGTCTTACAACTTAGTTTTTCAATTCTTAATTTTGTTTCTTCTCACTATTCTTTAAGATTACTGTGGTAGATGGTTGTACAAATACACCCAATAAACCTTTCCTCCCTGGGCCCCACTCTTGCAGTACCCTCTCCCTACACTGCCTTTAGTTTGGGCCCTGTGACTTGCTTTGGCCAATGTGAGGCAAGCAGAAGTTGGATAAGAACATGGCACTGGGGCAAGACCTCGGGGAACTGCTTTCCCATCACGTCTAGCCTCCTTGGGAATGAAAGACTTTATGAAGAGAGAGGCTTAGCATCTTGGCTGAATGGTGGGCATAAATGAGCCTAGGCAAAGCCAGCCGGAGCGGGGGGTGGGGAGGTGGGGGGTAGGGGGGTGGGGAGGTGGGGGGTAGGGGAGTGGGGGGTGCGGGGTTGCGGGGAGTCGGGGGAAGTTTCGTTCTTGTTGCCCAGGCTGGAGTGCAATGGCAGTCTCGGCTCACTGCAACCTCCACCTTCCAGGATGAAGCGATTCTCCTGCCTCAGCCTCCCGAGTAGCTGGGATTACAGGTATGCATCACCACGCCTGGCTATTTTTGTATTTTTAGTAGAGATGGGGTTGAAACCCCCCATGTTGGCCAGGCTAGTCTTGAACTCCTGACCTCAGGTGATCCACCCGCCTTGGCCTCCCAAAGTGCTGGGATTACAGGCGTGAAGCCACCACGTCTGGCCTTCGTTTTGCTTTCTATATTTTTAACCATTTATTTATTTGAGATGGAATTTTGCTCTTGTTGCCCAGGCTGGAGTGCAATGGCACGATCTCGGCTCACTGCAACCTCCGCCTCCTGGATTCAAGCGATTCTCCTACCTCAGCCTTCCAAGTAGCTGGGATTACAAGCGTGTGCCACCACGCCTGGCTAATTTTTTTTTTTTTTTTAATTTTTAGTTGAGATGGGTTTACACCATGCTGGCTAGGCTGGTCTCGAACTCTTGACTTCACGTGATCCACCCGCCTCGGCCTCCCAAAATGGTGGGATTACAGGTGTGAGCCACTGCACCTGGCCATTTTCAACCTTTTATAAAACTATCTAGCCAGGGCAACATAATAACAAAACAATAAAAAACAGCCAGGCCAGCTGGTGTGTGCCTGTAGTCCTAGCTACTGTAATCCTTGCTCCTGTACTCCTCCTGGGAGTTCGAGGCTACAGTGAGCCAGGATCATGCTGCTACTCTCTAGCGCGGGCAACAGAGCCAGATCCCGTCTCAAAAAATACATACATGTATTGTTTCTAAATTGGGCTTTTCCTCCCCCACTTCTCTTTCTTTAGAGGGCAATTCTATTTTTCACTGGGGAACTAAGCTGGGATTTCTCATGAGGCCTAGAGACTGGAGTTAAAATAACTACTTTATTAGAGGTCTCAGCTTCTCTCCATTTTATTATTTTTTTTAATTTTTTATTCTTTTTTTAAAAAAATAGAATGCTCCCGTCGGGCTCAGTGGCTCACGCCTGTCATACCAGCACTTTGGGAGACTGAGATGAGTGGATCGCCTGAGGTCAGGAGTTCGAGACCAGCCTGGCCAACACAGTGAGACCCCCGTCTCTACTAAAAATACAAAAATTAGCCGGGCATGGTGGCGGGCGCCTGTAATCCCAGCTCCTAGGGAGGCTGAGGCAGGAGAATCGCTTAAACCCGGGAGGAGGAGGTTGCAGTGAGCCGAGATCGCGCCATTGCACTCCAGCCTGGACAACGAGAGCGAGACTTCGTCTCAAAAAGGAATGCTTCACAAATTTGCCTGTCATCCTTGTGCAAAGGCCATGCTAATCTTCTCTGCATTGCTCCAATTTTAGTGTAAGTGCTTGCCGAAGGGAGCACAGCTCTGTCCATTTTATTTCATGTTTCTTGGGCTCACTGCCCCATTATAGTGTAAGCCCTTCGATGGTGGAGCTTATTCTGTCTGTTTGTTTACTGTTGGATCACCAGCACCTAGAATGCTGCCTGGCACATAGTAGGTACCCAATAAATATTTCCTATATGTTGGATGAATTGCCTCTCTCCTCATCTCCAAAGTTGGTATCCACCACTACCCTGTGAAAAGAGCAGAGGTGACTGAATTTTAGAGGCCTTGCAGAGGACTTATTAAACACTTACTGTGGGACTCTATCCTCATAACTTTTTAATTTACTTATTTGTATTTTTAAAATCAACAAATAAAGATATATATATTTATGATGTACAAAATGATGTTTTGTTCTATGTGTACATTGTGGGAAGGCTAAATCAAGCTAATTAACATATCCATTACATCACATACTTATCTTTTTCTTTTTGTGGCAAGAACATTTAAAATCCACTCTCTTAGCAATTTTCAAGTATTCAATAACGTTGTTATTAACTATAGTCACCATGTTGGACATAGCAAAACTTCTGAATCGGTAGGCCTGAGAAGAACAGAATTTGCCTCTAATTGATTCCCTGGAGATGGGGATTTAATGCTTAATTTAAGGGATTAAACATTGTATTCTATCAATTGAACTCACGATGAAAGTATTATAGGTGTCTAAGAAAGCTGTTTCTAATGTCCACAGAAGCAAAATGACTTATCTAAGATTCTCCAGGTAGTGACCAGTTCTAGTTCTGTCTGAAATTCGTACTCAGGTCCCCTGACTTCCAGTCAGTGATATTCCGACCATGGCATCCTGACTGCTAACCCTTGCTAACAAAATTTGAAGTAGGTCACCTCTGACCTTTGTTTATGTTTAGAAAAGTTGTTGTGCTCAAGGCCTTCTATCAAGTACCCGCTGCGCCAGGTTTAGTAAAATACATAAGCTACTCCCCATTTTTGTTGTTGCTGTTTTTGCTTTTGCTTTTTAAAGTTTTTATTACAGTATAACATCCACACCGAAAAGTGCGCAAATCCTCCATAAACTCCGACAGAGAGGCAAGACAAGCCAGGCTTCCCACGCTCCTGTCCCCTCCACCGGCCCTGCCAAGGGTAACCACGTGCTGGGAGATTTGCAGCACAACGCAAAGGAGAAGGATTAGCGAGCACCTTGTTCCAGCAAAAACTGGAGCAAGCCTAAAACTTCCTGGGAATTAAGTGTAAATTTAAGCCAGGTATTCTAGTAATGTTGAGTTCAACAGGATTGCCATTATTTTAACTAGAATTCAGTTGAGAGCAGAGCGCCATCGCCGTCTTCCGCCTTAGTCACTCGGCCCTGGGCTGGCTCACGCCCGCCCCGCCCCCTCCCCGCCCCTCCCACGCCCGCCCCGCCCCTCCCACGCCCCCGCCCCCGTCCCGCTCCCCCTACCCCGACCCGCCCTCCCTCGCCCGCCGCCCCACCCGCCGCAGCCCTCCCCGCGCAGCCTGGGAGTGACTCGGCGTTCACTCGGGAGACGCCGCTCTGTGGCCCGGACAACCGGTCCTATGCAGCGCCGTCCGAGGCAGTTCGCGGAGAGGCGGCTTACCTTTTAACCCAGGAATGCCCATATCTTGAGAAAAAGAACAACAAGGGGGTGGGCGGGGGTGGGGACATGGGGTAGGGGGGCGGCTGGTGGATGGGGAACTAATAGCGTTTAGACAAGAGACAGAAGTGAGTCCTGAGCACAATGTAGCATAAGCGCGTCAGGATGGCCGAGCGGTCTAAGGCGCTGCGTTCAGGTCGCAGTCTCCCCTGGAGGCGTGGGTTCGAATCCCACTCCTGACAGTTCGTACTTTTAGTATTTAGACACAAATCGAGTTTAAGTTTACGCTACGTTTTCCTACCTGCTCTTTGTGACATGGTCTTCTCTCTTTTTAAAAAATAAATTTTCCGAGTTCCGGAATAAAAGCACTCTTTGTTTTTATTAGCCACTCCAAGGACAGCAAAAAGTACTCTGTACTCCGAAAATAATTTCAGAACCTACCGGTGTTTTGAAATCTCACCTCCTTTTTCCGTTTCTCCTCTGTCTCTAGTTGTCTTTCCCTCTCCCTCCTTCACAGGCAGAGTTGAATAAATGTTACTCTTCAGTTCATGGCTCATTACATTACTGCAGGGCTCCTCTTTATTTAGTTATAGTTATCTTTTTAATTCCATTTCTTCAGTCTCATTCCCCACCTCATCCTTACTCCCCGTAAGAAATCACTGCAAGAGTTCCGGTCTGGCAGAGAGCGCGGAGAGACGCAGAGCGCGGGCCGCTCCTCCAGGGCGCTCCAGGCCCTCCGGCCCCGGGTCGGCGGGTGAGCTAGGGGGCGCCCCGGGACAGGCCGCGCCCTCTGCCCTGCAGATACCGGAGGCCTCTGCTGTGGCTGCCCACTGGCTGGGCCCAGGCCTTGAAGCGGTGGCGAACGTCTCTTCCCTACCCTACCTCGGTGACTGATGGCGGCGGCGGCCTCTCCCAGTCCGGACCCTGCCGGCCGTCGGGTCTCCCGGCCCAAGCCTGCCGGGCCTGGACGAAACCCCCGCCGAGCAGCCTGGACGCAGCGCCTTTGGGTGGCGGCGGGAGTAGCGTGCCGGGAAGCATGGCGGCCGCTCGAACGCCGCGCGGCGGAGGGCGTTAGGGCATGGAGGGCCCGGGAAGGCGGCCTAGGGACGCAGGCAGGCTCGGCCGCCTCTTCAGGCCACGGAGCCGCCAGATCTGGGTCCCGGGTGACCACTCTGTCGCCATTGGGCGAGACCTACCTAGTCCTAACGACAACGGACAAAGGCCTTAACGGGCCTGGGAGGTGAGCGAAGTCCCGAACGACGACGGGTGGAACGGTTAGCGGCGATCGGGCGGTTGGTCTCCGTACTACCAGACCTTGCTGTCGGAAGAGACAAATGGTAGAATGACAGGCCACGTTTGGCCCGTTGGAAATGCCCTCCATCCTCTGGGAAGATTCACAGGCCGTTTACGGAAGGCCTGTGTATATAATATGAAAAAGCTGCTCTCAACTCCACCCCAACCTTTTAATAGAAAACATTTGTCACATCTAGCCCTTCTAGATGGAAAGAGGTTGCCGACGTATGATAGAGTTAGAAAGTCACACATCTTGTAAATTCTCATTTGTTTAAAAGAAATCATAGAAAATACATGTCTTCCGGAGTTGACTTTTGGAAACTGAGTTGTTAGACGGCCTCTAGAAGCGATACGTTCACGTTTGTTCAGTGGGTTAGATGACATGGAGCTCGAAGACCTGAGAAGGAAAAAAAGAAGGTTCTATGCTAGACTGGTCATATTTAGAAGACATTTTCATATTCTATCCATTGTTTTGTGTGCATTCGCTTCCTCACTACTATGTATGTAGTTGACAATGCTAAGCTTTTTTGAAATGTCTATTCTTTTTAGATATTCTGAAGTGTCTGATATATGTTAAAATTAGAGGTAGTAAAACCACATTTTGTAAATATCTTTTTGTTACAATTCATAGAAATGTTGTTTTTTGGGGGGAATGGCCAAATCACCTGTTGAGTAATACTCATTGTGTTTGTGCAGTAGTTCAGGGGAGGAGAGAGGAGGGGGAGGTGCAGAGAGCTCTATGCCATCCTGCTTACAGCGAGGCAAGATGAATCACTATGTCTGTGCATTTTGTTTTATCTATGTATATAATGTACATAAAGGACAAACGAGTCCTAATTTACAACATCTAGTCTTTCTGGATGTTAAAGAGGTTGCCAGTGTATAACAAAACTAGAGTTAGTAAACTAATATATTTTGTACATTTTGTTTTACAAGTCCTAGGAAAGACTGTCTTCTGAAAATTTGAGCATTCTTGCCCACTGGGTTGATGGAGATGGGAAGGGTTCTAGGCCAGAATGTTCACATTTGGAAGACTCTTTCAAATTATAACTGTTGTTACATGTTTGCAGTTTATTCGAGACTGCTGTGTACATACATAGTGGACAAATTAACTCCTTACTTGAAACATTTAGACTATCTAGATGTTTAGAAGTGCCCGATGTATATTAAATGTAGAGGTAGTAAAATACCAATTTGTAAATATCTTTTTGCTAAAATTCATAGGAAATACTTTTGGAAGTTGAATTGTGAAGCCACCTTTGTGAGCAGTATATTACTGTCTATACTTGCTCAATGGTTTAGAGGAGGTGGGAGGGAAGAAATTGCAAAAGATAATATGCTAGTGTGTTCATACTTGGACATTTTCAGACACCATTTTTCTGTATGTTTTGTGCATTTTGTTTTGCTCTGTATATAGTGTATATAATGGACAAATAGTCTTAATTTTTTAACATCTAGAGGTTGCCAGTGTATGACAAAGTAGTAAAATTAGCATATTTTGTATGCTTTGTGTTGAAATTCATAGGAAAACTTGTCTTCTGTAATTGACTTTTGCATAGGAATTTGTTCAGCCATCTCTAAGCATTACACATGCGTGTACTTGTCCACTGAATTGAAGGCAGAGAAGGAAGAGAAGAGGGAATGATTCAAGGCCAAAATGGTCACATTTAGAAGATACCTTAGATGATAACCATTGTTATGTGTGTGCAGTTTTATTTAACAGTGCCGTGTACATGGTGGACAGGCTATGAAATATCTAGTCTTTAGATATTTGGAAGTGCTTGATGTATTTTAAAGTAGTAGTAGTAGAATAACACTTTTTGTAAATAGCTTTTAAAAACTGATGGGAAATGCTGTTTGGAAGTGGATTTGTTGAACCACCTGGGAGGTGGGAGGGAAAAAATTGCAAAAGGTGTTTTGCCATTGTTTATTAGAAAATTTCAGCTTAATCCATTGCCTATATGTTACAAGCATTTCATTTAACTTTGCTATACTGTATATATTGTGTATATACTGGACAAATGAGTCCTGATTTTATAATATCTAGTCTGTAGCTATTAAAGAGGTTGCCAGTGTATGACAAAAGTAGTTAGTAAACTAACGCATTTTGTACACTTTGTTAAAATTCATAGAGAGGCTGTCTTCTGAAAAGGACTTTTTGGAAGTGAAATGATAACATCAGCTCGAAGTGACACATGTGCTTATATCCACCAGGTTGGTGGTGGAGAGGAGTTGGAAGGAATGAAGGGTTCTAGACCAGAATGTTCCTATTTAGAAGACACTTTCAGATATAACCATTGTTACATGTGTGTAGTTTATTCAACAGTGCTATGTATATAGTGGACACACTTAAGTCCTTATTTGAAATATCTAGTCTTTCTAGATGTTTAGAAGTGCACAAAGCATGTTAAAAGTAGAGGTAGTAAGTAACACATTTTGTAGTTATTTTGATATGAAATATTGTCTTGGAAATTGATCAATTCTCTGAGAAGTACACGTTATGATATTTGTGCTGGTTCAGGGGGAAGAAGGAGCACAAAGTTCAAAGGGCTTTCTACCAGTGTCCAGTGTGTTTATGATGAGGCACATTGACCATTGTCCCTTATGTCTGCATTTTCGTTTACTGTGCTGTGTATATAAGCAGACATAGGAGTCCTAATTTATATCTAGTCGATGTTAAAGAGGTTGCCAGTGTATGGCAAAAGTAGAGTTAGTAAACTAATACATTGAGTACACTTTGTGTTAAAATTCATAAGGAACACTTCTTAAAAACAGAAGTAAAATTGTTAAACGCCCCCCGCCCCCAAGCATTACAGATGGCTTATAGCTGTCAACGGGGTTGGTAGAGGTCAGAAAGGGAAGTGTTCTAGGCCAGAATGTTCCTATTTAGAAGACACTCAAATTATAGTCTATGTTATGTATATATGCCATTTATTCAATACTACTGTGTATATAATGGAAAACTTAAGTGCAGTTTGAAACATCTAGTCTTTCTAGGTGTTTAAAAGTGCACAATGGTCAGGTGCGGTGGCTCACTCCTGTAATCCTGGCACTTTGGGAGGCTGAGGTGGGCAGATCACGAAGTCAAGGGATCGAGACTATCTTGGCCAACATGGTGAAACCCCATCTCTACAAAAAATACAAAAATTAGCTGGTCGTGGTGGCACATGCCTGTAGTCCCAGCTACTCGGGAGGCTGAGGCAGGAGAATCGCTTGAGCCCGGGAGACAGAGGTTGCAGTAAGCCGAGACCACACCACTGCACTCCAGCATGGCGACAGAGCAAGACTCCATCTCAAAAAAAAAAAAAAAAAAAAATTCCACAACATAGGTTAAAAGTAGAGGGCTAAAGTAACACCCCTCTAAGCATTTGTTTTCAGTACTTCCTAGGAGTGGTTGCATTTGGGAATGGAATTGTTAAAACTTGATGCTTAGGAGCGTATGCTGACTATTCACTGCGTGGTGGGGTGGGGAGGAGGAGGAGGTATGCAGGGAGAAGGGTTCTGTGCCCCTGAGTTAGATTAGTTCAGATGGTCTAACCATTGTTCTATGTATGCATTTTATTGTGTTAATATTGTGTATTAAAGGATAAACAAGTCTTAATGCTCAAAGTATGTTAAAAATAGATGTAGTGAATCAGTCCCTTTGTGAATGTCCTATTGTTAGTTTTTAGGAAGGCCTGTCTTCTGGGAGTGACCTTTATTAGTCCACTTCTTGGAGCTAGACGTCCTATACTTAGTCACTGGGGATGGTGAAAGAGGGAGAAGAGGAAGGGCGAAGGGAAGGGCTCTTTGCTAGTATCTCCATTTCTAGAAGATGGTTTTAGATGATAACCACAGGTCTATATGAGCATTTTTAGTAAAGTGCCTGTGTTTATTGTGGACAGAGTTTATTATTTTGCAACATCTAACCTTTATGAATATCTGAGGTGACAATGTGTGATAAAAACTAGAGCTAGTGGGCCAGGCGCGGTGGCTCATGCCTGTAATCCCAACATTTTGGGAGGCTGAGGCAGGCAGATCACAAGGTCAAGAGATCGAGACCATCCTGGTCAACATGGTGAAACCCCATCTCTACTAAAAATACAAAAATTAGCTGGGCGTGGTGGCGCGTGCCTGTAGTCCCAGCTTCTCAGGAGGCTGAGGCAGGAGAATCACTTGAACCTGGGAGGCGGAGGTTGCAGTGAGCCAATATTGCGCCACTGCACTCCAGCCTGGGCAACACAGCAAGACTCCATCTCAAAAAAAAAAAAACTAGAGCTAGTGAATTAGCCAATTTGTAAATACCTTTTTATAAGTGATAGAAAAGATGCATCTTGGACATGGAATTGTTAAACCGCCTCTGAGCAGTATATGTCAGGACTTGTTCATTAGGTTGGCAGCAGAGGGGCAGAAGGAAGTATACAGGGAGAGATGTATGCAGATGTGTCCATATGTGTCCATATTTACATTTTGATGATAGCCATTGATGTATGCATCTCTTTTGGCTGTACTATAGGAATACATTAAGTAATTCAATGGAAATATACCTTGCTAATATTATAATGGTATAGCTCTGTTAATGAATTCTCTTAGAAACATTATACTTAATGTATTCTGTTGCTGTATGTTTCATTTTAATTGAGCATTAAGGGAATGCAGCATTTAAATCAGAACTCTGCCAATGCTTTTATCTAGAGGCGTGTTGTCATTTTTGTCTTCTATGAAATTTTTGTCCCAAGAAAGGTAGGACTACATTTTTTTTTAACAGATTAAGTTGGTGTAGTGTATTCTTGTTTATCAAAATACTAATAAAGCTTTGGGATTTTGAATTGGTAAATATTCATGATGTGTCAAAAATCATGATACATACTGTACAATCTCAGTCCCATAAGATGGGATGTTGTGCCTACACACACACAGGACCTAGAAGAACATGTCAAACTGTAAACTGCTTGTGATTGTGAATGACTTTGTTGTTTGCTTCTTGTGATTTTCAGTTTCCTATAATGCACATATTAACATATTAACTTTTTAAAATAAAGGTTATTTTAAAAGCCTGTTTAAAAAAAAAAATCACTGGAAAAGGCATCCTTTTCTTTCTATATGCTTTTATAGAACAGGTACGATTGGTTTGGGTGAATGTGTTTTTATTTTATGTAAGTGGTACTGCGTCATAGATCTCTTTCTTATTCCATTGGTACCGCAGTTTTGAGCTATGTTGCTGTGTGCACATCTAAACCAACTATTTTCATTGCCACATAGAGGTCTGCAATGTGAAGTCACCTACTCTTCCACTTTGCCACTACAAATAAGGGTTCCATCAATGAACATCTTCCTATATTTCAATTATGAGGCTGTGTAAGATTTTCCTTGAGATACAGCAGGAACACATTGCACGTCATGAGATCTGACAATCTACTAATTTTGCAGTTCAGAACAGGACCTAGGACCCAGGGAGCATGATGTATACACACAGAAGTTCATGTTTAATGACATCTCCAGAAATATTCCTCAAATTGAAGTTTCCTAATGTCTAGCCTGATCATCCTGAGCATTAATAGCTACTGTTAGAAACATGAATAGGCAATGTTTCTATTTTGAGCTCATAATTTACTGCAAAGCCTCAATTAATCAAAAACCTCAGATGACTGGAATTTTCTCTTCATTATTCCTTTTTAAAAAAGAAATTCAATCTAATTACTGAGTTACCAAAGCAGAATATAGAGTGAATCTGTTTTATGATCATTGATATTCAAAATTTTTCTGCCCTCTTTCTCTCCTAAAACACTCAAACTTCACAAAAAGATTCAAGCATGCACTAAAAGAAAAATGAATTGATATGTGTTAGAAATATCATCATCAGCAAGGCTAGAAAAGAACAAAGGTCCCCCTTATTGCCCAAGTATTCACTCCACATATTCACTCCATTTCTGCCTACCCTGACATTCTGATCAAACGTGGCTTTGAATCCCTCCTTCAGAGGTGGCAACATAAGAGAAAGGAGGAAATGGCAAATAGGTGTACCCCCTAGGGTAGCAGAAAAAACACTTAAAGGTGCTTGGAAGGCCAGCAGATTAGTCGAATTCAATTCAGGCTGCCTAGGCCCATCTCTGGACGTTGCCACTTGCCAGCTACTTACCTTCCAGGAAAGTGACTTTGCATCCTTGTGCCTCAGTGCCCTTCTCTTTAAAATGGAGGAAATAACTGTACCTTTCCTCATAACTATGCAGTAAGGATTACATGACTTGGAATATGTAAAAAGCTTAGAAGAGTGTCTGGCAAACAACAAATGCCTGATACATTGTATTTTTTTTTTCATAGTTGAGTACCTGCTTGTATTAGGGTCCTTCAGAAATACCGAACTAATAGTCTATCTATCTATTAACTATGTATGTATGTGTGTATGTATCTATCTATCTATGCCTGTCTATGGAGAGAGAGACAGTAATTTATGATAAGGAATTGGTTCACACAATTATGGAGGAGGCTGAGAAGTCCCACAATCTGCCATCTGCTAGCTGGAGCCCCAGAAAAACAGGTAGTGTAATTCAGTTTGGGTCTCAATCAGGCCTGAAAGCCCCGGGAGTCAACGAAGTAAATCCCAGTCCAAGAGCAAGAGGAAAAAAAATGAGATGTAAATCAGTGGGGTAGGGGGAGAAGAGGTGAATTCCTCCTTCCTCAACCTTTGTTCTATTAAGGCCCTTAACAAATGGGAGGGATCATACCCGGGAGGGCAATTTGCTTTACTGAGTCCCTGATTCAGATGATAATCTCATCCAGAAGCACCCTGAGATAAGGTCTCGCTCTGTCACCTAGGCTAGAGTGCAGTGGCACAACCAGGGCTCGCTGCAGCCTCGATCTTCTGGGCTCAAGCATTCCTCCCACCTCAGTCTCATGAGTAGCTGGGACTACAGGTGCGTACCACCACACCTGGCTAATTTTTAATTTTTTTTTTTTTGTAGCGACATGAGGGCCTCACTATGTTGGCCAGGCTGGTCTCAAACTCCTGGGCTCAAGCGATCCTCCTACCTCGGCCTCCCAAAGTGCTGGGAGTACGGGCATGAGCCACCAAGCCCAGCCAGAAACAATGTGTAATCTGAGTATCTAATGAACCACTCTAATTGACACATAATATTAATCATCACACTGCTGTTGGCCAGGCCCTGTGCTGGTCTCTGGAGATACAGCAGTGAAGAGGACAGGCACAGCCCTTGCCTTGAGAAGTAAACAGGCTAGCTCAGACAGATATGAAGCAAGTAGATGAGCATCGCTACTTAGAATGCAATGGGAAACACAGTCCCTTCTAGCTCCACCTGCCCATAGGAGAACCTCAGCAGCTGAGCTAGAGGCCCTACTTAATCCACAACTTGTAAATTCAAATGCTATCCAAACTGCTTTGGTAAGGCATTGTCTTTTTAAAAGAAAGCATGAAACACCTGACACTTATCAACTGCCAAGTCAAATGTTCTCCGCCTATCTCCAGACAAAAAACAGTTTTAAGACTTGCACATACCCTCACCTAACTGCTTTCCACTTATCTGAACTGAGCATTCTCTTCCTCACCTTTAGTTACACACTGTTCCCTTTGCCCAGGGCATCTATTCTACTCCTCCCACGTCTATCCTCTTTCCTTGACAAGTTCTGTGTCTCCCTCATGGCTCAGTGTGGGTATCACTTCTTCCATAAAGTCTTCCTTCCACCTTCGCCCAATCAGGGTTTTTGTTTGTCTGTTTTTCTGTTTTGTTTTGTTTTTTTCAGCCTCAACCTCCTGAGCTCAAGAGATCCTTCCGCCTCAGCCTCCCGAGTAGCTACGGCTACAGGTACACACCATTATGCCAGGCTAATTTATTTTATGTAGAGATGTGGTCTCACTATGGACTATGTTGCCCAAGCTGGTCTTCAGCTCCTGGCTTCAAGTGATCCTCCTACCTTAGCATCCCAAAGTGCTGAGATTACAGAGGTGATCCCCACTGCACCCAGCCCCACACAGACAGGTTTGTTTTCAAATGAGGCTGCAGGCCAGCGCAGTGACCCATGCCTGTAATCCCAACACTTTGGAAGACCTAGGCCAGAGTATGTCTGGAGCCCAGGAGTTGGAGAACAGCCTGGACAATATTATGAAACCCTATCTCTACAAACAAAACAAAAATCACCTGGACGTGGTGGCAGACCCATAGTGGCACACACTGGTAGGCCTAGCTACTCAAGGAGGCTGAAGCAGCAGGATTGCTTGAGCCCAGGAGTTCAAGACTGCAGTGAGTTAGGATTGTGCTATTGCACCCCAGCCTGGGCAACTGAGCCAGACTCTGTCCCTAAAAAAAATAAATAAATAAGCAAATGTGGGGCCGAGCGTGGTGGCTCACACCTGTAATCCCAGCACTTCGGGAGGCCGAGGCAGGTGGATCA
Organism: Homo sapiens; assembly: GCF_000001405.40. Taxonomy (NCBI): domain Eukaryota; kingdom Metazoa; phylum Chordata; class Mammalia; order Primates; family Hominidae; genus Homo; species Homo sapiens. The sequence continues at coordinate 76,907 of NW_025791780.1, forward strand.
CTTGAGGTCAGGAATTCGAGACAAGCCTGGCCAACATGGTGAAGCCCGTCTCTACTAAAAATACAAAAAGTAGCCGGGCGTGGTGGTGGGTGCCCGTAGTCCCAGCTACTCGGGAGGCTGAGGCAGGAGAATCGTTGAACCCAGGAGGCAGAGGTAGCAGTGAGCCAAGATTGCGCCATTGCACTCCGGCCTGGGCAACAGAGCGAGACTCCATCTCTAAATAAATAAATAAATAAATAGGCAAGTGTGGCTCAAAGCACCCTGTACTCCCAATAGTATTACATCCCACTATACTATAACTGCCATTAAATTGTTCTCCCTTCCCATCAGCCTCTTCACCCATGTGTGATTAGCATGGTAACTGCCACATAGTAATTGGCCATTGACAAATAGCCACTCACTAGACAAACAAGCATCTGATTGCAAACCATTTCCACTTTTACACATAAATTGTTTCCATGATGTATCCATATATGGAGAACTAGGAAGACATAGGCTTTTGGGAAAGATAGTGAGACTCATCACCTGGAATATTCAATAGCTTCAGTAGCCAGTACCACTACTGCCAACTCAGTGTACAGACCATGCAATCTGTTGAGGGCCACTTGGCCACAAGCCTCCTATAAAGGTATTTCTGGAGCTGATGGAGCAGGAGAGTGGAAATGAGGCAGGATTGGTAAGGGGATGAATTAGTGATTTAGTGTTGACATCTGCACCAGTGACCCAGCCTGTCTTATCATTTGAGGGAAGTTTGTATCTGGGCCTAGGGAAAAAGAACAGAAGATAGAAGGCTCTAGTGAAAAAAAAGAAGGGTCTGCCTTTCCATTGGTGCTTGATGTTTATAAAGAAAAGTGGGGAATTGGCCGGGGGCGGTGGTTCACACCTGTAATCCCAGCACTTTGGGAGGCCGAGGTGGGCAGATCACCTGAGGTCAGGAGTTCAAGACTAGCCTGACCAGCATGGTGAAACCCCGTCTCTACTAAAAATACAAAAATTAGCCGGGCATAATAGTGGGCGCCTGTAATCCCAACTACTCGGGAGGCTGAGGCAGGAGAATTGCTTGAACCCTGGAAGCAGAGGTTGCAGTGAGCCAAGATCACACCACTGCACTCCAGTCTGGGTGACAGAGCGAGGCTCCGTCTCAAAAAAAAAAAAAAAAACAACAACAAAAAAGAAAAGTGGGGAATTAAGCTGCGGAATGGGAGTAGAAAGTCTCCATAAAAGTAGAGTTGCTTCTGAGCTGTTCCTCCAAGTGTTGGGATTTTGTCTCCAGAGCTAGAACAGGAAATCATATTGCAAGCCTTGACAATCTACATAAAATAATATGCTCTGAAAGCAAAAGCCAGAGAAGTGGAACTTTCTGTGCCAGGTGAGCTGTGGGCTGGGTCTTGGGAGATGGGTGAGAGGGTTGGTAATAGTTACAGTGAACTTCCATTTCCTTGGTCTTGTGTTTCTATGTGGAGAACTTCTGCTAAGAGTAAAACTGACTTCTTTCCTACTTCTCAATTTCTCTTTCTTCCTCTTGGAGAGTTTGGGAGAAGGCATCTCAACCCTTCCTGGACTTCTTCAAGTCAGCCTGTTCTAGTGGGCCCCATAAGCAAATGGAGGCTTCTCTGACAGCTTCTTTTCTCAAGTCTTGGTGACAAATATTTGTTTTTGCTTTGATTTGTTCCTTTCCAAAAAACTCTGAGTACAATGCAATCTTTTTAAATAGCGAATCACAGCTTGTTTTATGTGGCCAGATCTTACTGTTTGCTGTGAATTTTCAGAGATGCTACAGCCTTCTCAACAACAGATTATGAATCATTCCAAAGATTGACCTTCTAAAAACATTACCTGCAGATTCTGACAATGAATCTGTTTAGGATTTCCCCAGGAAAGAAAATAGAATGACTAGAGATTATGATGTTGCTTGTAGTTTAAATTTGGTGTTTGCCTTCTGCTTTCCCTGGTTCCTCTCGTACATGTTGTAAGATATAACATGTGGAAGAAAAGTGTAAGAAAAGCAAGAAATTCAGAATTTCATTATTCTGAAAGAAAGCCAAATTTATCTTTGCTTCTTTTTCGTAAACAAGGAGGTTTCACACCGGACGCATATAAAACACTTTGATGGAGCCCCATAGGGGAAAATAACCTTTCACGCATACTTCAACTGTTCCGTGGGTACTTTGAATGCAGGAAAACTACAACAGGCCCCGCTGGGATTCGAACCCAGGATCTCCTGTTTACTAGACAGGCGCTTTAACCAGCTAAGCCACGGAGCCACCATGCCTGCGGTGGTACAAATGAGCATAGAAAAGAGATGATCTTTGCCTTTGTTCTGTGCATTGATACACTTTCTTGTTACTGAGGTTTGAAAGTAGCTACACGCTTCTTCAGACACTGAAGATTAACCTTGGCTTCGCCCCAAAAGACCTAAGAAACCGCTCAGCTGCAGGATAACGAGGTTTTTCGCGTGGGGGAGGTGGGGGGTGAGGGAAAGGCTGGCGATAGCCTGACCCCCGCCCCGGGGCGAACAGGAGAGTCCTCCGAGAAACTGCCTCAAATAGCAAGCAGCTCATCCTAACGTGGATAAAGTATGACCTCGGGCTTCAGGGAGAAGAGGGTAGGAGAGCGGGTAGCCAGCCACATTTACAGAACACTCCTCCGAGTCGTGTAATGCATTTACACCAGAACACTTACGGCACCAAGAACTGATCTAGCAGGAAGGAAGCTATTTGTTTCTTATTTCATGGCTTTTAAATTAAACTGGAATTAGATTAAAATTCCAGTCATTCCTTACCCCATTTCTTTCCGTTAAAACTGGGCTCCACCTACCTGCTTCTTGCTTATTAAAGATTAACTAATGGGGTTCCAGAGTTGCTTCTTAAAAATGCAAGATTTAAGAATTAACAACTTAATCTTGGAAAGAGATAAAGAAGTCCCCTTCCCGGTATAGCTACACAGAAAGAAAAGCTTTCTTGTCCTAATACTTGTCCAAAGGATCTGATTTGATGTGTCAAATCAGCATTATATATATGTGTGTGTGTGTGTGTGTGTGTATGTGTATATATATATTATATATATATAGAGAGAGAGAGAGAGAGAAAATTTCTATATTGTCATGGGGGCTTATGTGTTTCCAACTTATTCTGTTCTCTATTAAAAATAAATCTGATCTTGGGAGTATAATTTGAATAAAGGGGTTTAATGAAATTCTGAAGAGTATACAAATTGTTGGCACAGCTGTGAAAGTAACTTCCCAAATGAAACCTGTAATTATGTTTGGCTGTTTTACTTGAAATCTGTTGTCCTGGTGGTTATGCTGAAACAGACATTTCAGTATTCCTTAGCTGTATCAATATTTGAAGGATTTCTCTGTCACAGTCTAAGGCAGACATTGGCATGTACCTTTGCCTATGTATGCGATGGGGGGAACAGTAAAAGGTCACGCCGACTAGAGTTTTCATTTTTATAAAAAGATGCAAGTCGGCCGGGCGCAGTGGCTCACGCCTGTAATCCCAGCACTTTGGGAGGCCGAGGCGGGCGGATCACGAGGTCAGGAGATCGAGACCATCCTGGCTAACACGGTGAAACCCCATCTCTACTAAAAATACAAAAAAATTAGCCAGGTGTGGTGGTGGGCGCCTGTAGTCCCAGCTACTCGGGAGGCTGAGCCAGGCGAATGGCGTGAACCTGGGAGGCAGAGCTTGCAGTGAGCTGAGGTCGCGCCACTGCACTCCACCCCGGGCGACAGAGCGAGACTCCGTCTCAAAAAAAAAAAAAAAAAAAAGATGCCAGTCTATGAATTCAGCACTCACTTTGATTGAGACTCATGAAATAAGCACTTATTACTTTATTATTATAAGATTAGCCATCATATTATTAGTGTGCTTGGAGCCAATATAATCATCATAAATAGCACAGTCACACCTAATATGGCTTTAACCCAACTGTGGCAGGCCCCAGACAGCAGAGCCAATAGTATTTTATTTTGGTTTTTCCTTTGGCAGCTGACGAAGTTTGCACAGAATTTCTAGAATGTCAAAGGAATTGTTTAGCCAGAGATGAGCCTTGGAAGCAAATTGAGACTTTGAGCAATCATTTACAGAACTCTTGGTGTGAACCATATCTTCTATTCAGTTCCGACTGTGATTAGGAACCATGGAACCCTCACATTGGCTCCGCTCCACACGTCTGAAATTGGAGAGGATGCAGGTGGCTGTGTCACAGACTGCCGACAGTCATGTAAAACAATGTGAGAGTGGCAGATGGTGTAGTTTTCCATGTGCCTGGGAGTGAAACTAAAAAAAACTGCACTGAAACACAGAGAAGAGTCCACCACTGTCATAGTTGTATGTGTCAACTTAGGCTACCCAGTTATTCAATTAAACACTAACCTACATGTTTCTGTGAAGTTATCTTGTAAATGTGGTTAACAATCAGTTAACCTTAAAAAAAGATTCTCCCTTATGTAGATGGGCCTTATCCAATCAGTTAAAAGGCTTTGAGAGCAAAACAAAGGCCTCCCTAAGGAAGAAGAAATTCTGTTTCAAGACTTCAGCATCAGCTTCTGCCTGAGAGTTTCCAGCCTGCCCTACAACCCTACAGGTTTCAGACTTGCCAGTCCTCACCCTAGATATATATAGATATATATCTAGATTTATATATCTGGACTCTTTCTCCGATATATGCTGAAGAAAAGACTGGAAGTTGAAACTGGAACTGTCAGAAAAGATGTAGAAAGATTTCCAAGAGCAAAGCAAAAGCATTTCTTTTTTTTTTTTTTTGAGACAGAGTTTTGCTCTTATTGCCTGGGCTGGAGTGCAATGGGCGCGATCTCGGCTCACTGCAACCTCCGCCTCCCGGGTTCAAGTAATTCTCCTGCCTCAGCTTCCCGAGTAGCTGGGACCCACGTCCGGCTAATTTTTTGTATTTTTAGTAGAGACGGGGTTTTACCATGTTGGGCAGGCTGGTCTCGATTTCCTTACCTCGTGATCCGCCCACCTCGGCCTCCCAAAGCGCTGGGATTACAGGCGTGAGCCACCACGCCCAGCTGAAAGCATTTATTGTAGTGAATATGGCTAAGAAATTTGAGGCACCCAAGGGAGGTCTTCAAAGCCTGCAAAACACAGATAAATTTTTATAGACAAACACTAAGGAGACTGAATGTGGACAGAGCCTACAGCCAGCTGGGTTAAAGCTCATTTTTAAGGTGCTAGGTGGGACCTGTGACTTCCAGGGATGCTCTAGCCTGACCAGCATGGAGAAACCCCGTCTCTACTAAAAATACAAAATTAGCCGGGCGTGGTGGAGCATGCCTGTAATCCCAGCTACTTGAGAGGCTGAGGCAGGAGAATCGCTTGAACCCGGGAGGCAGAGGTTGCGGTGAGCCGAGATCGCGCCATTGCACTCCAGCCTGGGCAATAAGAGCAAAATTCTGTCTCCAAAAAAAAAAAAAAAAAAGTTTTGGTAACCTATTTTAACATAATTAGTTTTCTTTTGAAATCTTACATATTTATCTTTTCTTTCGTGTATTTAAAAGTATTATTCTGAGATAGAGTCCAGAATCACCAAGCTGCCCTTGGGGTCCATAGTACAAAACCTAACGAGAAGATCCCTATGCTATTGCCTAGGGAGTAATCCATAACCTAGGTCTACCTTAATATTTATGCAGAAAGAGCAGAATATTTTTTGTAACGGCTGTTGAAACCTTATGAACTGAAAACAAATATTTTCTAATCTCAAAGTGTATATTCTCAATATCAGGCAGTTTTACTTCTGTTTAGTAGACCTCATCTTATTTAAAATGCTCACCAGGCATGGGGATGATTTATTCTCAGAAATATGGACAAACTAAAACACACACATATGAGACGTTTGTTTGCTTTCAAAGTGAAAAAGTGAACATTCATATGAGTGTCCGGGTTGATGATGCTCCTTATAAAGCTGTCAAATTCTGAGATCAAGGCCCTGCAGTAGAAGCAGCATGCAGTGAGGAGGCCTAGCACAGTTTCGCTTAGTAAAATATTTGAAGAAAAAAAAAAAAAGACCCACAGAGAGACAAATGAAAACTCAGACCACGTCACCGTACAACGGCTTCCAGTTTCCTACAGAATACCAGCCAGAGTCCTTACAAGAGCCTGTAAAGCTGGCCAGAGTCCTTACAAGGGCCTATAAAGCTGGAGGTGGTCTCCCAGGATCTCCTATTCCTCTCCACTGAGCACCGGCCTCCTCAACATAACTCCCAAGCCTGCTTCCACCTCCAGGCCTTTTCCCTAGCGATTTTTCCCTGTTCCAGATCACTCATTTCCCCGATATCAGCATTTATCCCTCATTCATCACTTTCACTGCTGGCCTTTCCTATCCTCTTTCCCTGTTTTATTATTATTTTTCTCCAATCGCTTATCACTATTATTTTGTTTATTTAATGCTTTATTATCCGCTTCCGCCACTGCCATGTAATCTTGAGGGCAAGGGTCTCTCATGTTTTCTTCACCGTTATCTGCAGTGCCTTGAACACTAATACTGGTTGAATGAACGAACGCATTAATGGAGCGGTGATATTGGGGCAGAGAGGATGCAGGGCTTGCTTTTCACCGCCATTTTTCAGCCGGCAGAGACAGACCGAGAAAGGAATGAAGGCCACGGGGCGTGTGCAGAAGTAGCTACCAGAGAGTCCATGCGCTGCGAGCCTGGACCAGCGGGCAAACGCGGCTTACAGGCGTTCACCCAGATATTACGGGTACAACCTAGTTTCTTATGAAATACCTCGCCCCTAAGGTACGCGCAGGGCCAGTGGCGCAATGGATAACGCGTCTGACTACGGATCAGAAGATTCCAGGTTCGACTCCTGGCTGGCTCGGTGTAAGCAGGGTCGTTTTACAACTTTCTGACTCCGCAGGAGTAAGGAAATTCCTGCAAGATAAATTTGCCTGGAAGACTCAGAAGCAAGAGGGGCAGCTCCCGACAACATATGGGGTTATCATTTCTTTGCGGAGCATTCTGCCACTGACCACGTGGTAACGCCAACTACGCCAGAGAAACGCTCGCCCTACCCAAGTTGTGCCCAGCCTTGCCTGGCCATTTTGGCCGAAGAACGAAGGACCGTTCAGAGATTAAATTAAAGTCTCTATTGTGTTCTTCCCTATTCAGTCATTTGTAGAATAAATTCTATGGCTTCAGTTTGAACACTGGAGGGGCTGGGTCTGAGCTTTTCATTGGTTTTTCTGGTTTGAGAGGTCGGTACAGAGACGCACGCGCACATCAGCAAAACACGCACTTGGAACGAAGAAACACGGAACTAGGCAGGAAGAACTATTTACTCTGAAAAATAAGCCCTTAGTGGGTTTCCGTAGTGTAGTGGTTATCACGTTCGCCTCACACGCGAAAGGTCCCCGGTTCGAAACCGGGCGGAAACACGTTTTTTTTTCCTCATCTTACTACGAAATTCTTCCAGTGTGTATCTTTTAAAGACTTTTTCAGGCTGTCATAAATTTCCTGTCTTCTTGTCTTGCTAGATCGGGGCAGCAGTGCTTAGGGCGGGCCTCAGAGGCTCACACACGTATCGCCAGGGGGAGAACCAGCTCTCTCCGGCTTGGACTCGGGGCGGCTCCCCGCCTGCAGCCCCGGAAGCGCATCCTCACCTTCCCTCGCCTTCCTGTTCCTGGCGGAGCCGGGCTCCGCTCGTCTTCTCTGTCTTAGGGCTGGTGCTGGCCCTGCCCACGCCTAGGGCTCCGGCGCGTCACGGGCCTCAGCTGGGATTCCCGCGCCCCTCGGACGGCCACGAGACTCGGGTAAGTGCCTCACAGACTTTGTGCGCTACCCCGGAAAATGAGGGGCGTGGTGGGGGGGGTCCCGCCGCCCTCCGTATACTTAGGACCCTCCTGCCAGCTGGCCCCGGTCATGATTAGGGGCCTTGGGCCCCGTCAGCCCCGCCTGTCTTCCCGTCTCCAGAGTAATCGCAGCATCTCTCCTGAGCTCCGAGTGTGAATCCCTGGGAAAAGCTGAATCCAGAGGTGGGGTCACAGAGAGCCGCAGGCCCGACCGGGATGAGAAGTCCTAATCGGCGTTCTAGGGGCGTTCTAAAAGAAGGAAGGAAGGGGATTTGAAAGGATTGCTCCCGCAGGGCTGTGGCCTTAAAGAGGTGGTGACTGGCAGGTTGGACTGACCTGCCGTGGGCTCTCCCTTCCTCCCCAATTTACCTTCGAGAAACCCTCGTTGAGGAGACACCCAAGGGCTGAGTCCTCCTCCACTTTGACCTTTTGCTATTCCATCACAAAGAAAAAATGGATCCCAAAGTTAAGAAATGGACCAGCACTTGTTTAGAATCAGGACTGGTGCCTTGGTGTTTGGCCTCTTACCTCTGCCACATGGCTTGCTTACAAGTTAATCGGATTAATCAAACGCTTTTATGAGAAAGTTTTGTTGTGTCACCTGGCAGCCTCGGGTGTTCCCTAAGAGGGATTTCTTTCTTAGATGTATTACTACTTTTTCTAGGGATTAGCCAAGCCTAGCCTCTCAGATCATATTGCTCCAGGTTCCCTCAAATGACTAATAAGAATGTGATGTGTTTGTTTTTGTTTGTTTGTTTTTGAGACGGAGTCTCACTCTGTTGTCCAGGCTGGGGTGCAATGGTGCGATCTCGCTCACTGCAACCTCCACCTCGATTCTTGTGCCTCAGGCTCCCGAGCAGCTGGGACTACAGGTGTGTAACACTACACCCGGATAATTTTTGTATTTTTAGTTGGAGACGGAGTTTCACCATATTGGCCAGGCTGGTCTCAAACTCCTGACCTCAAGTGATCCGCCCGCCTCGGCCTCCCAAAGTGCTGAGATTACAGGCATGAGCCACCGCGCCCAACCGAATGTGATATTTTTATGACCATGAGAAAAGAAGGGCTGCATTCTTTGGTGGGTCCGCAAAATTAAAAAAAAAAAAAAAAAAAGAAAAGAAAAGAAAGAAAAGGACAATGTTAATGAGCTGTTTTCTTTTTATCATTTTCTTAAACAGGCTGCTTGGGTAGACGTTGACTTGAAAGGTCCATTCTTTTGTCATCTTGCTGGTTCCCTTAACAAGACAACACCTTGGCTAGCAAGATAATATCTTGGTTAGCAAGACAATAAACTTGGGCATGTGCTCAACAGCAACCTGTCTAATACATTTTCATTTAAAATCCCCTCTGTACTACTCAGAAATATAAGCAAGTTATTATGGTGCCCAGAAAGGGGGCAAAGGTTCCAGGGTCCTAGGAGATGACAAGGATTTATCCTCTTCATCTTTCTCCGATCCCAGTTAGCAGGAATACTTTAGCCTGGAAGGTGAGTGTGCCCCTAACCAACCTTTACAGATGGGTGACTGTTTGGGAGCTTATGGCTCACTCCTTCTCTTTAAAGCAGATGCATTCTGGCAAGCTGCAGCAGCAAACCTACCCTTTTAGACACCCTGCGTTTTCTCATCTTTCCTTTCTACCCCTGCATCTCCCAGTCTCTCTCACTTAACCTCCGTGGAAACTCATGCTGCGTCTCTAATACTTTGGAAGATGAAGAACAAACGCCCTGGAGAGTGACTGACACCATGTGACCTCTTGCTTCTGTAGCACACTGCATCTTGCCTGTGAATCTTTTTTTTTTTTTCTTTTTTTTTTGAGACCGGGTCTTGCTCTGTCACCCAGGCTGGAGTGCAGTGGCACAATCTTGGCTCACTGCAACCTCCGCCTCCCAGGCTCAAGTGATTCTCCTGCCTCAGCTTCCCAAGTAGTTGGGACTATAGGCATATGCCACCACACCCAGCTAATTTTTGTATTTTTAGTAGAAATGGGTTTCACCATGTTGGCCAGGCTGGTCTTGAACTCCTGACCTCAAGTGATCCACCTGCCTCCACCTCCCAAAGTGCTGGGATTACAGGCGTGAGCCACCACGCCCAGCATTTGCCTGTGCATTTTTTATTGTATTTTAATTATATCCTTTATTCTCTCCTTCCTAAGCTTGGTGTTCTTAACTTTCTTCCAGATCTTCCCTCCAACCCCCAAACACGATCTCTCCTTAAGTAAGAGGCAGGGAGGGAGAGGGGAACCTTCTGATTTCGGGGTGGGATTGAGGCTAAAACCCAAGTTAGAACTACCTCCCAGAAACCCAGTTCCGTATCCATCGAGTGATCAAAAAGATGCTGCTAAAATGTGCCTTGTGTTTGCTAGGGATGAGGTGAAAATGAGTATTGAATGAGGTGGCATTTTGGTCCATGGATTTGCTTGCTATGAAAGAGAAAAAACATGGAAAAATATATTTTGAGAGCTGGGTGAGACCCCCAAATTAATCTAATCCAAGATGTTTCCCTAGTCATTACATTCCTTTTTTTTTGAAACAGAATCTCACTCTATTGCCCAGGCTGGAGTGCAGTGGCGCAATCTCGGCTCACTGCAACCTCTGCCTCCCGGGTTCAAGCAATTCTCCTGCCTCAGCATCCTTAGTAGCTGGGATTACAGGCACGCACCACCACCCATGGCTAATTTTGTATTTTTAGTAGAGATAGGGTTTCACCATGTTGGCCAGGCTGGTCTCGAACTTCTGACCACCTTGGCCTCCCAAAGTTCTGGGATTACAGGCGTGAGCCACCACGCCCTGCCTGAGTCACTAAATTCTTACACTGTTCCCTCCTATGTTAGTCCGCTAGGGCTGCCGAAACAAGGTACCACAGGCTGAGTGACTTAAACAACAAAAATTAATTTTCTTTGACTTCTGGAGGATAGAAGTCCAAGATCAAGATGTCGGCAGGTTTGGTTTCTTCTGAGGCCTCTCCTTGGCTTGCAGATGGCCACCTCCCACTACATCCTTAGATGTGTTCCTCTATGTTGTCTGTATCCTAATCTCCTCTTCCTATAAGTACACCAGTAATATTGAATTAGGGCCCACCCATAATACCCTATTTTGCTTTTTATTTCACTATTAGTTTTTTTTTTAAAGCTATTTTTGCCAGTTAATTTAAACATCATGATCTTCTTCTAATGATAAAAATGCAAGTCTTCATGCTAACAAAAGGATTGGAAGAAGGATGAAGCAGATGTTTCTTCTCCCCTACAGCAATCTGGTTAAATGAGGAGTTAAATTGAGAGCTTTCATGAGAATTTCAGTCCAGTTCTGTGCAATGAAGACGAGTGATTCAAAACTTTCACTAACTTGCTCTGTTGTTTGTAATATAATGTTATTGGAAGAGTTATTTTAACAAAGGGGAACTGTTATATTTCTAAAACTTTTAAAATTGTTGCCATGTCTTGGGAAAATAACTTCAGTATCTGTCTTGATAATTTCTTGCCCTGATGATACCATTGAAAGTCATTTCTCTATGTTTCCAAAAGTTGTACAATTACTAGTAAGATTTATCTGCCAGTTAATAATTTTTCTTTTCTTCCACATGCATGAAGGAGTATTTGTAATGACTTTTATATTTTATCATTAACATTATTTTTTTGAACTCTTAAAATGCGTATTTTTTTTTTACATTAATAGACTTCCTTTTTTCAGAGCAATTTTTGGTTTACAGAAAATTGAGCAGAAGATACAGAGTTCCCACATACTTCCTTTCCCCCACCTCAGTTTCTCCTAAGTTATTAACAACTTACACTGGTGTGGTACATTTGTTACAAATGATGAACTAATATTGATAGCTTATTATTAACTAAAATATATAGTTTACATCAGGGTTCACTCACTGTATGAAGTTCTGTGGGTTTTGTCAAGTGCATAACATCTACCATTTTATAATATATGCCATTACAGTAGCATACAAAAGAGTTTCATTTACCTAAAAATCTCTTCTGCGCCACCTCAAATAATTTCTTCTGAGTTAAAACCACTGTGTGGTGAGAGCTCCTTCCTTTTCCAACCTCCTTGTCCTTTATGGAAATGGTAAGAGCTTTTACCCATCTCTCTGGTCCCTTTTCATTATGTGTGTATCTGTCTCCCACATTTGTAAGGTCTCTAGAGAGTCAGTGACCTGGTCTCCTAATCAGCTTCCTAAAGGTGAGTTTCAAGAATTAAATCCGTATTTATATACTCAGATACAGCATCCAGGCAGTGGCCTATTTTTCCTGATTTTATTTTGTCACCTGCTGTATTTTGGCCTTTGACATGTGGAGATCATGGCCCCCCTACTTCGGATGGACTTCAATGGATCTAACTCGAAGAAGACTGAACCCAGGAAAAGAGACTGTGTGAGCATTCTCACACCAGGAAATGGGCTGAGAAACAATTTTGGAGTGAGATGGAAGGAGAATGGTATGGAGTATCTATTCTTAGGGAAATGTGTGCTAGGCCAAAATCTCACTTTTTGGTTAAACACTCTCATTCTCTGATAACATAAAGGCCTCTAAAAATATATGCAGAATATTTGGGGTAACCTTATTATTCATTGCCCAAGTTAGGTCACCTTTCAAAGTAAAAGGGAACATTATGAATAATTATACTAGGGCAACAGGTATAAATCAAGTCACCCTACCATTAGACCAAGTGATTTTCACTGGTTCCTTCATTGTAAGAGTAACTCCTTTTGTTTCCTAAAAATTGTTAAAATGATTCCTTAATGTTGCATTTGAAATAAAGGGAAAAAGACAAAAATTAGCAATAAATTCATGTAATGTCTAGGCAAGGATTTCTTCAGAAGAGAGCAGGTCAGGTGTAGTTAGATCAGTAGAACTGTATGTCTCAGTGGCACCATTACCTTTTTTTTTTTTTTTTTTGAAGCAGAGTCTCACTCTGTCCCCCAGGCTGGAGTGCAGTGGCACAATCTCGGCTCACTGCAACCTCCGCCTCCCAGGTTCAAGCAATTCTCAGGTGGATCACCTGATGTCAGGAGTTCGAGACTAGCCTGGCCAACACGGTGAAACCCTGTCTCTAGTAAAAATACAAAAATTGGCTGGGTATGGTGGCGTGCGCCTGTAATCCCAGCTACCCAGGAGGCTGAGGCAGGAGAATTGCTTGAACCCGGGAGGCAGAGGTTGCAGTGAGCCGAGATCGCACCACTGCACTCCAGCCTGGGTGACAGAACGAGACTCTGAGACTCTATCTCAAAAAAAAAAAAAAAAAAAAAAAAAAACTGGAGCAATTTGGAGACAAGATTAAAAAAATAATAATAACATTGTAGAATGGTGGCCACTCACAAGGTTACAGAATTTCCCAGTAAATGTTTTCAAGGGTGGGGCAGAAGGTATGATAGACAAAAGCTTTAAAAAAGTCACACAGTGCCCATGAATGCCAGCCCTAGGCCTAAGTCCTAATTACTCAAACTCAAACTATTTTCCATTTCCTACCTGTGTGGCTCTCAATCTGTGCTCTGGGCTACCCACATTTTTTAGTACTTTTATTAATTCTTGAGCAGACACATACAATTTTTCTGTGTAAGACATAGGTAATACTCCAGCCATGTGCTTCCCCTACAGTTTAAAGAAGAGAATGCAACCTCCCCCATCTCTGGACTAACCTCCATGCCTTCTCCAACTACATCCCTTTCCCAACTCCCAAGAGATGACCACTGTCCAATTTTTATTTATCCCTTTTTTTTTAAGTTTTACTATATGTTTGTGGCCTCAACATGTCATAGTTTTACATGTGTAAATGGATCTATAGTGTACATATTCTTCTGCAACTTGCTATTTTTCTTCGGCATTATATTCTTGAGATTCATCCTCGTTTTTGAACCTACCTGTAATCTATTTGTTTCTGCTGCTGAATGGTATTCCCTTTTATACATACTACCAAAATATATGCATCCCTTCTACTATTGAAGGACATTTGGGTGATTTACAGGTTTTTGAAATTACAGTGTTGCTAGAAACATTCTTGTGGAGATCTCCTGTCCACACCTCCAAGAATCCCTCTAAGTAAACACCTAGAAGTAAAATTGCTTTACACAATACCACTGTTTGCAGAGTGCTTTACAAATAACCACTGTTTCCAAAAGCAAATACACTAATTGGCACACACACACAGCAGTACATAAGGGTTTTGATTGCTCCATATCAGCTGAGCCCTTGATATTGTCAGACAACTTGGTTTTCCTCAGTTTGATAGATATGAAATGTTATATCCTATGCTTTTAATATGTACTTCTTATATATTTTTAGGTGCTTATTCCTCACTCATGCTTCCAAGAAGTACCTGTTAACATTTTTTGCCATAGTTTTAAAATTTTCATTTTGTCCTTTCCTCATGGATCTATAGGAATGCTTTATGTATTCAGGATTCTAACATTTTGTCCATTATATATTTTACATATATCTTTGCCAAGCTGGTACTTATTGTTTTACTTTTATTATGCTATCTTTTTTGATATACACGAATTATTAACAATATAGTCAATTTGATTTTTAACGTTTACATTCGTCAGTCTTTCCCTTTATGGTTTACGCTTTTTGTGTCTTGTTAAAGACATCTTTCCAGGAACAGCGTGAGGAGGACAGAAGCACCCAACAGGACTGCTCAAGCCACCTGCGAACACTGCTGCTACCATGCCCAAGAGAAAGGCAAAAGGAGATGCTAAAGGTGATAAAGCAAAGGTGAAGGATGAGCCACAGAGGAGATCAGCTCGGTTGTCTGCTAAACCAGCTCCTCCAAAACCAGAGCCCAGGCCTAAAAAGGCCTCTGCAAAGAAGGGAGAGAAGCTTCCCAAAGGGAGAAAGGGGAAAGCAGATGCTGGAAAGGATGGGAACAACCCTGCAAAAAACCGAGATGCCTCTACACTCCAGTCCCAGAAAGCGGAAGGCACTGGGGATGCCAAGTGAAATGTACATTTTTGAGAGCTCTGTACTTATAGTGACTCTACTGTTTGAAATACTATTTTTTTAAATCAAGTTTTATAAAAGTGTAGAATTTTGGCTTTTTTAAGTTATGTTGTTAGCACACAGGACACTTCCTTGTTGTCTTTTGTGGAAAGGGCAAGTACCACTAATAGGGTGTATCTCAGAAACTGAATTGAAATAAGGGAAAATAGGATTTTCTGTCCTGGTTTTTGAAGATTGTTCTTGATTCCCTTGATTCCCAGGAGAGATTCTCTGACATTCACGTGTCAGCCACTTTGGCACGGAAGCCTTACAGTGTGGGGAACCAAAACTTCGTGTCTCCCCTTTCCCCGATGCCATCAGCATAGACTTGACTTCCTTAAACCGAGAGTTTTGATGTGGCCTTGGCAACCCTAAAATCAGCTGTGTTAGGTAACAAAACTCAGGCTTTCTGTTGATGACATCGAGATGGTGTCACTTAAAAGAGCCAAGATTCCTGTTTTCAGTTTGTGGATTCATCCTGCTGGTTTTACTTTAGTCCCTCCATGTCAAAGTGGGCCTGAGAAAAGCTCATACATGCCTCATGTGAAGTGTCCACCCTCTCTGAAAATCTTTCTTGTTCAAAACAGCAACGACATATCTTGTTAACTTTTACGGTGACTTTTGGAGGAGGGGAGTTTGGAAATTGTAAAATGTTATAGATTGTTGCCTATTTCCTGCTGAAAGTAAATGTTTTTAAAAAGTATCATATAAAGCTGAATACAAATTGGTTTGGGGGGAGATCCTTTCCTACCCAAAGTCATAAATATATTCTTTACTGCCTTGTGGAAATTTTATAGTTTTGCCTTTCACATTTGTCTTTAGTCTGTCCTGAACTGATTTTTGTGAAAATTATGAGTTAGAAATTCAACTTAACATTTTTCATATTCGAAGTGGTTGTCTCTGCACTATTTACTGAAAAGTTCATCCTTTCCCCAGTGATTTGTAACACTGCCTCTTTCATAAATTAAATTTTTGTGTATGTGTGTGGGTCTTTTGATGGTTTCTATTCTGACTGACATCAATTTGTCTAATCTTGTAGCAGTACAGTACAGTCCTGATTATTGCAACTTTAGGAAAAGGTCTGATAAAAACCAAGATGCCTCCACATTTTGTCATAATTGTAACCAATTTCACCTCTGTCTCCAGTATCACCACAAAATTGTTCTTCCTTGGAGTGTCTTGGCTATTCTTAGCCAACTGTTCCTCCATATTACTTCTAGAATTAGACCAACAATTTATAAATCAAACAAACCCAAGAGCATTGAAATTTTGATTGGATTTGTATTGAATTTATAGATTAATCTGGTAAACCATGTCATCTTTACAATGTTGTCTTCCAATACATGAATATGGTACAGCTCTTCATTTACTTAGGCCTTTGAAATATCTTTCAATAAAGTTTATAATTTTCTCCATAAAGGTCTTCTTGTTAATATTTCCTAGGGACTTTATGCTTTTTAACACTACTTCGTATGGTATATTTTTAGTTACCACATTTTCTGTTTTTAGCTAATGTTGATTTCGATTTTTGTATCCAGCAGCCTTGCTACCTCTCATTCTTGTATCTGCATATTCTTGTGGGTTTGTTTGTTTTTTTTACATAGACAACCATATATTCTGTGTATACAAACAATTTTGTTTCTTCTTAGTCCTTATTATACCTGTAATTTCTTTTTCAAATGGTCAGCGTAGTCTAGGTGTTGGTGTCTGCTTTTTTTTTTTTTTTTTTTTTTTCCCAGACAGAGTCTCACTCTGTCTTCCAGACTGGAGTGCAGTGGTGTGATCTTGGCTCACTGCAACTTCCACCTCCCGGGTTCAAACGATTCTTCTGCCTCAGCCTCCGAGTACCTGGGACTACAGGCGCGCGCCACCACACCCGGCCAATGTTTGTATTTTTAGTAGAGACGGAGTTTCACCATGTTGGCCATGCTGGTCTCGAACTCCTGACCTCAGGTGATCCACCCGCCTCAGCCTCTCAAAGTGCTGGGATTACAGTCGTGCGCCACCACGCCCGGCCGTGTCTCTGCATTTTTTTTTGAAATGGAGTCTCACTCTGTTACCCAGGCTAGAGTGCAGTGGCGCAATCTCTGCTCACTGCAACCTCCGCCCCCGATTCTCCTGCCTCAGCCTCCCGAGTAGCTGGTATTACAGGCACCTACCACCAGGCCCGGCTAATTTTATTATTATTATTATTTTGCATTTTTAGAAGAGACGGGGTTTTGCCATATTGGCCAGGCTGATCTCAACCTCCTGGCCTCAAGTGATCAGCCCGCCTCGGCCTCCCAAAGTGCTGGGATTACAGGCATCAGCCACCATGCCTGGTGCCATTAGAGTTTCGAGCAAAGAAATGGCACAATCTAAGGTGTTTTATATATGTGTGTGTGTGAGTATGGCTGCTGCATGAGCAATAGACTAAGCTGTCACAGCAATCTAGGCAAAACATGTTGATGATTTGGACATGGTATGGAACGGTGAAGAGGTCTGAGAGAGTTGGCAGTAAATAATGCCAAGCTTGGATGATTGCTTAGCCTTTCTGAGCCACAATCTCCTCAGTAACAAAGCAAGAACTATTATCTATTTTGCAAGGTTTTGAAAAGAATTAGAGATACTTTATGGAAATGACTAGTAGTGCAATTTACCTCATTAGCATATTGATGCATAAAGCTCTGTTGAAGATTTGAAAAAAAGATTCATATTTCCCAGAATCTTACATCGCCACTGAAAAACAAGGAAAAAAGACAATTCGATTACTCCACAAAACTGAGACCCAGGCCACTCCATATGGAGCCCTTACTAAAACCAGTAAGTAGCATATATAGTAAAACTGGAATTACATAATAGCATTTTTTTCCATTGTAATAGTGAATTGCTGGCATTTCTACTTTGTCATGCCGTATTACCATCCTTCATCTGCTCAACTATTCCCAATCCATTTTATTTGATAAACAGCAAACATTTATCTGCACTTTATGCCTGACAACAGATTAGGATCAAAGATAAAAGAAATATTCCCTGTTCTCAGCTCAAAGTTGAATGAGAGCCTGGTGCAGTGGCTCACACCTGTAATCCCAGCACTTTGGGAGGCCAAGGCGGGCAGATCATTTGAGGTCAAGAGTTTGAGACCAGCCTGACCAACATAGTGAAACCCTGTCTCCTACTAAAAATACCAAAATATTAGCCAGGCGTGGTGGCGCATCCCTGCAGTCCCAGCTACTCAAGAGGCTGAGGCAGGAGAATCGCTTGAACCGGGGAGGCGGAGGTTGCAGAGAGCCGAGATGGCGCCACTGCACTCCAGCCTGGGCGACAGAGTGAAACTCCATCTCAAAAAAAAAAAAAAAAAAAAAAAAAGTTGAATGGGATAGAGAGATAGGTCACCATACAGTAGTGTGCTCTCTGTTATAACACAGCAAGAGACCCAAACCCTGATGCCAGGGCATGAAGGTGCCTTAGGGAGGACTTCCTGGAGTATGTTGACATATGACCAGCAAAATGAAAACAGAAAGGAGCTGGTCAAGCAAGGAGTGGGGAAAAGGCTTCCAGTAAGAATAATAACATTTACGAAGATGTTAAGAGAATATGGATAGTGCATATAGATGTGCATAGTAGTTGTTTACTTTTATTCTTTTTCACCCCTCTTGCTGTCATCTTAGGTGCATAGTAGATGTTCAATAAATTATTGTTGGATCAAAAAATTAAGATGAATAACCAAATTATATCAGGTTTCTGACTATAATAAAAGAGAATTATTAAGTGTTGTTGCCAAACTGTGTGCCCAGTGATTTACATGAAAAATTTTATTTCGAAAACCCTATGAGCTGAGTAGTATTGTTCTCATTTAACTTTACATTTAGACAAACATAAATTTAGACATATATCAGCCTGGGTGATCTAGAGGTTTTTTTGTTTGCTTGTTTGTTTTTTTGAGACGGAGTTTCACTCTTGTCGCCCAGGCTGGAGTGCATTAGCGCGATCTCAGCTCACTGCAACCTCCGCCTCCCGGGTTCAAGTGATTCTCTTGTCTCACCCTGCCGAGTGGCTGGAATTACAGGCGCCTGCCACCATGTCTGGCTAATCTTTTGTATTTGTTTTAGTCGAGACAGGGTTTCACCATTTTTGCCAGGCTGGTCTCGAACTCCTGACCTCGTGATCCACCCGCCTCGGCCTCCCAAAGTGCTGGGATTACAGGCGTGAGCCACCACGCCCGGCCTAGAGTTTTTAATAACCAAATTTCTGACCCTCACATCTGAGGCACTGAGCATGGAAGAGTTGGAAAGAAGAGGGAGGGAAACTTATTTTTCTGTATCTGTTCTTGCACCACTACCTTCTTTTCTCAATAGTTGTTGTGTTACAGAAAAAGGGTCCCGATCCAGACCCCAAGGGAGGGTTCTTGGCTCTCCCGCAAGAAAGAATTCAGGGCGAGTCCGCAGTGCAAAGTAAAAGCAGGTTTATTAAGAAAGTTAAGTAGTGAAAGTACAGCTACTCCATAGACAGAGTAGGGTGTTCCTGAAACGCGGAGGAAAGTGTCCACCCTAGATACATACCTGTAAGTATGGGGAGATGTGCTCTGCTACAAGGGTCTGTGATAAAGGATTAATTTTCTTATTATATTTTGTAAGAATCGATATTATTATCTTTAAAGCAAAATTTGGAATGCCTTTGTTCTCCAGATATGGGGACATCTAGACACTCCCAAGTCTGGGTCTGTTTAGTAAACATTATTAATTTGTTCCCTTAACCATAAACATCTAGAGGCTAGGAATGCCTGACTTTCTGGGAATGCAGCCCAGCAAAAGTCCCGGCCTCGTTTTCCTAGCCCTCACTCAAAATGGAGTCGCTCTGGTTCGAATGCCTCTCACAGAAATCCCGCTAAAATGTACCTCCCTCGGTTGCGGTGAGCCGTGATCGTGCCACTGCACTCCAGCCTGGGAGATAGAGTGAGAACTCCGTCTCAAAAAAAAAAAAAAAAAATACCTCCTTCTTCTCTCAAAACTCTCCAATGGCTTCCACCCTGGGTCATCAACATGGCCTGGAAGAGCCGTACTCTGGATACCCGAGGGCGCGGCCCCAGCGCCGCGACGCCCCGCCCCTCTGGCTGCTCCGCTCTGGGATGCACTTCCGACGCCCTCTAGGCTTGGGAGTTCCGCGCCTCTCGGTGTCGCCTGGGGGGCGTGCTCCGGTTGGCGCACTGATTCCCAGTTGGGTAGGGGAGGCTTGACTGAGCTCCCACCCGGAATTTCACCTTAGACCTTTAAAGACCTTGCTCCGGCCTCCCGCGCCAGCGCTAACACCTAGTCCTCTTTAGTGGAGTTCCGGCGGAAGGGGATGGCGGGCACCCGACGGTGGTCTCCTCCCAGATGGCGAATTTCCGCGGCTTCTTCATCTTTTAGCTCCCAGGGAGCCCTCTGGCCCCAGCATGAAGCCCATGGAGCCCTTTTCAAAATTGTATTTTTAAAAGCTTTTAAAAAATACACAGGATTTTAAAGAAAGCCAATTGTACTACAAAACAGTTTTCAAACGATTAAAATAATTTCATAGAGTAATGTGTGCTTCTCATTAATGCATTAAATATTAAACATCAAGACCCGTCTTATGACTGCTGTAATTTTCAAACAGTTGTCTTGGGTATTTGTAACAACTGTATTGTGATACAAAAATATGTGATTTTTCTTTTCTTTTTTTTTAGACAGAGTCTCCCTCTGTCGCCTAGGCTGGAGTGCAGTGGCGTGGTCTCTGCTCACTGCAAGCTCCGCCTCCCGGGTTCACGCCATTCTCCTGCCTCAGCCTCCCGAGTAGCTGGGACTACAGGTGCCCGCCACCAATTTTGTTTTTGTATTTTTAGTAGAGACGGGGTTTCACCGTATTAGCCAGGATGGTCTTGATCTCCTGACCTGGTGATCCGCCCGCCTCGGCCTCCCAAAGTGCTGGAATTACAGGCATGAGCCACCACCCCCGGCCAAAAATATGTGATTTTTCTTGATGACAGAGTCGTAGTTACTTCTCTTTCAATTGTGGTTTGTTACCTGTATTAGTAAGTGAAAGATATGTTAAATTTCAGTTAGAATAGACTAGAATCAGAAATAATCAGAATGCAGTGTGTGTGTTAAGAGTAAGGAATAGTTCATGCAACTTTTGTTTCTGTTACATATGTATGACTGAATTACGATGTAAACTAAACTAAATTGTAGGTCACCACCAAAAAAATGAAAGCTACTGCCACTAGGCCCAAGTTCTGGGTGAAGAACCACGTCTGTTTACCTGGGCAACCCCATGGATCAGGAAAGCAGGGGATCAGAAAGGAGCACGCTAATAGAGAAAAGAGGGAGCCTGTGCATTTTTGTTGCTTTTCAAGAAAGAGTTTAACCTTTAACAACTTGTAGCCATTGTTATTGCAACTTTTACTCCTATTGCAGATGAAAAGCTTTGTGCGCTGTGGCTCCCTTTCCAAAAGGCCCATCTATTTTCTAAACAGCTCCTAGGTTATGAGACCTATGGTCAGCTCAAGAGTCCTTCATTTATTCGGGGATATCAGCCCGTGACTTGACCTTAACCTTCCTCTCTCTAACTGCAGTAACCTCTCCCGCCTTGTCCATAGTTTCCCTTCCGCTGTCTCAGTTACCCCCTTCAACCGTGGTCCAAAAATATTAAATGAAAATTCCAGAAATAAAAAATTCATAAGTTTCAAATAACTCCCCTTTCTCAGTAGCGTCATGAAATCTCCCACCCGCCCGAGGATCATCCCTTTGTCCAGACTATCCACGCGGTATGCGCTCCCCACATCTTAGTCACTTAGTATTCATCCTGGTTATCAGATCGAAAAAACATAGTATACTATGGTACTATCCGAGGTTTCAGGCATTCACTGTGTGTCTTGGAACATATCTCCTGCTGATAAGGAAAGAATACTGTACGTATTGGGTTAAAAATGAAGAAATGGAAATAAAAAAGGAGAAATACAGCGACACCTGAACAGGGACTTGAAACCTGGTTCCTCAGATTAAAAGTCCATGGCCATACTGACTGAGCTACCAAGCTTCATACAAAATGTCCAAACTGCATCAACCCTGGTTTATTAATCTATGTATCTGACCTAGAAGGTGATTTTAGAAGGTTCAGCTGCGATTTTAATAAGGACCTGGTAATTTAGAAATTCTTGCTAATAACAGCACAGAAGCTCAGCCATAACGAGGGTCCGTTTTAAGACCGAGGTCTAACCATATTACAAATCCATACTAACATCCCCCCAAAATTCTATCTATCTATCTATCTATCTATCTATCTATCTATCTATCATCTATCTATCTATCTACCCACCTACCCATCTACCTATCTTTCTACACGCATATATATGTATTCATATAATCCAGTCCAGTCAAGGACTAACAGAATGCTCGCCTTCAGTTCCTAGGCTTCCCAGATAAATATCTCAAATCCTCTCTCTAAACTTGGGCCCAAACAAAACATTTTCAAAAGTAACCTGATCTGACGCTGGTGCACATAAAGGGGAGTAATTGAATCACCTTTTCGGCGACGGACTTAGGGAAGCTGTTGTGAGACGAAAGATAGAGAAAACTGATTTAGCAGTTCTTGGTTTCACCTGCCTTGGTTTTCCTTAAAAAAGGAAAAATAAATTAAAGAAGTTTGTGAAGAAGCGTCCTCACTCTCCTTTTTCTTGTCAGATTTCCAGGTAGTTGTCAATAGTTCTATCCCTGGGTCAGTAGGTTAAGTATTTGACAAGCATGTCTGATGGCTGGAAGGTTTTCCACACTTTGAAAACTGATGGATGCTGCCCCATTAACCATTTCAGGATTTTGTTCGACAAATAAAAGAGAATTTAGTTTCAGCAGTCCGCAAATCTTAGAATTTTGGGGACAGAGATGGGGACGGGGACAGATATGGGAGGACGGAGACGGCGGGGCGGTGGGGTGGTAGCAGAAATCTTTCACAAACAACTAGGGAGAGCTACAAAGAACGGTTTCTTAGGGTAGGGGATGTAGCTCAGTGGTAGAGCGCATGCTTCGCATGTATGAGGTCCCGGGTTCGATCCCCGGCATCTCCAAGTTGTTTTATCCTATCTGCCCAATACTATTAGAAACTATATTTCAAAATGTGAAATAATTGTGTTTTGTATCCTCCACTTCTTTAACTTTTTATGGCTTTCTTTTAGCCACTGTATGTAGAATTGTATATGGAGCACGGGGAACAAGATTGCTTTGAAGTATTTTGAACTATCTATGTGAAACAAATGGAATTGAGAACACAGAAAAACATGCCCAATGGGGAGATGACAGAAGAGGAGCAACCTGGAAAGTTGCCCGGAACCCATTAATGAGCCCTATTTGTGGTATATGGTTTGCCTTTAGGGCAGAAATAATCTTGGCTTGAGAACATGGAAAGGGGAGGGAAGACGGGCTATTGTTAGTCCTGTGAGTCATAGGATGATAAAAATAGGACAAATATCGAAAGAAGGATGAATCTCAGCTCAGCACGGGCGAATTTGGCTGCTCTAGTGCACCGGTCTCCCGTAGGGGAATAACAAAAATGAAAACATTCCGAAACACTGATGAAATTCTTGATGCAGTTTTTAAAACTTCTTGGAGACAGGTGGCCGGTTAGCTCAGTTGGTTAGAGCGTGGTGCTAATAACGCCAAGGTCGCGGGTTCGATCCCCGTACGGGCCAACTTTGTTTTCTTCCATCACGTAACTTACGGCCAAAGACAAGGAAAAATCAATTGTCTGAGGACTGTTACTACAAGAAAGACTGTGCTAACCTTTATAACTAACACTTTGCCAGAAGTCCAAACCTTTGTAGCAAGTCCAGAGGTCCTGTTTTCTTAAGTCATGGTGCTCAAAATGTTTGCTCATGAGAAGCAGAAAAGCAGTAGGATAGTTTAGGAGTTAGATTTAAATTCAATAGAGGGCAAAACAGTGCCACCAATTTGTTTAGTGCCCCAACACTGTCCTTGAAATAGTCTGAAAACAGATAAATCTTCAGATAATGAAATGTGGGGCAAGTGTGAGAAGGCAGTGTTCATTATCTCTGATTGCCCAATTAAGGATCCCTACTTGGGAAGATCAACACTCACACATCAAGACAGAAATTCCATTCCGAGAGAAACATTTTCTTGTTACTTTGATTTCCCAAGAAAGGACTATGCCCCTTTCCAAAATCTACCTTTTTCACATCAGCAACCTGGACCTGTTGGTCCAGGTTGGCCAACGCCGGGAATAACTGCTCAGTCCACATCTTGATGTTAAATATCCCCTGTTCCTTGTACAACTAATGCTCTCTGTTTATTTACGACCTCACAGCTGTATAGCCTGTTGAGTGATTTTTCAGGTGTTTTACTATTTTCTGTGGAAAATGCTGATCGCAACTCACGAGCTCCACGTGGGCTTTGTTAGCCCCACACCTGTGGGTGAGCTCTAGCGCTTGTCAAAAACGAAACTTACTGGGCCTCGCCTCCAGAGACTTTTACTCAGATTTGAGAAGGAACCCAGATTTCTGCGTTTTAAACAAACGCCACAGCTGTTTCTCAGAAAGGCTGTGTCAAGAGCCCTTTGAGATAACAGTCCTTAGGATTGGATTGAGGGAAAATTCGGAGAAATTCTGAGAGCCTCATTGACCTGATAATTTTTTTAACAAAATTAATTAAAGGTATTATCAGTTATAGTTGCATATAGCTACACGTACATTTAAAAAAAAAGAAATTTGGTAAATATTTAACGCATCTAAAATAATAAATGCTCAGGCGGCTCGTTGGTCTAGGGGTATGATTCTCGCTTAGGGTGCGAGAGGTCCCGGGTTCAAATCCCGGACGAGCCCTAGTTTTGTCCCTTGCTTCTGAATCTGGCTGCTTTCGCCCAACCTTAGTATATAAGTTAAAACTTGCCAGTTAGAAGCGCCGATAATTGTGGCATCGATATGCGTTAGAAACCAACAAGTGAGTTGCGATCTCTAGTTAAGGAGTTTTTTTTTGTTTTTGTTTTTTGTTTTTTTTTTTTTTTTGATTCTCTTTAGTCCGCTCTACAGACTTTTGCAAAGGCAAACGTTTCCGGATCTTCTAGAAGTTCCGACTCCACGATTGTGTTCATGTGAAATATGTTAGAAATAAAATGGTCACATCTTAATTCAATGCTATTTATTATTGATTCATTACATCAAAGGATGGATTTAAACGGGAAGATCAAGAGTCAAGGTGTTAGGAACCTTTGAGTTATTTAGACTTTCCTCGTTGCTACAGCGTCAAGTACTACTCTGTCACACAGATCACGGTTCTGCTTTCTTCTGAGAAGGAGCATTTTTTCTCTCCTCCTGGAGCGTACCATTGGTATACTCATTAAGTAGATTTTTTTTTTTAATCTGTTGTGCTGAATCTACTTTTGCGGTTGGCGGTAAACACAACATACAAAAATCACTGCATCCTATATTGTAGTGGTTGTCAGATACTTTATATTAAAATATAATTGCAACCCTGCCCCCTTTTCTACGTGTGCCTTGATTATGAAGGACAACAAATGAGCAAACATACGGGTCCCGCAAAGGTGGGAGAACACCGCAGACATTTTCTTGAGGGCCATATAGCTTGGCAGGAGGGGCAAGAATTGATGGGTTATGAGAACAAGAGAGGAACGCCTCACTGGGCCACAGAGAGGGTCCAGGAAATTGTTTGGGCTCGAGGACCTAAGGTCCTTGGGACTATGCTTGGAGCCACATTGGTAACCGGGTCTGGAGTTTTGGGAGTGCCAGTGCAGGGGTCACTCTGGTAAGCATCCAATGACACTGACTTTTAGGTCCTGGAAACATTTTGCGGCCTATCAACACAAATTGGTGAGAATGGGGAAAAGAGGGAAAATGTAGAGAAAGTGACTGGAATGCATGCTAATGATTCAGGTTACGTTTACGTCCTTTGAGTTTCATTTCATCTTACCTATAAAACCAACATAGACATTGAAATCTAGAATCCTAATCATACCAAAGAAATTATGTATTCTCTTAGTGTATTGGGGGAAGAGCTACGTTCGGGTGAGCCCGGCTAGCTCAGTCGGTAGAGCATGAGACTCTTAATCTCAGGGTCGTGGGTTCGAGCCCCACGTTGGGCGCTCTGGTTTTCAATCCTAAAATGTTTTCAGGTTTCTCATTGCGGTCCAAAAAAAGGGCATTATTAAAGCTCATCCCTCTGGAAGAAGGGAATTGTGTGATCATCGTGACCATTTTAGCCTTACTGACTTGACTGACGCATTCCAGCCTTCTCTGAAATTCTAGCTGAACTTAGTCTCAGTGATCCCTGGTGTGGATACACTTCTCTGGCCTAGAGGTTTTGTAAAACCAGATATACTTAAACATAGGTTATGTAAGTCGTTGGTAGGGCATGAGCTCTTGTATATTTAACAAGTTCCTGGGCTGATTCTAAAGCACAAATCCCAGCAAAAAAGGTTTAGGAGGCAGGAAGGACCCATGACCATGAGTTAAAAAAGCATACCACACACCTCTTCGTTGATTTCAAAAGCCCAATTAGCCACATACCTTCCTCTCACTTCACTAACATAGTTCTCATCTCTTCAGGTCTCAGGACAATATAAAGAAAATGCTCTAGCTCAGGTGTCCAAGACTGGCTGTACATGTGAATCACCTGAGGCACTTCTAAAATTTTAGATTCCTGGGCTCACAGGATCTGAATCTCCAGTGGTTTAGAAACCATTGTTTTATAAGGTCCTTTTTTAATTTTATGATACATATAGCAAGTTGGCTGCCTACTCAGTCTAGAATTCCACAGGAAATCAATGCCTTATGGAAAACATCATCTTTCTATAATAGGTGTAAGGTATTAGCTTTTTGGGTTGAGAAACTTGATGTTACATGTTTTCCTGCCATTCCCAGTGGCTGCAGCAGTATGAGAGAAGAATGGCGGGGAGGAAGTCAAAAAGATATGGAGCCTTCTGGGCTTGTAAGGACTTTAGATTTAACTGAGAGATGGGAAGTCTGTGAAGATTCTGAGCAGAAGAGTAACAGAATCTAACTTACCTTTTAAGAAGATAATTCTAACTGCTGTGTTGAGAAAAGACCTTAAGGGCACAATGATAGAAACAAGAAAACCAATTAAGAGGCTCCTGGTAACAAAAAGTAATAAGAAAGATCAGAGTGCTAACAGGGGAAGAGGAGAAGTGGGTCTATCTGGAAGGCTGAATCAGTAAGATTTCCTGGTAGATTTGAATGGGAGCGAGAAGAATAGTCAAGGATAACTTTAAGGTCAGAACACCAACCTTATACATCGATACCAATGAATAAAGTGTTAAGTGGCCCAGTGTATTTTTTAAAAATTGCCCTCAAACTTGGAAAGACTGAATTCACATGAAATGTTCTCTACTATATAATCAGAGCAAAAGGGGTTCAATGACAACAAGAGTTATATCACTGTGAAGACTTGATATATCAGGTCTGCAGCCCACATCATCTGTAAGGAGCCCCAGAATATGGATATTGCATTGAAAGAATGCTCACCTCTGAGCACACTGGAGACACAGTGACAAATTACCACTGTCTGTCCTCTGCCATCCAACCCTTCCTTTCTTCTTCTTCTTCTTTTTTTTTGTAGATCTCCCTATGTTGCCCAGCCTGGTCTCAAATCCCTGGCTCAAGGAATCCTCCCCCCTCGTCCTCCCAAAATGCTGGGATTACAGGCATAAGGCACCACAGGCCCTTTTTTCTTTACTCAGTAACCTAAATATTATCAGTAATTTATCACTTGCTCCATGTGATATGTTATATCCAGTTTTAAAATGATTCCATATTTTATCTACTTAGATAAATGGCACTTACAGTTGGGCACAGGAAATCATGAGTATTAAACTGGACGGGGCCAGTCACAGTGGTTCACGCCTGTAATCCCAGCACTTTGGGAGGCCAAGCTGAGTGGATCACTTGAGCTCAGGAGTTCGAGACCAGCCTGGCCAACATGGCAAAACCCCATCTCTACAAAAAATACAAAAATTAGTTGGATGTGGTGGTGCTCACGTCAAGTTCCAGCTACTGGGGAGGCTGAGGAGGGAGGATCGCTTGAACCGAGGTGGTGGAGGTTACAGTGAGCCATGATTGCACCACTACACTCCAGCCTGGGTGACAGAGCAAGACCCTGTCTCTAAATAAATAAATAAACTAACTAACTAACTAGATGGACTCCCTAGGATTTGGGTGTATTGTTGGTATATACACCATGAAACTGAGAATTATGAGTTAACACAAAATGGATGAATTTGACCACAGTAACTTTTCTTGAGTACACTGAGACTTGACTGTTCTCTAAGTCTACTTTATAAAAGATACAGTGTCTTTCAAAACAATTGACAAACACATTTTTATTAAGCACCTTTTCATTGCTGGACATTTAATAAAAATATGAAGATGATATAGTCCCTGCCTTCCAGAAAGTTGCCATCAAGACTACTTTCAGTGATCGTTTCTATGCTTTGTTACTAGAGAAGGTTCTCTGAATGTATAGAGCACTGCAAGAAAAAATAAATAAAAAAGAAAATTGCCATATACCTACTGGGTGAATGTGACTGATTTAACAAAAATTACATCCACAGCTATATTTTAATTGTCTGGCAATAGGAAATGAAGATGCAGCCAGGTGCAATGGCTCATGCCTGTAATTCTAGCACTTTAGGAGGTCAAGGCAGGAGGACTGCTTGAGGCTGGGAGTTCAAGACCAGCCTGGGCAACATAACGAGACCCTGTCTCTGTATTTAAAAAAAAAAATTCTTTTTCAATAAATACAAAAATTAGCTGGGTGTGGTGGTGCACACCTGTAGTCCCAGCTACTTGGGAGGCTGAGGTGGGAGGATCGCTTGAGCTCAGGAGGTTGAGGCTGCAGTGAGCTGTGACGGAGCCACTACACTCCAGCCTGGGTGACAGAGCAAGACCCTGTCTCAAAAAAATTAAATAGGCCGGGCGCAGTGGCTCACGCTTGTAATCCCAGCACTTTGGGAGGCCTAGGCGTGCGGATCACGAGGTCAGGAGATCGAGACCATCTGGCTAACACGGTGAAACCCCGTCTCTACTAAAAATACAAAAAAATTAGCCAGGCGTGGTGGCGGGCGCCTGTAGTCCCAGCTACTCGGGGGCTGAGGCAGGAGAATGGCGTGAACCCGGGAGGCGGAGCTTGCAGTGAGCCGAGATCGCGCCACTGCAGTCCCGCCTGGGCGACAGAGCGAGACTCCGTCTCAAAAAAAAAAAAAAAAAAAAAAATTAAATAAAAAAGGATAAAACATTGTGCATTGCTTTATGCTTCTGTAAATAATTCTAGGGTTTGAGTGCTAGAAATAGCATCAAAAAATGTTAGTGGGGCCAGGCGTGGTGGCTCATGCCTGTAATCCCAGCACTTTAGGAGGCCGAAGCGGGTGGATCACCTGAGGTCAGGAGTTCGAGACTAGCCTGGCCAACATAGTGAAACCCCATCTCTACTAAAAATACAAAAATTAGCAGGGTGAGGTGGTGGGTGCCTGTAGTCCCAGTTACTTGGGAAACTAAGGCAGGAGAATCATTTGAACCCAGGAGGCAGAAGTTGCAGTTAGCCGAGATCGTGCCACTGCACTTTAGCCTGAACAACAAGAGCGAAACTCTGTCAAAAAAAAAAAAAAAATTAGCCTGCCGGGCATGATGGCTCATGCCTGTAATCCCAGCACTTTGAGAGGCTAAGGCAGGTGTATCACCTGAGGTCAGGAGTTCAAGACCAACATAGCAAAACCTCATCTGTACCAAAAATACAAAAATTAACTGGGTTCGGTGGCTCGCACCTTTAATCCTAGCTACTTGGGAGGCTGAGGCACAAGAATCGCTTGAACCCAGGAGGCAGAGGTTGCAGGGAGCCGAAATCGCACCACTGCACTCCAGCCTGGGTGACAGAGTGAGACTCCGTCTCAAAAAACAAAAAATTAGCCTTGTATGTATACATGATTTTAAATATCGACTTAAAAGCAATCTAAAATGAAAATTGAAAATATTTGGGCCGTCTAATGTATTACAATATGAAATGCCAGCAACATCTACGAAATCCTTTTGCCAAAAATATTTTAAGTTGAATTGAATCAAGTTTCTAGACATACCTTCTAATTTATAGAACATAGAGGATCAAATGCAACAAAACTATGAATCAAATGGTCTTTAAA
Source organism: Homo sapiens (assembly GCF_000001405.40). Lineage (NCBI taxonomy): Eukaryota > Metazoa > Chordata > Mammalia > Primates > Hominidae > Homo > Homo sapiens. The sequence continues at coordinate 106,864 of NW_025791780.1, forward strand.
AAGTCAATGTTATAAAAATATTAAGAGACTAAAGACATTACAGTCACATGTAATGAGTGACTCTATACTGAATTCTAGTTCAAAAAAATAAATACATAAATATATTCTTGGGATAACTAGAGAAATTGGGTCATAAGCCAGTTATTAGACACAATGAAATTACTGATACTTTTCCTAGGAGTAATAATAATTTTGTGATGTGTAGAATGCTCTTACATGTAGGAGTGCTTGCTGAAGTGTTTAAATGGTAAAGTCATCACATCTGTCACTTATTTTCAAACAGCTCAGCAAAAGAAATGTACATGCTGTGTGTGTCCATACACAAGAAAGAAAGATTGATTTAAAGCGAGTATGGCAAATACTAGCAATTGTTGATTGTGGAGTGTATATATTGTTCACTGCAATATTATTTCAACTCCTTTTTGTAAATTTAAAACTTTTCATGGTAAAAACCCTATAGGGCGAAAATAACCTCCTTCAAGAGCAACATAAAAAACATGACACAACTAAAAACTGTGATAATTGTGTCCCTTTTGTCATTTCTGAGAATCCCAAAACATTGTCTTGTATTCTTTTGTAAAGGAAGAAAGTTTAGTCAAGAGTTTATTTTAGGGACAAGCCTAAGAACATGTCCTCATTTATTATTTCTGTTTTAATCCAAAGAGCTTCTTCAGATGTCAAAAGTCATGTAAAATTTGTGTATGGATGAGATTATACAGCAAGGCAAGTTCCTAGCTAATGATTCACATTAAGGGGCTGAACATACTGGGTTTGAAAATGGCTCAGGCTAGGCGCTGTGGCTCATTCCTGTAATCATAGCACTTTGGGAAGCCAAGACCAGCCTGGCCAACATGTTGAAACCCAGTCTCTACAAAAAATACAGTAATTAGCCAGGCGTGGTGGCAGGTGCCTGTACTCCCAGCTACTCGGGAGGCTGAGTAGGAGGATGGTTTAAGCCCAAGGAGGCAGAGCTTGCAGTGAGCCATGTTCATGCCACAGCACTCCTGTAGCAGGAGGAGTCATGGACAAAATCCCTCAGACACTGGATTGGGGAAGGAAAGAGCTTTATTCAGCTGGGAGCATCGGCAGACTCGCGTCCTAGAAACCGAGCTCTCCGAATAAGTAATTCCTATCCTTTTTAAGGGCTCACAACTCTAAAGGGGCTGCATGAAGTGGGGGTTATGATCGATTGAGCAAGCGAGGGGTACACGACTGGGGGCTGCCTGCATCAGTAATCAGAACGAAACAGAACAGAACAGGGAGTTTCACAATGCTTCTTCATGCAATGTCTAGAATCTATAGATACCAAAAGTGGTGAGTTCAGGGGTTGAATTTTAACTACCAGGCCCGAGGCGCGGCGCCGGGCTGTCTGACTATGAATTTCACTTCTGCCTATTCTTTTAACTTCTACCTTTTCAGCAAACAAGAAATTAAATATAAGACAATATGAGGAGTGGTCTCCTCTTTCACTCCAATCTGGGAACAGAGCCAGACCATCTCAAGAAAAAAAAAGAAAAAGAAAAAACAAAGAAAGAAAAGAAAATGGCTCAGTAAATTGGATTGGGATTGTTGCGAAATTTGAGAAACTAGGTATTAAAGCATGTACAGTGGCAGCATCTTGTATGCACTATATGCTAATAAATAATTACTTAATATTGGTGAGGTTTGGCAGGGTAATGGAATATGTGTTAACTGAAAGAGGACAACAACATCTAAAAAAGGCAAAGTTCTTACCAGCTGAGAGCTGAAAACACAGCTAATATTTAATTATTCATAGAAGGAAAATAAAATGAAGAAAAATCTCGACTGATCTATCTTCTAATGTTCTGAAATTTACAGCTCATTGCTTAAAGTAGGCCTGGTAAAGAGAATGGAGTCAATGCTCTTTTTTTTTTTTAACCAAATAACATCTATTAACATCTCAAGGAACTATTGATACTCAAGGAACTAACATTTAGCAAAAATGTATTTAGAAAATATGGTTCTTTTCAAATGTAAATTATTAATTGTGACAGGCAAACAACCAGGAAATAACAGAAAAGACTGGAAGAACTGGTTAAAGACACATCTAATGCCATAAAAGTTCACAAGACTACTTACAGATAAATAATAGTTTATTAACAATCTTGTACTTTTAAAATTCACACTGGTAATTCTAAAATGCTTCAAGTGACATCAGAATCACCTAAGATGTGGGCATGACAATCAATTAATTAATTTATAATTAATCTAAGAAAAGCGATATACATTTTAGAGACCAGGAAGACTAAAGTGGCTTCTGAATTACTGTGTTTATGAACCAAGAACTGGATTATGAAGACTTTTATAAAATCATCTTGAGGTAGGGAAAAAACCAACATTCTGGGAGTACGATGCCCATTTTTGTGTGTGTTTACAATATTGTGATTGCTGTAATAATCAGGCAGTGAGAATACTAGCCCTTCATCTGATAAGCCTTACCCTCAGGTCCCTCTTAACCGTTTATAAAGCTGGTGATATGGTGTGATATGGTGTGGCTGTTTCCCCACCTAAATCTCATTTTGAATTGTAGTTCCCAAAATCTCCGTGTGTCATGGGAGGGACCCAGTAGGAGGTAATGAAATCATGGGGGCGGTTGCCCCCACGCTATTCTCTTCATGGTAAGTTCTCACCAGATCTAACGGTTTTTATAAGGGGCTTCTTCCTTCACTTGGTTCTCAGTCTCTCTCCTGCTGCCCTGTGAAAAGTAGGCACCCTTCTAGGGGCATGCATTATCACGTGAAAGTATACCAATGTTAAATGCAGAAACAATAGACTCTAAGGAGACTTCAGAAAGGAAAAACAGTAATATAAAAGAGGTCAGAAAACGGATACCTCTCACTGACACCTATTAGACAAGTACAGGACGAGATCTTGACAGGGAGTGGAAGGATATCCTGCCCTATCTCATTAGGGTTACTCTGTGAGGCAAGACCAGGAGTGGGGATAGGTCTGGAACAGCCATGTTGTAATAAGCTTTCCAAGAAAACGTCACTACATTATTTTGGAGGACAGTATGAAAGGTAATGTAGCTGGGAGAATTGGGGATAATCAAAAAACAGGCTATCTCACTCAGCTTTCTTCCTATTTATTTATTTATGACACAGGGTCTCCCTCTGTTGCCCAGGCTGGAGTACAGTGGCGCGATCTCAGCTCACTGCAGCCTCGACTTCCCAGTGAGGCAGAAAAATAGGGCCTGGAGTCAAGGAACATAAGGCCAACTCACACTTCAGCTATAACAGGAAATATCCTCTCCATAGGGCATACACGGAGTAAATTACTTTGTAACTTTAATTCATCCTCTTCATTTACATAGGGCGTACCCCAAGTAGATGATATTTAAACTCACAAAAACTCTGTAACGGGGCCTTTGAGCTCCTGTGCTCAGCCCCACTCCCACACTGTGGAGTATACTTTCGTTTTCAATAAAACCCTTCATTCTTTCCTTGCTCTGTTTGTGCGTTTTGTCCAGTTCTTTGTTCAAGACGCCAAGAACCTGGACACCCTCCACCATTACCACCATTAACACCAGGCTCTAGTGATCCTCCCATCTCAGCCTCCTGAGTAGCTGGAGCTGTAGGCACGTGCCACCACGCCCAGCTAACTTTTGTATTTTTTGTAGAGACGGGGTTTTGCCATATTCCCCAGTGGTGGCTCACGCCTGTAATCCCAGCACTTTGGGAGGCTGAGGCGGGTTGATCACGAGGTCAGGAGTTTGAGACCAGCCTGGCCAACATGGTGAAACCCTGTCTCTACTAAAAATACAAAAATTAGCTGGGCGCGGTGGCGGGCGCTTGTAATCCCAGCTACTAGGGAGGCTGAGGCAGAAGAATTGCTTGAACCTGGGAGGCGGAGGTTGCAGTGAGCCAAGATCGGGCCACTGCACCACTCCAGTCTGGGTGACTGAGCAAGACTCCGTCTCAGGGGAAAAAAAAAAGTGATTCTGATCAATCGCTTCTTCAAAATTCCTAACTAAGCATGGGCAACATAGTGAGACCTATGACTCAACATACTGAGTCTCTACAAAAATACAAAAACAAAATAAACCAGCCCATTAGCTGGGCATGATGATATGTGCCTTAATCCCAGCTGCTCAGGTGGCTGAGGGGAGATGATCCCTTGAGCCTAGGAGTTCAAGACTTTAGTGAGCTTTGATCCCACCGCTGCACCCCAGCCTGGACCACTGCACCCCAGCATCAACAACAGAGTGTGACCCTGTCTCGAAAAAAAAAATCCTCTGTAAGGACTATAACTCCATCTAGGAGGCTTTCCTTAATTAATCTCAACCAAATCTGATCTCTTACATAGTCTAAATTCTTGTGTACTTAGCTTTTTTTGTGGTACTGTTTGGGACTTGTTTTAATGATTACATTATTACTCGTATGCTTCCTATGGTGTTATTCTTGAATTTTTTATACTCTAATTTCACTAAAGATAAGGCCCAGCGAAAAGGCTTTCAAAGTACTCTCTGTGGGTTCCCCTGTTTGAGCCTGTGGGAGTAAGGCAGTGGACAGCACACTCTGAGAACTGTGCGTTACAAATTCTATTTAATTTGATATTCACAACTATCCCCTTAGGATCTGTATTACCTTCATTATCATCATCTCCATTTTGTATAAGGCATGAGGAAGTTAGGGAAGTCATACTACTAGTGAGACATAGATTCAAAGGTGGACTAAGTGGCTCCAATACCTCTCTGTGTTCTTTCCATTACATCATACATACGAGTAAATAGCCTGTCCATGTTGCTGTAACTTCTACTACCAAAATTCATTATTTACTTTTAAATTGTGTTCAAAAGGGTCTATGTATACAATTAGTTCAATACATATTTACTTTTTAGGAAGCATTACAGTACAGTTACTGTTGAAACACATGCCACAGAAATTGGTTCTTCACTCACTCCCGAGGGACCCAAGCAGCCTCCACTTGGGGTTCTTCCGGCGTTATCTGGCGCTGCTGCACCACGTCCTCCCCTACACGTGGAGGTCGGTGGTGCGATTTCCTCACCCTCAAGGGACTCAAGGGACCACGCGCTCGCAAAGAACCCAGGGCCTCTTCCATCAGCTCGCAGCAGGTACGCAGTAAACCTTTACCGAATGAATGAATGGAAATCAAATCTGCGAATTAACTGCATGTTAGTTTGCCACATGGGCTGCATTTTAAAATTTTATTTATTTATTTACTTATTTTTATTTATTTTTTTTGAGACGGAGTCTCGCTCCGTCGCCCAGGCTGGAGTGCAGCGGCGCGATCTCGGCTCACTGCAAGCCCCGCCTCCCAGGTTCGCGCCATTTTCCTGTCTCAGCCTCCCGAGTAGCTAGGACTACAGGCGCCCGCCACCATGCCCGGCTGTATTTTTAGTAGAGACGGGGTTTCACCATGTTAGCCGGGATGGTCTCGATCTCCTGACCTCGTGATCCGCCCGCCTCGGCCTTCCAAAGTGCTGGGATTACAGGCGTGAGCCACCGCGCCCGGGGGGAACTTCTTTTAATGGTGCCAATCTTATGGACCTCAGACACCTCTCAGTGAGAACTTGCTGGCATTTTGTGTGGAGAACAGAACCGAGGGGACCAATCTGGACAAGGGGAGCCAATTAGAAAACTGCAGGCCCAGGATTATCTTATTTTCATTCTCTAGAGCAGAGTTTCAATAGAGCGCTATTGACATTTTGGACTAGATATTATAATTCTTTGTTGTGGGGGCTGTTCTATGCATTACAGGATGTTTACTAGCATTCCTGTTCTTTACCTACTACATTCCTCAGTCACAACAATTTACCTACTATATTCCTCAGTCACAACAATTAAAAATGTCTTCTTACATTGTCAGATGACCGTTGTGAAGGCAAAATTGCTCCATTAGAGAAATTACTGCTCCACGAGTATGTACCATTGTTTTGGCTTACTATTTATTTTTGAGACAGGGTCTGGCTCTGTCGCTCAGGCTGCAGTGCAGTGACACAATCATAGCTCACTGTGGCCTCACACTCTTTGGCTCATGGGATCCTCCCTCCTCAGCCAGTCCCAGTAGCTGGGACTACAGGCCCCCGACCACTACGACCCGCTAATTTTTGTATTTTTTGTAGAAACAGGGTTTCACCATGTTGGCCATGGCTGATCTCGAACTCCTGGTCTCAAGAGACTTAGCTGCCTCAGGCTCCCAAACTGCTGAGATTACAGGCCTGAGCCACCAAGCCCGGCCTAGTTTACTATTTATTGATTAGGGTAGTTTTTCAGCTTTGTAAGGGAACGTCGTGATGTGGTGATGCAAATGAACTTCGTCTGATATTTAGTTATTTTCCGTCCTGTAGAAACAGTACAGTTTTATTGTCCTGTAAGGCAGTTTCCAGTTCTCTACCTCACTTAGCAATGTTAATTTACAGCATTGCTTCTTTCAGTGACTATCAATAAATTCTTCGATCCAGTTTTACCAGTTTTACCATCTTGATGATTCCCTCATTAGTGAATTAAACCTTTGACAAGTGTTTATTTCATATTCGTATACGAATCATGCATTTAACCGTTTGAAAAGTGTATTTTGACCAAATGTATAAAAGTAAATACATCTGTGAAATAGGATAACTTATTCAGGCAATTGAGGTTGGAGAGGAGATAAAACATTACATTTAATTCATCGAGACTCGCCCCACTCAAATAAATGTTTCATGGACTTGAGGAGATTAATGGCCAAGTTAAATGTACTTTCAATTTTTGTTCAGAAAAGAAAAAAAAAATCTGTGTGCCATAAAGGAGTGAACATTGGGCTCAATGGCCTACTTGCACAAGAAGGATCATTTGCCCTGTGCATGTTTCATTATATGACAAGGTAATTATCTTTAATGGAACATGAAAAAGAATGAAACAGATTTTTTTTTCTCTTTTCTTTTTTTTTTTTTTTTTTTTTTTTTGAGACGGAGTCTTGCTCTGTGGAGTGGCTGGAGTGCGGTGGCAACATATCTGCTCACTGCAACCTCTGCCTCCTAGGTTGCAGTGATTCTCCTGCCTCGGCCTCCCGAGTAGCTGGGATTACAGGCGCCCACCACCACCACGCCCGGCTGATTCTTGTAGTTTTAACGGAGACAGGGGTGTCACCATTTTGGCCAGGTTGGTCTCGAACTCCTGACCTCAGGTGATCTCCCCGTCTCGGCCTGCTGAAGTCCTGGGATTACAGAGGTAAGTCACCGCGCCGGGCCATAATGAAACAGATTTCGGATGCCAGATTCCACCACAAGTGGATTTTTTCATTAACAAGGGAGGATAATAGCTATTCTGAGCTTCAGAGTCATAGAAAGCTAGACAAGAATCTTACACTTTGCAAAACTAATATTTGAAATGATATTACCTTGTGTTAATCATTTAAAAATGTATCATTTTAGCACACCCATGGATAGGTTTTTGCTGAGTTAAGAATTAATGTGATGGCCAGCTGCTGTGGGCTCACGCCTATGATCCTAGGGCTTTAGAAGGCCAAAACGGGCGGATCACTTGAGGCCAAGAGTTCGAGACCAGCCTGGCCAACATGGCAAAAATCACAACTCTACTAAAAATATAAAAATTAGGCGGGCGTGGTGGCTTGCGTTTGTAATCCCAGCTGCTCGAAGGCTGAGGCGGGAGAACGGGAGAATCGCTCGAACCTGGGAAGCGGAGGTTGCAGTGAGCCGATATCGCGCCACTGCACTCCAGCCCAGGCGACAGAGCGAGACTCTGTCTCAAAAAAAAAAAAAAATTATTATGCTTTCGAAGTTGCATTATTTAGCCTGCTCTTCCTTCTCTTCCTCCTGTCAGTTATCTCAATAAAATCCCATTAAAATTGCATTGTTAAAGTGTTTCAAATTCTATTTTTAGGTAGAGGTTAAAATTGGTTATATAATGCATTCATCACAACAAAAGATGGTCATTGCTAAATTCTTATCAGTTCCTTGTGCCTCCTTAACATTTTATGTTTCTTTTTGTAAACTAGTGAGGGTGGTGCTCCCGTTTTCTCCCTGTTTCAGAGAAAAGGGCCTCTGAATATCAGTCAGTTCCGAAGGGGTAGTGGATGTCAAAAGAACATCAACGACGCAGGTAAACAGGACGACAAGCATCCACGATTGCCCAACCTTCCGCAGAGATGGCATCCCCAGCGGGAAGTGAAAGTCGTGTGAATCCTTCGATAGCTCAGTTGGTAGAGCGGAGGACTGTAGTTGGCTGTGTCCTTAGACATCCTTAGGTCGCTGGTTCGAATCCGGCTCGAAGGAGTTCACAATTTTTTTTTTTTTTTGCGTAAGTTTTAAAATTCATTCTCAGAAATGCGTATTTCACTTATACATATCCTCGATAAGAATCTATTTAAAACTATTCTGGATGTGCAGTGAATCTCTTTAATTTTTTATTATTCTCCGTAACAATTTTTAACACGCGCCATCAAGACTTCATCCCTATAATTCGTATAATCCAACCCTCTTAGAAGCCCTGGGCACTGAGGAAGTGAATCAGACACTGGTCCACTGGGCTAGAGATCCACAGAGGCGTCTCCACCCCTCAACCCCGGATCCACAGCCGGGGGAAAGGGGCGGCTGGTGGGAATTACTCGGAGCAACTGGTAATTGGTGGGGCACGCGCGTGCCCTGGTGTTCAGAGTTCTGAATCGTTGCGAGTCAGTTACAAGCTGAACCACTAGCGTCTGAACCCTATACATCTGAAGCCGGGATGAAATTCAGGAGTTCTATTCCCCCTTCTCCTTTTAATTGTCATGGTGGTGTCTTTCGACCCTAGCAGAGAATATGTGGTCGATATTAGAATCACCTGGGGAGATTTTACAAAGCATCTATGCTTGGGTTTCTTTGGAGGTAAGATTCAGGTATTGTAGTTTCAAAAGCTCACCAGCTGACTTTCCTGTACTGCAAGTTTTGAAAAACACTGGTAGAAGAGAATCATTTTAGGAGAAAATAGTACATAAGGGAAAAAATGGACAGGATTTCCTACCCACATAGGGAATTAGCTCACAAAGTAGAGATCTGGCATAACAGTGGTACATATTTGCTAATTTTGTGCCAATCTAATTACAATATATTAATCCCATTGTACCCTTTTGTGTCTCAAAAATGTGATCCCAGATACCTATGGAAGAGTTCTTAATGACAAATATCTTTGTCTAGATCAAAGTAAGGAAGCGTTTTCTGAGGATTTTGTGCCTGGTAATTTCTTGTATGTTCCTTCCCATGTTTCCAAACTTTTATTCTTTATGAAAATAATTCTCAAACTTGGATATCAGAACCACCTGGAAAACTAACAAAAAACACAGAAGCCCAGGCTTATTGAATTAGGGTGGTGGTTGGAGAGCCCTGCCCAAAACGCATTGGAAGCCACTCCTATTAAGGGCTGGAGATGGATCTAAACTGATAGCTCCCCCATGAACTTGCTTTTTGAAAGCTGGTTGGGGGCAAAAGAAAAATGGCCTTTTGTTTGTGGTTTTTTGAGACGGAGTCTCGCTCTGTCGCCCAGCCTGGAGTGCAGTGGCTCCATCTCAGCTCACTGCAACCTCCACCTTCCGGATTCGAGAGATTCTCCCGCCTCAGTCTCCCGAGTAGCTAGGATTACAGGCGTCCGCCACCACGCCGGGCTAATTTTTGTGTTTGTGGTAGAAACGGGGTTTCACCATGTTGGCCAGGCTGGTCTGGAACTCCTGACTTCAGTTGATCCACCAACCTCGGCCTCCCAAAGTGCTGGAATTTCAGGCGCAAGCCACCGCACCCAGCCAGAAAACAAAACAAAACAAAACAAAACAAATAGGTATTTTCAAAGGTAATGTTTGGGGCTTGAATGCAACATTTGTTAAATAGTCCTGGACTAAGCTTCTTGCCAAGGCACAATAGATTTCAGTCCAGATAGATTCTCTGTCACAATTCTCCTCCTATGTGCCAGCACCAGTAACAGCAGCAGACCCCCCCACCCCACCCTCCGGCAAGATATAGCAAGATGACTTCAGAAGAGGAAGAGTGAACGTCAAAACAAAACAAAACAAAAACCCTCAAACATACCTACATACCCTTTGGCTCTCCATCATTTTATTTTTATATATTTTATTTATTTTTTTCGAGACGGAGTTTCGCTCTTGTTGCCCAGGCTGGAGTGCAGTGGCCCGATCTCGGCTCACTGCAACCTCCGCCTTCCGGTTTCAAGCCATTCTCCTGCCTCAGCCTCCGGAGTAGCTGGGATTACAGGCATGCGCAACCACGTCGGGCCAATTTTTGTGTTTTTAGTAAAGACGAGGTTTCACCATGTTGGCCAGGCTGGTCTCGAACTCCTGACCTCGTGATCAGCCTGCCTCGGCCTCCCAAAGTGCTCGGATTACAGACGGGAACCACCACGCCTGGCCCATCCACCATATTATTGAGATAATGGGAGTGCCTTTGTTACAATTGTAACAACTTAAGGTGGTCCTCAATAGGTCGGACATGTAGGAAATAGATTCCAAGAATAAAAATGTAATTTTAAAAATCTTTTAAAATTTGTGATACAGGGCCAGGCGCGGTGGCCCACGCCTGTAATCCCAGCACTTTGGGAGGCCGAGTCGGGTGGATCACTAGATGTTAGGAGTTCGAGACCAGCCTGGCCAACAAGGTGAAAGCCCGTCTCTACTAAAAATGTGCCGGTGTGGTGGCGCACAGCTGTAATCCCGGCTACTCCAGAGGCTGAGGCACAAGAATCGCTTGAACCCGGGAGCCGGAGGTTGCAGTGAGCCGAGATCGTGCCACTGCACTCCAGACTGGGCGACGGAGTAAGTCTGTCTCAAAAAAAAAAAAAAAAAAAAAAAAAAGGAAAAGAAAAAAATTTGTAATACGTCCTCAGTCTGCTGTGATAAAAATGTAATACATAAATGATCGAAGTGTATAATAGATTTGCCAATGCACCTGGCAGAGGCCAACACTCAGAACTGAAAATAGTGAGAGAAATTCGAAGTACCCAGCTCTGTCTACGATAGAACAATCTGAGGACTAGGGAACCACCGAGTAGATGGGTTTTCATGGGTGGTGAGAGAATCTTGAGCTTGAAGGAAAGACCACCCCCATTATGATACGGGAGTGTGTTGTTAGCTGCTTATGTGTCAGCAAGATATTCATGGAAAGATAGGAGTAAAGGCCAAAGGGTAAGGTGGGAGAGGAAACCACATAAAACTGGAGAATACGGGCATCGATCCCGCTACCTCTCGCATGCTAAGCGAGCGCTCTACCATTTGAGCTAATTCCCCGTGTGGGAAAACGTCTCTTATATCCTTTACCCTCTTTGATATCTGGAAGTAATTCAGGACTCTCGCTATTTCAATTGACTTTCGTCACTAGCCAATAGGAAAAAAATGAAGAACTGTGTACAATGGTGACTAAAGAGCCTCAGCATGACTTCCGCCCCTCAGCGCCATCTATAACCTGTTTTACCATGTCGGATCCCGTCTGGAGAAGCCCACCGAGTGCAGGTGAACCAGGGAGGCGAAGTCCATAGAAACAGCTGTCTTGGGGGTCCGGGAAGAGTTTAACACTGGAATCACATCTGCGGAAACCGGGAACTGGAAGCAAATTGAGGATGCGGCCAGAAGGGAAAATCAAGTTTTTCAAGCAATGAGGTTCGGCCTTGGCCTAACCAATAGTTTCTACCACTCTCCGCACCCCTAAAATTTCCATCTATTCATCTGGTTCCAGAAACAGATTATCCAGCGTCTTTGTAGATCTACGAATATCCCTTAAAGTCGGGTGCGGTGGTTCACGCCTGTAATCCCAGCATTTTGGGAGGCCGAGGCGGGTGGATCACTTGAGATGAGGAGTTCGAAACCAGCCTGCCAATATGGTGAAACCCCTGTCTCCACTAAAAATACAAAAAATTAGCCGGGCGTGGTGGCGCACACCTGTAATCCCAGCTGCTCGGGAGGCTGAAGCAGGAGAATCGCTTGAACCCAGGAGGCAGAGGTCGCAATGAGCTGAGTTCGCGCCACTGCACTCCAGCCTGGGCGACCGAGTAAGACTCCCTCTCAAAAAGGAAAAAAAAAAAAAAAAAAACAAATCCGCTTTTTGTCTGGCTTTGTCGCTGCCGGAGGACCTTGTGGCCACAAGGGGGCGTGCGTCCCATTTGATTTCTTTATTCTGGTTTCTGTAGTCCTGATTTCGATCCAGGGGTGTACAAATTATTTTTCTAAGGTAAATATTAGCAAGAGAAGCGAATATACTTATGGCTGCAGACTTAGAGGCAGAGTCTTTGCACAAAGACAAATGCTTTAGTTGCCACTTTTTCTTCTGGGCCTATTGAGTACCAGCTACTGTGCCAGGTGCTAGGTGCTAGGTACTGTTCAGCAGAAGCTAGTTGGGAAAAGGAGGATCCGTTGGGCATTACTAGAGTCCCATCACTCTCAAAAAAGCCATACGAAAGCCGTCACCCAACATCTGCACCTTCAACTGCTTCTTTTCCAGAAATTCCATCATTAGAAACTTCCTCTTTTTATTTTCTAGTCTCTATGAAATTGGGGCAAGATACTAAAAATTGAAAGTGGAGAAGACAAAATATCTTATTTAAGAAAGTAACTTTGCTGCGCAGGGCATAGTAGGTCTTTTAAAGACCTTAAGACAACCTTTAATACTTGCTTTTCTCTTTTGCTTTTTCATTGCAATCAGGGCTGACAAAAAGTGGATAACTCTGTTGGAAGAAAACCTCCCAATTTCCTGCCCCCACCATTTTAGACAAGAGAGTTAAAAACTCAGATATTAGCCAGGCGTAGTGGCTCACTCCTGTAATGCCAGCACTTTGGGAGGCTGAGGCGGCTGGATCACTTGAGGTCAGGAGTTCAAGACCAGCTTGACCAACATGGCAAAACCCTGTCTCTACTAAAAATACAAAAATCAGCCGTGGGCGGTGGCGGGTGACTGTAATCTTGGCTACTTCGGAGGCTGAGACAGGAGAATCGCTTGAACCTGGGAGGCAGGGGTTGCAGTGAGCAGAGATTGCACCACTGCTCTCCAGCCTGGGTGACACAGCGAGACTCTCTCAACAAACAAACAAAAAACCAACTCAGATGTTCTAAGCAAGTGTAGAAACCCACCATTCATCTCAGAACTTGGCTCAAAGTCAGCCTTGCTTTGAGGCTCACACCACCTAGGTGCTTTCTCCTTCTTCAACCCTGGACAGAATTTACCCAGTCAGTTTGGCCTCCCCTTACTCTTTTCTGTTTATTTTCTATGACTCTATTAGGCGCGCAGGTGTGGAAATGAGGTGAAAGAAAATTAGCCCAATCCCATAGTTCAGATCCATGGGTTGTGTATTGGCATGACTGTAAACTGGGAGCAATTGGTTTGCCTAGGGCTTTTGAATTGGGAGTTCTGGTTTCTAGCAACATTGGATTAGGTATCAAATTTTACAACTTCTTAGCTTCCACAGAAGTAAATTAAGGTCAAGAAACCCCATCTCTACAAAAAGTACAAAAATTAGCCGGGCTTGGTAGCATGTGCCTGTAGTAGTCCCAGCTACTAGAGAATCTGAGGTGGGAGGATCACCTCAGGAGGGTGAAGCTGTGGAACTGTGATCATGCCTCTGCACTCCAGCCTGGGTGACAGAGTGACAGACTGAGACCCTTCCTCAAAAAAAAAAAAAAAAATCTTAAATTTCACATGGAAGTTTTAACAGTTGTTAGCAGTTGTTAAACTATTGACTCTCAACTCCAAACCCACTACTATGGACTGAATTGTGTTTCCTTAAAATTCTGTGTTGAATCCCTAATCCTTAAAGTGACTTAGTTGGAGTAAGGAAGTAGTTAAGGTTAAATAAGGTCATAGGGATGCACCTTGATCCCTAAGATTAGTTTCCTTATGAGAGGAGACAGAGTACTCAAACCATGTGAAGACACAGCAATAAGGTGTCCATCTGCAAGCCAGGAAGTGAGCCCTTACCAAGAACCAAATCAGTTGGCAACTTAATCTTGGACTTCCCAGCCTCCAGAACTGTGAGAAAATAAATTTTTGTTGTTTTAAGCCATCCAGTCTGTGGTATTTTTGTCATAGCAGCCTGCTATAGTTTGAATGTCTGTGTCCTTCCAAAATTCATTATACTGAAATCTAAGACCTAATATGATAGTATTAAGAGGTGGGGACTTTAGGAAGTCATTTGGCCATCAGAGCTCGGCCATTTTTTTTTGTGGGGGGCCTTCTCTTTCTTCTGCCATATGAGAACACAGTGTTTCTTCCTTTTGCCCTCCATTTCTTTTGCCATGTGAGGACACAAACATAAGTGCTATCTTGGAAGGAGAAAGCAGGTCTCACCAGACACTGAATCTATGAAACTGAATCTGCTGGTACCTTGATCTTGGACTTCCCAGTCTCCAGAACTGTGAGCAATAAATTTCTACTTTTTTTTTTGAGATGGAGTCTTGCTCTGTCACCCAGGCTGGAGTGCAGTGGTGCAATCTCGGCTCACTGCAGCCTCTGCCGCCCAGTGTCTCCTGCCTTAGCCTGCCCAGTAGCTGGGACTATAGACGTGAGCCACCATGCCCAGATAATTTTTGTATTTTTAGTAGAGATGGGTTTTCACCATGTTGGCCAGACTGGTTTTGAACTTCTGACCTCAAGTTATCCACCCACCTTGGCCTCCTAAAGTGCTAGGCCACAGCACCTGGCCTCTACTCTTTATAAATTACCCTGTCTCAGGTATTTTGATACACAGCACAAATGGATTCATTATACAGAGTACGTCCAGTGTCTGAAAAAACTGCTTTAAAGCCGATTGTAGTTTTAAAAATGAGTATCAATGTAATTAAAACTGAGTCTCCTTAATGCAACAAGACTTGAAAACCCAGAAACTTTCAGGACACATTATTTTAGGAATTCTAGAAGATGAAGGGCTAGGGGTCCTTTCGATAGCTCAGTTGGTAGAGCGGAGGACTGTAGGTTCATTAAACTAAGGCATCCTTAGGTCGCTGGTTCGAATCCGGCTCGAAGGACGAAAGTTTTGAACTACGGGCTAATAATTCCAGAAATAACGGAACTTTACGAAAATCAGGATCTAGACAGGAAGATGTATTAGACTGCTGTTTAATCCTTTCTTTAATCCCCTTTGTGATACAGGAAGTAGGACTCTGTTAATCACATTGCAGTTCCACCACTTGACCCTATGGGTAAGCCTTGCCAAAAGGGTGGTTAGAGACTCCAAGGCTGAAGGTGGGAAAGTGAACTTGTTTTCTTTCTGGGGCCTTCCTGTTTCTCTAGGTGTCACCCCAGTAATCCTAACAGAGACAACAATTTTGTAGCAGCCCCGTCTTGAAATTTCACTTCTTATTGGCATCCCTGTAGCTTTTCCGCCTGGTGTCTAAGGCACAGATAGGACACACAATAATGTCAGGAGAGACTGTCCACATCCTGGGATCCCTCCTCTCTAGCTGCTAGCTCTCTATTAGGTTAGAAACATTGAAAGTTAGCATATACTATTTTCTTAGTTACTCATGCAAGGGACTTAATTACAGAGTTCAATATCAACTGTATGCTATTAATATTTCTGACAAGAGGCACTAGCAGTTGCCATTTGAAGAAAAATTTGGGATTTTTCCTTTTAAAGCCTTTTCTTGCGAGATAGTTTTAACATATTCCCCATTTCTGCCTTAGGTATAAGGAAGCTGAGCAGACAACAATCTACACAGAACCTCCCTTTATGTTGGACAATTTGCTTTGAAAAACGAATATTTATATTTCCACGTAAAGTTTTCAAAAATTTTTGCTTCATTTTAACTGCTCCACCATGATTATGTAATATACACTCAAATTTACACAAACACGCACAGATGACACTTCCACGTTTCATCACTACAGTTGTGAATACACACAATTTATCATTCGACTTTCAAGAAGGAGAACTGCAATGATACCAGAATGCTTTGTTCACAGCCCTGGGATCCTCATCAACCCGGTTGTCTGTATTTATCAAGCAAATACATTTTATCAAGCAAATAGAAAAGCCATAGCATTTATCAAGCAAATCCAGTCACTTTTAAGACAGAAAGGAGGAGTTAATCAGACAAAACAGCAGGACAGAGGGCGTAATCTGGGAGATTGTGTATATCTAGGGGAGGAGGACGGGGGATTCCAGTAAGGTTTTTGGTTTGAGCTATACATAAATATCCTAATGTTTTCAATATAAAACCCAATGCCTTTTACATATTTATAAACCCATGAAGCCAATTACCTAGAACATTACACAGAATACTTCCGGTGTATGAGAATACTGCTTTAAAGCCGATCGTAGTTTAAAAAATGAGCATTAATATAATTAATTAAAACCAAATCTCCTAAATGGAACAAGACTTAAAAACCCAGAAACTTCCAGGACGCACATTATTTTGGGGATTCTAGAGAACGCAGAACTACGTGTCTAAAAAGGACAGCGTTCCGTGTCCTTCGATAGCTCAGTTGGTAGAGCGGAGGACTGTAGGCTCATTAAGCAAGGTATCCTTAGGTCGCTGGTTCGAATCCGGCTCGGAGGACGGTAGTTTTGACCTACCAAGCTAATAATTCCAGACAATACGGTCTTTACAAAAAATAAGGATCCAGGCAAAAAAAATGTATTAGATAGCTCTTTATGCTCAAACATGCACAAGTAAACCATTTTTGGTTACATGAGTAAAAAATTTTAGGAATAAACTAGAAATGTGGTAGCTTCACCGAAGGGCACCTGCGTAGATGAAAAGCAGCGTTTCCAGGAAGTCTGAGGCTTCACTTTTTCCTTGTGAAATTTGTACCTCGCAACACTCTTCACCTCCACTCCCTCCCTGAGTCTCCTGCTGGCTGGCTCTTGGTTTCTCGATGCCATTCTTATTTCCGGCTACTGATCGTCAAATGCAGTTTTTATTCCCACTTCCCCTCTCCATCCCCGACCCGAGCTGACGTTCGACCAGCAAACCACAGCCAACGCCCGCAACACAGTTCAGTTAAGAAGGCGCGTGGGAGGTGTGGGGAATGACAGGAGCACTCTGGCCCCAAGGTTTTCGTTTCAGTTTTTACTGGAGGTTAGGATATACGATGACTTTTGGGGTCCTCTGTTATCCTGTTACTTTTCTTCTCTCTCTCTGTTTCTCTGTGTGGTTGTTGTTGTTGTTGTTGTTGTTGTTGTTGTTGTTGTTGTTTTAGACAATCTCGCTCTGTCGCCCAGACTGGAGTGCAGCGGTGCAATCTCGGCTCACTGGACTTCCCGGGCTCAAGCGATCCTCCCACCTCAGACTCCCGAGTAGCTGGCACTACAAGCGCAAGTCAGAACCCCTAGCTATTTTTGGAGAGACGAGGGGTGGGTGGGAGGGTCTCGCTATGTCGGCCAAACTAGTCTCGAACTCCTGGATTCAAGTATTCGTCCGCCTCGGCCTCCCGCAGTGCTGGGATTACAGGAGTGAGCCACCGCGCCTGGCCAATACTTGTTTATTCTTTAGGCACAGAAAATGAAGAATAAAAATTGAGAACTTTTTTATTTTTAAATTTTCGGTTCAGGGGCTACATAGGCAGATTTGTTACGTGACTAAATTGCGTGTCGCTGGGTTTTAGTGTATGAATGTTCCCATCACCAAGGTAGTAATCGTAGTACCCGATAATTTTTCAACCCTCATCCTCCTCCCATCATCCTGCCTCTAGTAGTTCCCAGGGTCTATTGTTCTCACCTTTGTGTCTGTGTGTACTCAATGTTTAGCTCCCTACTTATAAGTGAGAGAACATGAGGTATTTGGTTTTCTGTTCCGGAGTTAATCCACTTACAATAGTGGCCTCCAGCTGCACCCATGATGCTGCAAAGGACGCGACTTTGTACTTTTTCATGGCTGTGTGGTATTCCATGATGTATATGTACCACGTTTTCTTTATTCCACCCTTAGTGGTATGTAGCTTGATTCCATGTCTTTGCTATTGTGAATAGTGCTGCAACGAAGATACTGATGCATGTGTCTTTTTGGTAGAACGATTTATTTTCCTTTGGGTTTATACTCAGTAGTGGGATTGATGAGTCAAATGGTAGTTCCAAGTTATTTGGGAAATTTCCAAACTGTTTTGCACAGTAGCTGAATTAATTTACATTCCCACCGACAGTGGGAATGTAAGCATTCCCTTTTCTCTGCAACCTTGCCATATATCCATTATTTTTGATGTTTTAATAACAGCCATTCTGACTGATGTGAAATGGTATCTCATTGAGGTTTGATTTGTGTTTCTCTAATTAGTGATGTTGAACATTTTTCATATATTTGTTGGCTGCATGTTTGTCTTCTTTTGAAAAGTGTCTGTTCATGTCTCTTGCCCATTTTCTTTATTGGAGTTATTTGTTTTTTGCTCATGCAATTATTTAAGTTCCTTATGAATCCTTGGCATTAGAGCTATGTTGGATGCATAATTTGTGAATATTTTCTCCATTCTGTAGGCTGCCTATTTACTCTGTTGATGGTTTTGTTGTTTGTTTGTTTTGTTTTGTTTGTTTCAAGACAGAGTCTCACTCTGTTGCCCAGGCTGGAGTGCAGTGGTGTGATCTCGGCACACTGCAATTTTGGCCTTCCAGGTTCAAGTGATTCTCATGCCTCGGCCTCCTGAGTAGCTGGGACTACAGGTGTGTGCCACCATGCCTGGCTGATTTTTGTATTTTTAGTAGAGATGGGATTTCGCCATATTGGCCAGGCTGGTTTCGAACTCCTAACCTCAAGTAATCCACACACTTCCACCCCCCAAAGTATTGGGATTACACGTGTGAGCCAGTGAACCGGGCCCCTTGATGGTTTCTTTTATTGGGCAGAAGCTCCTTAGTTTAATTACATTCCCCTTAACAATTTTGGTTTTTGTTGCAAATGCTTTTGGAGACTTAGTCATAAATTACTTGCCAAGGCTGATGTCCAGAATGGTATTTCATAGGTTTTCTTTTAGGATTTTTATAGTTTGAGGTCTTACATTTAAATCTTGAATCCATCTTGAGTTAATTTTTGTATATGGTGAAAGGTATGGGTCCAATTTCAATCTTCTGCACATGGCTAGCCAGTTATTCCAGCACCATTTATTGAACACAGTCCATTCTTCATTGCTTGTTATTTTGTCAACTTTGTCAAAGATTGGATGGTTATAGTTGTGTGGCTTTATTTCTGGGTTCTCTATTTTGTTCCATAGGTTTGTATGTCTGTTTTTGTACCAGTACCATGCTGTTTTGGTTACTTGTAGCTTTGCAGTATAGTTTGAAGGTGAGTAGGGTGATGCCTCTGGCTTTGTTCTTTTTGCTTAGTATTTCTTTGGCTATTTGGGCTCTTTTTTATTTCATATGATTTTATTTTATTTATTTATTTAGAGATGGAGTCTTGCTCTGTCACCCAGGCTGGAGTGCAGTGGCACGATCTTGGCTCACTGCAACCTCTGCCTCCCAGGCTCAAGCGATTCTCCTGCCTCAGCCTCCCGAGTAGCTGAGATTACAGGAGTGAACCACCACACCCTTCTGTTTTTTGTGTTTTTAGTAGAGATAGGATTTCACCATGTTGGCCAGGCTGGTCTCAAACTCCTGACCTTAGGTGATCCGCCCACCTCAGCCTCCCAAAGTGCTGGGATTACAGGTGTGAGCCACCATGCCCAGCTTGATTTAATATAAATTTTAAAATAGTTTTCTCTAATTTCTAATTGGGGAAAACGATGTTGGTAATTTGATAGAAATAGCAGTGAACCTGTAAAGTGCTTTGAGTAGTATGGCCATTTTAACAATATTGATTCTTCCTATCCATGAGCATGGAATGTTTTTTCATTTGTTTGTGTCACCTCTGATTTCTTTCAGCAGTGTTTTGTAATTCTTCTTGTAGCGATCTTTCACCTCCTTAGTTAGCTGTATTCCTAGGTATTTTATTCTTTTTGTGGCTATTGTAAATGGGATTGCATTCTTGATTTGGCTCTCAGCTTGACCTTATTGGTGTATAGAAATGCTATTGATTTTTGTACATTGATTTTGTTTCCTGAAACTTTATCAAGGTAGTTTATCAGTTCTAGAAGCCTTTAAGGTTTTCTGAGTATCGTATTATGTCATTTGCAAAGAGAGAAAATTTGCCTTATTCTTTTCCTATTTGGTTGCTTTTTTTTTTTTTTTTTTTTCCTGAGACAGAGTTTCACTCTTATTGCCCAGGCTGGAGTGCAATGGTGAGATCTCAGCTCACCGCAACCTCTGCCTTCCGGGTTCAAGAGATTCTCCCGCCTCAGCCTCCGGAGTAGCTGGGATTACAGGCATGCGCCACCACGCCCACCTAATTTTGTATTTTTGGTAGAGACAGAGTCTCTCCATGGGGTCAGGCTGGTCTCAAACTCCTGACTTCCGGTGATCTGCCTGCCTAGGCCTCCCAAAGTGCTGGGATTACAGATGTGAGCCACCACGCCCAGCTTGGATGCTTTTTATTTCTTTCTCTTGCCTGATTGCTCTGGCTAGGACTTCCAGGACTTTTTTCTTTATTCTGAGGGCAATAGATAGGCTTTACAGCTGTTTATCAAATATAGTTACCCTCTTAGATTTGTTTTTTATAAAGCATTTAGTAGCACCATGAGAGTGGGGAATACTGTTGGAAAGGGGGATGGAAAAGGAGTTTGGGGGAAAGGCAGAGAGGTTTTCTAAAAGGTTACATGAGAGATAGTGAAGGGTGATACTGATGTACTATGCTGGCAGCAGAAATGGAAACATTCATTTAGAAACATTCTGGGTTTCTAAAAAGTGATTGTTGCCACTCTCTTGCATCGTGGAAGATGCTAGTCTGAGTCAAGAGACTATTCTAGCCTCCCAAATAGAGGCTGTCAAGGAAGCAAAGGTCTGTCAGAAAGGGAGGTTCAGGATCAAGTGTGAATGGTGGATCCCTATTTGTATGCCAAGCTAATGGACAATTTACTTTGATTAAACAAGTTAGTAGAGGTACTGATTTTACAGATACTCTTACATAATCGTATTGGTCCTCCTGGGCACTAGATCCCATCCCATTCTCAAGGATGACACTCCAGCTGTTGTCCTGATTATCATTCCTACATCATCTCCCCCGCCCCCTCACTTCCTGATATTTTACATTCAAGGCTAGCTTTATGCATATGCAACCTGTGCAGTTGCACAGGGCTTTGTGTTCAGAAAGACTAGCTCTTGGTTTAATACTCTGTTGTTGCCATCTTGAGATTCATTATAATATAATTTTTGAATTTGTGTTTTGAACGTGATGTCCAATGGGACAATGGAACATTCACATAACAGAGGAGACAGGTCAGGTGGCAGCCTCAATTCCTTGCCACCCTTTTCACATACAGCATTGGCAATGCCCCATGAGCACAAAATTTGGGGGAACCATGATGCTAAGACTCAAAGCACATATAAACATGTTACCTCTGTGACTAAAAGAAGTGGAGGTGCTGACAGCCCCCAGAGGCCACAGTTTATGTTCAAACCAAAACTTGCTTAGGGTGCAGAAAGAAGGCAATGGCAGGGTCTAAGAAACAGCCCATCATATCCTTGTTTATTCATGTTACGTCCCTGCATAAACTAATCACTTACACTGAAAATATTGACAGAGGAGGAAATGGAAAGATAGGGCAACCCATAGTTCTTTTTCCTTTTAGTCTTTCCTTATCAGTAAACCAAAGATAGTATTGGTAAAATGTGTGTGAGTTAATTAATGAGTTAGTTTTAGGCAGTGTTTCCACTGTTGGGGTAAGAACAAAATATATAGGCTTGTATTGAGCTATTAAATGTAAATTGTGGAATGTCAGTGATTCCAAGTATGAATTAAATATCCTTGTATTTGCATTTAAAATTGGCACTGAACAACAAAGATTAACAGTAAAATTAATAATGTAAAAGTTTAATTTTTACTTAGAATGACATTAAATAGCAAATAAAAGCACCATGATAAATCAAGAGAGAGACTGTGGAAAGAAGGAAAACGTTTTTATTTTAGTATATTTAATGGGACTTTCTTCCTGATGTTTTGTTTTGTTTTGAGAGAGAGGGATGTGGGGGCAGGGAGGTCTCATTTTGTTGCCCAGGCTGGACTTGAACTCCTGGGCTCCAGCTATCCTGCCTTAGCTTCTTGAGTAGCTGGGACTACAGGCACACACCACAGTGTCTGACATTTTCTGGATTTTTTTTTTTTTTATTTTTTTTGTGAGACAGGTTCTGGCTCTGTTACTCAGGTTGCAGTGCAGTGGCATGATAGCGGCTCACTGCAGCCTCAACCTCCTCAGCTTAAGCTATTCTCCCACTTCAGCCTCCTGAGTAGCCAGGACTACAGTTGTGTGCCACCACACCTGTGGCTAATTTTTGTAGAGATGGGGTCTCTCCACGTTGCCGAGGCTGGTCTCCAACTCCTGGTCTCAAGCGAACCTCCTGACTTGGCCTCCCGAAGTGCTGGGATTACAGGCTTGAGCCACTGCATCCAGCCTGTCCTCTGTGTTAAACCTACTCCAATTTGTCTTTCATCTCTACATAAATGGCTCTTTTCAAAGTTCCCATAGACCTCACTGTTGCTAATCTAATAATAAATTATCTGCCTTTTCTTACATGGTTCATCAGTAGCAGCATTAGATTGGGCTGCTCAATTCTTCTTGGTATATTTTCTTCATTTGGCTTCTGGGGCATCACACTCTCTTTGAGTTACTCATTCCTCATTGATAGCTTCTTCCTAGTCTTCTTTACTGGTTCTTCCTCTTCTCCCTGACTCCTTAATATTGTTTTTCTCCCCAGGCTTTAGTTCTTAGTCCTCTTCTGTTATCTATTTACACCCAATTCTTTCAGAGTCTCCTCCAGAGTCATGAACTTAAACCTGTTTCTGTGCAGATAATTCACATTATTATATCTCCAGCCCAGACTCTCCCGCAAACTGCAGACTGATCCTACTGCAGTATTCCTACCTACTCATCATCTCCACTTAGAAGCTAATAATCATCAAAACTGGACTCCTTATCTCATTCCCTCCCAAATCTGTCGCACCCACAGTCACCCTCACTCCATTCCATCCTTCACAGTTCTCTGGTCAGATACCTGGGAGTCAGCCTGATTCTTCTTTGTGTCGCATTCCGCATCAATTTATTGGGTGATTCTGTTGCTTCTATCTTCACTACATATCCATGATCTTACAGCATCTCACCACTCTTACTGCCACAACTCCTTTTGGAGACATCGTAATTTTCGCCTGAATCAATCTTGCCTTCCTGCTTCTGCCCCTGACTACTTACCTATTCTTCCACAGCATATTGGATGACCTTTCAAAAACCTACTGTTTTTTTTCTGGGGTGGGGTGGGGTGGTTTATTCAAGGATTTAGGGGCAAGTGGTTTAATCCAGAAAACACTGGTGTGGAAAAAACAAAGTGAAAAAGAAAAGAAAAGAAACCAAGGAATACCACTCTGGGCTATTCAAGCTTAATCCTTCTTAACCCCTCTTAATCCTCAGAGGAGGAACTCTGGGAAACAATGTTGAAAATATGCCTAAAAATGATCAAACTTCAAGGGTAAGGGAGCTGGGATAGTCATACACCATTTACCAAAAATTGCTTGGGAGCTATTCTAAACCTCCAATTCAGTGGAACATCTGGCCTGCCATGAATGTGGGCAAAGTGTGATCAGCAGGTGGGGAAAGCTCTCATGCAATAAGATGCAAGTACCGGCAGGTAGAAATCAGCCTGGTGGACATTGACATGGTGAAGGTCAGGGGGATATGGGGGGGGCTTCTTGGTGGGATGCCAGAGGTAATATGGTGAGGCTCCAACATCTTCAATGTGGAGTTGATCCTTGATCCTTGGTCTTCAAAGTTGGTCAGTGGCCAGGTGCCGTGGCTCATGCCTGTAATCTTAGCAGTTTCTGAGGCAGGTGGATCACTTGAGGTCAGGAGTTCAAGACTAGCCTAGCCAACATGCTGAAACCCCGTCTCTACTAAAAATACAAAAATTAGTCGGGCGTGGTAGCACATGCCTGTAATCCCAGCTACTAGGGAGGCTGAGGCAGGAGAATCACTTGAACCCGCGAGGTGGAGGTTGCAGTGAGCCAAGATCACACCACTTCACTCCAGCCTGGGCAAAAGAGCGAAACTCCATCTCACGTACACACACAAAGTAATAATAATAGTAATAATAATAATAAAATAAAAGTTGGTCAGTGGTCAATACATTTTCCAGGTCATTCCTGGGAGAATAAACAGTTTAAAAAAGGCTCAGATATCTTAGAGAGCCTGAGATGTTCCTAGAACTGAAACCAGTGTTGTACAAAAGGAACACTGATGTTGAAGAACTACTGCTGGATTAGAAGGAGTTAGGAGTATTAGGAAGCCCTACCTGCCATTGGGAATAAAAGTAGAAGATAAGACAATGATCAGGTTCCTTGTAGCTATTTTAGCCATGAAAATAGAAACTTTAGACCAGATACAGCATGCATATATAAGATAGTCATGTAACTTTCCATTGAATGTGATGCTCAGTCTATTTACTAATAATAATTAGGCATAAAACTCAACATTAAGAAATGATCTCGCATGGTAATTTTCAGGTGCAGCAAGGATTTAAGAGGCTAAGATTTTATGATTCATGCTACAATTTTCTATTTGTCTTAGGGAAGATCTGTCCCCAAAGAAGCAAATGGTTGGTAGAAGTTATGAGGGAAAAAGGAAAGCAATCTGAATTGTGGGTGCTGTGGCAAGGGAGAAAAGGAGAAAAAGGACAGTCACTATGGCTGCATATGGGGCCAAGAGACAGAGCAGGTGAAATGCCTCTTGTGTCTAATAATTATTTTTGCTGTAATCCTAATGACTGAACTTTCCAGGCTTGAAAAACTGCCATAGTATTTTAAAATCCCAATCTTAGATCTGTGTTCATTCTAATTTTGAGATTTTTACTACTTTTAGCTCAATACATTTAAATGTTCTAGAATTCTACCACAAAGAACCAAAGAAACTTTAGACATTTTCCTAAGCTTATCATAATATAAAGTGATATTAGGCTGTACGTAGACCACTGGCAATACTTCACTAAGCTTTTTCTTGGGATATGTTGATATTAATATATTAAAATATATATGTATATTTAAAAACCTGTTTTCTATGAACACTTTTAGCATACCTCTTAGTGCTCAAGTTCACACAATTTTGTTGGATATTTACCTAGAAAGGAATCTGGTCTTCTTAATGAATTCATACTTCTGAATTTCCTGGATGTATCCATCTGGATACATTAGCTTATGCTGCAATAATAAGTAATTCCTCTCCCCCACGCCAAATCATACTGGCTTATAACCATAAACTCCTATTTCTGTGTCATAAAAATCTATCATGATTTGGTTGGTGGTCTCTATTTCACTAATAAACCCTGATTTGTAGATCCTCTACAATCAAAATAATCAATTATTTTGTCAAGGTAAGGTAAAAAGGGACCCGATAGATTGCTCACTGACTCTCAAACATCTGGAAGGGACACCTCATTTTCCAGAACAAATGTGTCATATGTCCACATCTATTTCTGAGGAAGTAAGAACTACAATCTGCACATGCTACGTTACTAGAAGACTGTGGATCAGAATGACCATATGACCATCACAGAGCACCATAGGGCCACCAATTATTCTGGCTGCTCTCCTTCCTAAAAGCCAAATACATTTAGCTTTTCCCTATGGGAGACAACACAAAGGTCCATTAGAACATGGGCCAGTTGGAAGTCTAGCATCTCTGAACCATGGTGGTCCCTCCATTGATGAAGGATTGCAGTAGTTTCTATGTTGATTTTCATAAAAGCAGCTAGGCAAGTTTCCCAAATCTGAAACTTAGTGCAATAAAAAATATTGTACATAATATGAAAACATCAGAACAAAAGCATTGGAGACAAAATATGGTGAAAACAAACGTATTGTTGTATAATACGTTAGAACATAATTATTATGGGTAAAAGAACAAACAGTTCTTTTAGTTCCCCTAAATCTTAGAGAATACTTTGATTTTGTTTGTTTTTATTTTTTATTTGATTTATTTTTTGTTTTTGTTTTTGTTTTGAGACGGGGTCTCGCTCTGTTGCCCAGGCTGGAGTGCAGTGGCTACATCTCCACTCGCTGCAACCTCTGCCTCCTGGGTTCAAGTGATTCTCCTGCCTCAGCCTCCCAAGAACCTGGGACTACAGGCACCTGCTCCAATGCCCAGTGAAGGTACCTGCCACAATGCCAGCCGGTTTTTGTATTTTTAGTTGAGACAGACTTTCACCACATTGGCCAGGTTGGTCTCGAACTCCTGACCTCAGGTGATCTTCCCACATCTGCCTCGCAAAGTGGTGGGATTGCAGGTGTGAGCCACCATGCCTGGCCTAAGCAGTGTCTTTTATAAAGCAAACATTTAAATTTGATTAAGTCTAATTTATTAATTTATATTTTTATAGCTTTTTTTGTGTGTGTGTTCCTTTAAAGAATTTTTTGCCTAACCAAAGGTCATACAAATTTTCTTCTAGAAGTTTTACAATTTTATGATAAAGTTTTAATTATTAAATATGTTGCTGATGTGGGGCCATAGATTTTTTTAAATACATGAATGTCCAATTGTACCCGTACCAATTACTGAACGCCTATCCTTTTTCCATTGAATTATTTTGACAGCTTTCTCAAAAATCAATTGTCAATATGTATGTGAGTCTGCTTCCTGGCTCTCTAGTTTGTCCCATTGATCTGCAGGCCTATCCTTACACCAACACCATTTTGTCTTGATTACTTAATTTTTAAATAAATCTTGAAAACTTAACAGTGTATGTCCTCCAACTTTGTAATTCTTATTTAAGATGGCTGTTGTTATTCTGAGTTATTTGTGTTCCAAGTTAATTTTGTAAAATAATCTGGACCATTTTTACAAAAAAAAAAACAACCCACTGGGATTTTTATTGGGATTGTGTTGAATCCATAAATTAACCGGAGGGACTTGGCAGCTCCACAGTATCAAATCTTCTGATCCATAAATATGTTATATCTCTCATTTATTTGGTTCTGAGTGATTTATTTATTTATTTATTATTTATATTTTTGAGACAGAGTTTCCCTCTGTCTCCCAGGCTGGAGTGCAGTGGCAACATCTCCGCTCACTGCAACCTCGGCTTCCCGGGTTCAAGCGATTCTCCCGCCTCAGCCTACCGAGTAGCTGGAATTACAGGCGTGCGCCACCACGCCCGGCTAATTTTTGTATTTTTAGTAGAGACAGGGTTTCTTAGTCATACAGTAAGTTGATGCAAAAGTAATTGCCGTTTTGCCAGTAGAAAACGGCAAAAAGTAATTGCGGTTGTTCCCATCTTTTACTGGCAAAACCGCAATTACTTTTGCACCAACCTATAAAGTACAACTTATAAAGTATTTTGTTTACTTTATAAGTCAGGGTTTTGTACAAGTAAAACTTTCAAAGTGTGCATTTAAAATTTTTTTTAAAAAAATTGACAGCAGTCTGTAAGTGTTGAGAAGAAAGTGCACATTTTAGCAAGTTCAGGCAAATGTATGCTGGAAGTAACCAACACAAATACAAAGATAAATACATATCCTTTGCTTCCCAAAACTGTCTCATGCCCTTTTACAGTCGATTGCTGCTATCCATTCTCAGCCCCTGACAACCCAGGCTGGAGTGCAATGGCGCGATCTCGGCTCACTGCAACCTCCATCTCCTGGGTTCAAGCGATTCTCCTGCCTCAGCCTTCCGAGCCTCAGCCTCCCGAGTAGCTGGGATTACAGGTATGTGCCACCACGCCCGGCTAATTTTTTATTTTTAGTAGAGATGGGATTTCACCATGTTGGTCAGGCAGGTCTCGAACTCCTGACCTCAGGTGATCTGCCCGCCTCGGCCTCCCAAAGTGCTGCGATTACAGGCGTGAGCCACCGCGCCCGGCCTGATTTTGGTTTTTATACTTTTGTCTTTTCTCTAACTGTATAAATGAAATAATTTGGGACCAGGCACCGTGGCTCATGCCTGTAATCCCAGCACTTGGGGAGGCCGGGGCGGGTGGATCACTTGAGGTCAGGAGTTGGAGACCAGCCTGGGGAACAAGGCGAAAACCCGCCTCTACAAAAATTAGCGGGGCGTGGTGGCACGTGCCTGTAGCCTCAGCTACTCGGGAGGCTGAGGTTGGAGGATAACTTGAACCCGGGAGGCGGAGGTTGCTATGAGCCGAGATCCCACCACTGCACTCTTTAGAGCCTGGGTGACAGAGTTGAGACCCTGTCTAAATAATAATAATAATAAATTGAATGTATCCCTTTGTAATTCCCTGTTGTTGTTGTTGTTGTTGTTGTTGTTGTTGTTGTTGTTGTTGAGACAAGAGTTTTGCTCTGTCACCCAGGCTAGAGTGCAGTGGCGCGATCTTGGCTCACTGCAGTCTCTGCCTCCCGGGTTCAAGCGATCCTCCTGCCTCAGCCTCCCAAGTAGCTAGGGTTACAGGCTCCCGCTACCGCGTCCGGTTAATTTTTGTATTTTTAATAAAGACGGTGTTTCACCATGTTGGCCAGGCTGGTATCGAATTCCCGATCTCAGGTGATCCGCTCTCCTTAGCCTTCCGAAGTATTGGGATTACAGGCGTGAGCCACACCGCCCAGTCAATGATTGACTTTCTTTATATAACATAATGCTTTAAGATTTATCAATGTGGTGGCCTTTTTGGAGGCCGAGGCAGGCGGATCACCCGAGGTCAGGAGTTGGAGGCCGGCCTGCCCAACGTGGCGAAACCCCCTCTCTACTAAAAATACAAAAAATTAGCCGGGCGTGGTGGCGGGCACCTGTAATCCCAGCTACTCGGGAGGCTGAGGCAGGAGAATCGCTTGAACCCGGGAGGCAGAGGTTGCAGTGAGCCGAGATTGCGCCACTACACTCCAGCCTGGGTGATAAGAGCGAAATTCTGTCTTAAAAAAAAATTATCAATGTGGCATATATTAGTAGTTAATTCCTTTTATTGCTGAGCAGTATTCCATTATGTGGATTTACTACAACTTATCCATTCACCAGCTGATAGATACTTGGATGTTTCTAGTTTTTGGCAGTTATGCATAAAGCTACTATAAATATTCATGTAGTGTTATGGCAAATATATGTATAACTTCATTTTTAAAAACTGACAGTGTTTTTCAAGGTGGACCAGTTTGTATTCCCACCAGCAATATATAAGAATTTCAGTTATTTCACATCATCATCGGCGCTCGGCACTGTTAATTTCTCACCTTTTTTTTTTTTAACTTCAGCTATTCTCTTAGGTGTGTAAAGTATCTCATTGTGGCTTTAATTTGCATCTGCCTAATGAATAGTGATGTTACATATCTTATTATGCTTATTGGCCATCAGTACAGCTTCTTTTGTAAAATATCTGTCCAAATCATTTGTCCATTTAAAAAAAGGTATTGTCTGGTCTTATTATTGAGTTGCAAGAGTATGTTATTGTTCTGGTTATAAGTCCTGCATCAGGGAAGTGTTTTCCAAGTATCTTTTTCTAAACTGTGACTTTTTTTTTTTTTTTTTTTTTGGTAGAGAGGGGATTTCGCTGTGTTACCCAGGCTGATCTTGAACTCCTGGACTCAAGCAATCTGCCGGCCTCAGCCTTCCAAAGTGCTGGGATTACAGGCTTGAGCTACCATGCCTGGCCTGACTTGTCTTTTCTTAACAGTATCTTTTGAAGCGCAGATTTTTTGTTAAACTTTGATGAAATTCAACTTATTTTTTCCTTTATGGTTTATGCTTTTGTGTCCCATTTAAAATCTTTTTGCTTAACCTAAAGTCACAAAGAGTTCCTTCTACGTTTTCTTCTAGAGGTTTTGTTGTTCTAGTCCTTGCATTTAAGTCTTTGATTAATTTTGAATTAATGTTTGTACATTGTGTGATATAAGGGTCTAAGTTCACTTATTAGCACATGGATATTCAGGTTTTTTAGCATCATTTTGCAAAGATTATTGTTTTCCTGTAGAATTACCTTGGCACCTCTGTCAAAAATCAATTAATCATAATCATGTAAGTTTATCTCTAGACTCTATGTAGCTTTGTTGTAAGTCTTGAAATCAGGTAGTGTTCTTCCAACTTTGTTCTTCAAAATTGGTTTGGATATTTTGCATCTTTTGACTGTCTGTATACATTTTATACATTTTATATTTGGCTTGCCAATTTCTAAAAAAAATCATTGAGATTTTGATAGTCATGGCATTAAATGTATCAGTCAATTTGAAAGATATGGAATTGATATCTGAAAATTGTTTAAATTTTCTGTTCTGGAAACAATGCATTGCTTTCATTGCATCTTGGTAAATTTATCTCTAAATGTTTCATATTTTTTATACTATTTCAAATGGTATTTTGTATTTCAATTTCTAACTATTTATTGTTAACAAATACAATCTATTAATAAATAGAATTACAATTTATTATATTTGTGTCCTGCAGTTTTGGTAAGCTTACTCATTAGTTGTAGTAGCTTTGTAGAAGTTTCCTCAGTATTTTCTCGTAGACAATAATGTTACATGCAAATAAAGATAGTCTCACTTTTTCCTTTTAATCTGTATTTTTTTCTTTCTCTTGTGTTATTGCACTGGCTAGAATCTCTAGGATAATGCTGAATAGAAGTTGTGAGAGTGGACATCCTTGCTCTGGACCTGATGTTAGGGCCAAAACATTTGAGTTTTTCATCACTAAATATATTAGCTGTTGAATTCTTAAATATGTCTTTTATACTTTGCAGAAATTCTAACAAATGTATCTGAATTTTGTCAATTGCTTTTTTCTACACCTACTGGAATAATCATATGGCTTTTCCTGTTTAGTCTGATAATAAAGTAATTACACTGATTACATTGATTTCAAAATTAAATTCTAAGCTACACTTTTCTTTTCTTCTTTAATTCTTTGAAAGTTACTCTTCCCATTTTTTAGATTAAGGTACAATTCACATACAGTAATGTCATCAGTTTTAATGTACATTCTCCTTAGTGTAGCAAATTTTGTCAAATATAGACAGTCGTGTTATCACCATTACAATCAAGATATGGAATAATAATATCACTCTACCCCCAAATTTCTGCATGTTTCTTCTTCTTTTCCTCCTCCTTCTTCTTCTTCTCCTTCTCCTTCTTCTTCTTCTTTTTTTTTTTTTTTAATAGACAGGGTCATGCTCTGTTACCCAGGCTGGAGTGCAGTTCTTCCATCATAGCTTACTGCAGGCTGGAACTCCTGGGCTCAAGCCATTACAGGCATGACACCAGGCCTAGCCTCCCAGGAGGAAAGAAGAAAGAAGTTGTTTCTTCTTCTTCTTTCTTCCTTCTTTCTTTCTCCTCCTCTTCCTCCTCCTCCTCTCCTTCTCCTTCTTCTTCCTCTTCTTCTTTTTCTATTTTGTTCTTACTGAATCACTATGTTTCTTTTATACTTAATTTCTCCCCTATCTTCTACCCCAGTAGCAACTAAGGATATTTTCTGTCCCTATAGCTTTGCCCTTGCAAGAATTTCATAGGAATAATATAGTATGTAGCATTTTGTATCTGGCTTTGTAAATTCAGCATAATGCAGATGAGTTTCATCCCTGTTGTTACGTTTACCAATAGTTTGTTCCTTTTTATTCCATAGGAATATTATAGTGGTCTGTAAGCTTCAAGAGAAGTTAAAACCATCTAGGTAGGACTCAATTCGCAAGTTGAAAAGGTGCTAAAACAATAGAGAAGCTACAGGGTGAGATTGTAATCAAGTGATGATGATACATTTCCAAGAATTATTTCAGATAGTTAGATTTAGCCATAAACCCATTTTGAACTTGTGTCTGCAACAAGAGGGAATAAATAGAATGGCCGTTCTGACACCAGATTCTGTAAGAAGAGGAAGAAGGAAGTCTTCCCTCAAAGTGATACAGAAATCTAGTGCGGAAAGGTACTAATTACTTGTTCTTGTATTCCCAGGAGGCAAATATTGGGGATTATCAGGGGAAAGAGCATTTCAGGCAAATGAAATTCCAACTTTAACAGCCCAGAGGTGTGATTCTTATGCTAAGATTAGTTTATAGGTAAAGAAAATAATTGATGAGATTAGCTATTGGAGTTCTTCCTGATCAAAATCAACTCTATAGTACCGTGTCACTGAGAGTCAGGAGGCTCTGGGAGCTCCTGAGCATAGCAGTAACTGATGAGAAACATACTGAGCATTTTTTTCTGTATGTTTGCTGCCCCCTGTGAAAATTAGTGAAGCTTTTATTCGAGAAAGCATGTGAACTGAGATCCTGGGGTTTGGTGGTGAAATGGCAGGGTTGGTCAACTGCTTTCACATCTGGTGTCCAAGGCTCAGTTAGTACACTTCATATGGGCAGAGACCATCTCATAAGAATCTGCTCATTTCTCTTCTCTGGCTTCTCGTATTTTCCCCGACTAGGTTACATTATTGGAAAGGAATTTACCAGACCATATATTCTTAGTTTCTCATGGCAATGAATTGAATAACTGAATTAAATATTAGTTATGTTGCTGCAGATATTTCTCATGGGAAACGCTGGAGAGGATCTTTTGAAAAAAAAAAACCGTATTTTTGTCAAGATTACAATTATGGAGAACTTTAACTGTAATAAGTGATGATCTTTTATAAATAAATTCACCAGCACTCCTTTCCATAAATTTCACAATTTATAATTTCCATATACTTCTAATAATTTTATAAAAAAGAAAAGTCTCTCCAGATGCCTTCCCGTTCTTCCCATTGGTGTTCATTTCTGTTTTAGGCACGAGGAAGCTGAATACCATGATAGGTACTTATTAGCAAAGCATGACAGCATACCTTTGTGAAAACTGTCAGAATCAAAATGGAGTCACTATTGTTAAAACACACAAACACACAAAACAAACTAAAAACGCTAATTAATAGAGCTGGAAAAGGCCATGCTTGATAACAAAAACTATCACAAAAGACTGCAAAAACCACAATCTTGCACAGGCCATCACAATCTTACACAAAAAATACTTCTACAAGGACATCTGCCCCACAACTGCCTGTCCAACCTCGGACTAGCTTCCTCTTTGCTATCCATTTTTGTAGCAGACAATAATTACCTCAACACAGTTATATAATCCTTCTCATTTTTTCCCTTACAAATCTTTGTCGCTGAGCTCGGTGGCTCACGCCTGTAATCCCAGCACTTTATATTCTGGATCATGAGGTCAGGCGGGCGGATCATGAGGTCAGGAGTTCGAGACCAGCCTGGCCAATATGGTGAAACCCCGTCTCTACTAAAAATACAACAATTAGCCGGGCGTGGTGGCGGGCATCTGTAATTCCAGCTACTCCGGGAGGCTGAGGCAGGAGAATTGCTTGAACCCGGAAGGCGGAGGTTGCAGTGAGCCGAGATTGCGCCATTGCACTCCAGCCTGGGCGACAGAGCCAGACTCCAACTCAAAAACAAACAAACAAACACCTTTGTCTTCCTTTACCTCCCTGAATATACATAGTTTCCTATGGCACTCGTATTTTCATTGCAATGCTCTATTCCCAAATAAACATCATTTTCTTTCAGAGAGCTTCTCTTTGTTATTTAGGTTGACACCTGTAAATAGAATGCTATATTTCTTTTTTAAATTGTAGGGGGAGAGAGAAGTGTTGTGTTTCATTTACTTGTCCCATTACAATTGTGCAATATCATATGAGCCGCTCAATTCCTAAACATATGAACACACACCGCACTTCTGTTTTGTGTCTCGAACACAAATTACAAATTATACAAATTGTGTAATTTTCCTTGCCCTTCAGAAAGGAGAATCTCAATGTTTCCGAAATGAACTGGGCAGTAACTTCGCTTCAAGGCGGTAGGTCCCCCCTCTTCAACCCAGTTGTCTAAAATAACCTTGTCTTTATTATTTACTTCCTATAGAGAGAGGAGGTGCTAAGCGGACAGGACAGCTGGACAACACGCGCAATAAGGGCAATGGTCCTATCTATTCTAAGGGAGGAGGACATGGAATATTGGTGTGGTTTTGTTTATTTTTTATTTTTTTGGACCTATGTGAAACATTTTTACAGTAAAACCCACAAATTTTAAATGTTCAAGAGAATTGTTCATATACTTGTATAGTCAGTATCCCTACTCAGATAAGAACATTTTAGAACATTTTGGAACATTTCTAATATCCTAGAAAATTTCCTCACGTTTCCCTATATTTTCAAAATGAACAAGAATACAGGATAGTCAAAAGCAATAGGTAAATCCTAAAGAATCCAAAACGAGGGTAATGACATCCTTCGATAGCTCAGCTGGTAGAGCGGAGGACTGTAGGGGTTTGAATGTGGTCATCCTTAGGTCGCCGGTTCGAATCCGGCTCGGAGGAGTTCCATTTTTAAAAGTGTCTCTTCTGGGCCTGAAATAAGGAAACTTGGAGAACGCAGTGTGCAGCTTGCTTATTCATGAATTTGTAAGACGCTCAGAGAAGGAAAATAATCCACCCTGAAAATTGCTAACAAGGGTTGCTTCACAGACAGTTGAGTGGGACTCGATTTTCACCAAGTTGAGAAGGGATCATGAGGAATGTGGGGAACGGGAAGAACACGCTGCCCCAAGGCTTCATATTTTTTTTTTTGTCGGTTCCACGGTCCTTTAGCACCCCCTGTTATATTGATACTTGGTGTGAATAAACATTTTATTAATGATAATTTCAAATATATACAAAGTAGAGAAAATAGCTAATAGCTACCATTAGCCACCACACTGGCACAACTTACCGACACTCTTGCATCCATCATGCCCCTCCCCTAGCTCCAGATCTTTTAAAGCCACCCCAACACGTGTTCTCATTTCATTAACTGTACTGTGTTTTGAAGATGTCAGTGTTTATAATTAAATAGCAGTAGACGGAGTTTATCGCTCTCATCGTACCCCGCTCCTCTTCAAAAAAGGAGCAGTGGACACCTACCTGACAGAAAGTTCTCTTCAATAAAGTTAATGAAACAGGCGTGTTTGAATTCGAGAAGTCTATTATTAGACTTTTAGACACTCCATGAAAGAGTGCAGGGCCCTGTTACTTTAGAAATATACTTGGGGACTGGCAAAAACTGTCATCTCTGATTTTAATAGTGGACACATTTACTCCCTGCTTCCATTCTCTGGGCTACTCTGCGCTCTTGGAGCGAGATGGGAAATTTTGTCAGGCCGCAGCAAGGACGGATTTATGTTGATAGTCATCAAACTCGCCCCGGGCTGCTTCCAGAAAGCTAACCGGATTACTTGTACGCGGTTCCCAGCACTGTCCTTTGCAGTCAGCTTGTCGCTGGCGCCGATGGGAAGAACTGAAACGCCTCAAGGGTGGGGACGGCGCCCCCTGCTGGTCGCGCCCTCGGGCGACGATAAGAGACTGAGGACCCGAGCCCGCGCGGGGAAAACTGCCCTGAGCTTGGCTTAGGGATGGTCCGCAGGCCGCCTGGTGGGAGCAGGACCGCCGTGGCCCGGTCCGTTCTGCGGTTGCGTAGGTCATAGAAGGAAAAGTGGTTTGTGATCTGATAGGGAATCTGAGGACAGACCCAGGGAGAGCAGAAATAAGCGCGCCGCCGGGGGGTCGCCAGAATTGGAGGCTTGTGCGCCTCTGACAAGTATTTGCAACATAAGTATGCATATGGATAATGTATCAATACACACGTGTAATAGATGCCAAACAAATTCTTCAAATAATTGTCACACATTTAAATTTTCAGACATTCACAAAATCAAATGTAAAATATTAAACTGAAAGTTCACAACTTAAATTTTCAAAAATTAAATCTAATTAAATTTCCAAAGTTGAACTGTTTTCAAAATTAAATTTTAAAATATTCAAAATTCCGAGGTAAATTTCCAGAAATAGTTAAAACCTCAAAACTCAAAATTTTTAAATGAAATTTATAAACTTTAAAAGGTGAGTCATTCCTCAGCTGGAATCGCACCCGGGGCCCTTGAATAAAATGCTATTTTGATCGCTAGAACACATAGAAACTTCTCTAAAATTGTTCTGCAAAATTCCCTAAAAAGCCGGCATCAACCCGCCTTTTAGCGTCTCGACAAGGCGTTCTATAGGGTAGGTTATATTTGGGGATCTGCCTTTTCTGGTTCTGCCTGTCCTGAGTTGGAGATCTGACCGGGAATCTGAGCCTAACCCAAGTTTCCCATCCCGCTTCCACGCTCTGAATCAGGCTTCCGACCTGACACACCACTTCCTCCCTCTCCCCTCGGCCTTCCCCTGGACCCGACTGTATTGCCCAATCATTTCCTTTCATTTGTCATCACCACCTTGGACCCGCCCCCTCGTCTCAGGCCGTCGCACGCGTTTTGCGTCAGTTGGCAAGGCACTTTACGGCCGTCGTGCCGCTCGTGTCAGTCAACATGGAGGCAGAGGAATCGGAGAAGGCCGCAACGGAGCAAGAGCCGCTGGAAGGGACAGAACAGACACTAGATGCGGAGGAGGAGCAGGAGGAATCCGAAGAAGCGGCCTGTGGCAGCAAGAAGCGGGTAGTGCCAGGTATTGTGTACCTGGGCCATATCCCGCCGCGCTTCCGGCCCCTGCACGTCCGCAACCTTCTCAGCGCCTATGGCGAGGTCGGACGCGTCTTCTTTCAGGCTGAGGGTAAGTATGCAGGCCCTGACGGTGACAGGAGGAGGTTGTCGCTCGCTGGCGGGGTGCAAGCATGCATGTCCTGTTGCTTCGCTGCGCGAGGCTGAGGCACGAGTTGCTGGATTTTGGGGGTGGGGAGTGCGGTGCTTGGCTCCTGGCTGGTGAATCAGTCTGTGAGGATGCTGGGGTGGGCGGGCGGAGGGGATATGGGGAGAGTGGGTAGCGCAGTGTGTCTGGTGGTTCTTTAGTTCTCGGATTGTTACTATTTGTGTTCTTATCCCGGCTCTGTTCACCTCTCTTTCCGGACCTGTTTACTGGTTTGTTACATGAATACAACCTGAGTAAAAGTCTCGTCAGCTTTTCTACAAAACTGAACATAACTCTTTAGCATTGCTGCCTAGGTCAAGAAACTATTTGATCAACCGCCCCTCTTCTTTCCACCCTCAATTTTACTTTGAGGCTGAGGACTTGTGCCGGTTTTAAGTAGCGTTCAGGGCTGGCCAGATTAAGGAGTGGACAATTAAGGAAAGAATTGAGTTAGCTAGAGGAAAGGGTGCGATTTACAGTTCCCTTCCTCCTGGGCAAAAACTCTTCAGGTGGGACTCCCACTGGCAGATGTGAAGAACGTTGCGGGCAGTGGGAGGTGCTTTTGAGTGAGTGCTGCATAGGCGTCCTGGACGGGTCTTTGTCTTTGGCGCGCAGACCGGTTCGTGAGACGCAAGAAGAAGGCAGCAGCAGCTGCCGGAGGGAAAAAGCGGTCCTACACCAAGGACTACACCGAGGGATGGGTGGAGTTCCGTGACAAGCGCATAGCCAAGCGCGTGGCGGCCAGTCTACACAACACGCCTATGGGTGCCCGCAGGCGCAGCCCCTTCCGTTATGATCTTTGGAACCTCAAGGTGAGAAGATAGATCTTTCTGCCACACCTCTCACCCTCCCTTCTCCCCAACTCTGGCCCAAGTATCCCCATGGCCTCTCATTGGCCTTGTCCCCTTGTCTCATCTTTCTCCCTAATCTGCACTATCCTGATCTTTTCTTCTTTTCTGCCCACAGTACTTGCACCGTTTCACCTGGTCCCACCTCAGCGAGCACCTCGCCTTTGAGCGCCAGGTGCGCAGGCAGCGCTTGAGAGCGGAGGTTGCTCAAGCCAAGCGTGAGACCGACTTCTATCTTCAAAGTGTGGAACGGGGACAACGCTTTCTTGCGGCCGATGGGGACCCTGCTCGCCCAGATGGCTCCTGGACATTTGCCCAGCGTCCTACTGAGCAGGAACTGAGGGCCCGTAAAGCAGCACGGCCAGGGGGACGTGAACGGGCTCGCCTGGCAACTGCCCAGGACAAGGCCCGCTCCAACAAAGGGCTCCTGGCCAGGATCTTTGGAGCCCCGCCACCCTCAGAGAGCATGGAGGGACCTTCCCTTGTCAGGGACTCCTGAGGGCCTGGGTGGCCCCTTCCATTTCCTGGCCCTGCTCTGCTTCCTGTCTACCTCATACTAGAATGATCGTGACTACCCGGGCAGACATTTTACTGTGTTTCTCAGACCAAGTGTCTACTGATGGCCCAAACATGGAGTTTTGTGGGCTTCCACTGTCCCCACTCCGAACTCCTGTATGTGCCTGGCTGAGTCACCTAATTCATACTGTCATACTAGCATAATTATGACTATTGCATATGCTTGTTTTGTTTGACTCTTGGCTGCCTACGTCTGTAGGGTCCCCTGAAAATCCCACTTCCTGCCCCCAGAAAGGGCCTTTATTTCCAACTAGGAGGATAATGCCTAGTCCAGGCAATCTTTCTCTGTTTAGCAGTCACAGGTGAGGGTGGTATTAGCATCTTTTTTATGTAGAAAAAATTGAGTTAATGGGGTGGACTGGGTTGGGAAGAAATACATTTCCTAATGTATTTATAGAAAATAAAAATATTTTTATGTGCCTTTTTATTTTTGTTGGTGGGGAGGTCATTGGACAAGTTCCAACTTTCATCTTGTGTTCCCTTCACCTTCATATCCTGATCTTAGAGCCCCCCTCCCCCTGCCACCCACCTTACTGTTTAACCTGGATTTTTTTTTCTATTTAATTTTTGTCTAATATCTTAGCCCAGTTTATCAATCAGTTATCTTAAGTCAGCATTTTCTAAGCCATTGTTTGAGGAAACAGTGACAATAGGTAATAACACATCTTAGTATTAAGAGTTTTACAGGCCACTAGTATAAGATAGGCATCGTGGTAGATGCATATAAAGGGTGGAATGGGAGCCATGGCAGGTCATAGAGTCCTCTCAATGGGAACCTGATTGATGATCACAGTCTTCAGTGGTGAGTCAGTCCTCACCAAGTTTTCCAGATCATTCCTACAAAGTAAACTGGGAGAATAATAAGTCTGAAAGAGTGTGGAGTGCTCCCACAATTACAAAGAATGCTTCCTGGGTGGAGTGTTGAGTTGGAACCATTGTAAAGGTGGGCAAAGCCTAGTAGAGAACCAGTGCACCTCAGGTGCACTTACATATGGTGGGGCTGAGGCAAAGCAGCCCTGTAGGCTTCAAAGAATCAGTGTAAGCCACTAAAAGGAACTGAAAACCTAGGTGTCACAATAAACAGTCTACACAGTCTCACGTAGACCAAAATTCTGATCATTTTCCAGGCTGTTGCATGAAGTGATAGAGTATGATTATAATTTCTGTTTGCTTGTGCTGTTTGTTTTTGTTTTTCATCTGTCAATGTGATGATCTGTGTTTTATAGGGTAGAGTGGATTTGTCTACTTTGGCTGTAAAATACCCTAATCACATTATGATCTTGACAGGTGCACTTTACTGGGGAGAATAAAAAGGACCATACGGTAAAGCTGGTATAACATTTCTCACAACCCACATACCTCTTATACTTGGCACACAAACTACGTTTCCATTTAGAAACTTTCGTCTTGTTTCTGTTTTTAATTCTTGTGGGTTTGTTTCATGTGAATTGTTTCCTCAGATCATTGATGTCTTAAAGTGAAACAGAAAAATCCAGAATCAGAATTTGACAGGCTGGCATATTCATTTATTCAGAATTCCAAGTGCCCATTGCTACTTCTGCTAGATAAAGAGATACCAAGGTGAAGAAGAAACTTTCCCTCTAGTTGCTAACAGCTTAGAAAGTACAGTAGACATACTGGGGTTTTATTTAAGACTTTCTTGAATGAAGAAATAAATTGCATTCCCACGGTGGACAGCGTTAGATAACAGTATGTTCAAGGGCTGGTATTTCAGGGTCCATCTCCAAAACAGTTCTGTACAAAGAGCTCACACCTGCGGCCAGGCAAGCTAAGTAAGTCACAGGTGGAGTGAGGAATGAGAATAAATGGGTGGAAGAAAATATCCTAGGAACTTTCATCTTGACTTTAAGCCCATTGAGTGTAGGAAAATAATTTTTTACATCCACAATTTTGTTTCTATTTAAACAGCACTTGTTTTTTTATATGAAGTAACTCATTTAATCCACAACTATATAATATTGTTATCCCCCCATTAAAACTGAGCTCAGAGAGATGACTCAATTTGCCTCTTAATATTTTATCCTTTGTTCCTCACCTTTTCCCCAGCTTTTCCCAGTGTGCATATGGTGAATGCTTATTACAGGAAATTCATGAGAAATGCACATGTTATAGACTAGAGAATGAAGTGTACCTGCCAATATGAGTGGATTTATTTTATCTAGCACCAAGAGTAGCAAACTGAGTAATAATTCTCAGTCATGATCCTGTGGTTGTAGTGTATACTCTGATTCAACTTAGTTTCACTCCTGACTGAGAAGCTGGGACTCTGCATTTGATGGCAATGGAGTGGGCTGATTTCTTTCCAAATAAGTTGAGGTGGGACTCCTGGTAGAGTAAGAGGGCTTTAATAGGGTATGTCTGGGTGCCTAAAAGCTTTCTCTCTCTTTTTTTTTTTCAGAGACAGGGTCTCTCTATGTTGCTCAGGCTGGCCTTGAGCTCCTGGGCTCAAGCGATCCTCCCGCCTCAGCCTCCCAAAGTACTGGGATTACAGGCATGAGCCACCACGCCCTGCCCTAAAAATGTTCAAAAGTCGTATTTACAGCTACTCTCAAATTCCTTTTTTTTTGTGATTCCTTATAAAACCTTTCTCCCTGCATTTATCTTGTTATATTACAGTAGAATTATGAGGGGAAAATCCTTTGGTGGAAGTCTAGGGACATGCTCAGTTCCCAGGAGGCTTAATGTGAATTTTAGTGAATTGCTTAAGATCCAGTATTAGATCTGCTGGTCCCTGCCCACCCCCCTTTTATTTTTTGAGACAGGGTCTCACTTTGTCACCCAGGCTGGAGTGTAGTGGCATGATCCTGTCTCACTGTAGCCTCCATCTTCTGGGCTCAAGCAATCCTCCCACCTCAGTTTCCTGAGTAGCTGGGACCGCAGGCATGCACCATCACGCCCAGCTAATTTTTAAAATATTTTTTGTAGAGATGAGGTCTCACTGTGTTGCCCAGGCTGCTCTCGAACTCCCGTTCTCAAGCGATCCACCCACCTTGGCCTCCCAAAGTGCTGAGATTACAGCCACGGTGCTCGGCTCCCATCTTGAAATCAATACCTGACAGAATATTAAAGAAAATGAAAATTGGCCGGGTGTGGTGGCTGACGCCTGTAATCCCAACACTTTGGGAGGCCAAGCCTAGTGGATCACTTGAGGTCAGGAGTTCGAGACCAGCCTGGGCAACACGGTGAAACCCTGTCTCTACTAAAAATACAAAAATTAGCCGGGTGTAATGGCGGGCCCCTGTAATCCCAGCTACGCAAGAGGCTGAGGCAGGAGAATCGCTGCTTGAACCCGGGAGGCGGAGGTTGCAGTGAGCCGAGATTGAAAATGAAAAATTTTCTATCTTCTGTTACCAGGGCCCTTGAAACCACACTTTTTTCGCACCCCTTGTTAACTGGAGACACGAAGGCGGGCGGAGGGGAGAGGCCATCGGAAACCTGGCAATGTCTTTTGCAGCTGCATGGTGTGTGCCCAGCCACCTTCAGCAGTTATTGTGGCCAGTCTGTGGCTGACCTGGGCTATCAGGGTTAGCGCACTCCAGTGAGCTCCCCCAGCACATTGCCTGCAAATGAATTCAGAGAACTTCTTTTTGTTTTTCACCTTTGCCTCCAATTCCATTGTGTCAATTATCATTGATTATTTAATCAGGACTTTATGGTTGGACGTGCAGCTTCTTCTAATCTTTTTTTCTTTTAAGTGTTTAAAAGAATAATGCTGACATGAGTCAATTTTAGTTGTACAAATACAGCTATTGTGTAAAAATTGTCAGAAGCGGAATTGCAGAGTCTAAGAGAGACCATCTTTGGTATTTATTTTGTTAGCAAGAAAAAAATTGAGAGTCTGATAATTTAGGAAAATACCAGTCACAGGAAAATACCAGTCACAGGAATACAGGTGGAAACCTAGCTAGAGGTCTCCACCCCTTTTATTCGTGCTCTATTGTGACGTCCAAAGCCTGACCCAAGGAACTGATTCAGGTAGAGGCGACGCCAGCTCAGTGTAGGGGGCAAGCTCTGCAAGACCTTGGCCGAGTGACTTCTGCTGCTTTTTGCTGTGGGGACTCTACTGGATGGACCAGCACATGAGAGAGATGGAGTTTGGAAACAAAACAAGTGGTTCAGAAACATGGGATTGCTTTCATATCTACTGGCATTTAGAAGGAGCTTGGTAAATTTAATCAAGAAACAAGGAAATGAAAATACCCAAGGAACACCAGGGGAAGAATAATGGTTGGATTTTCATTTAATTTGCCAGACACAATCCCTGAAGTAAGAAAATACCGTTTCTCACGAAATTCCGGCACCCGAGGCTCAAACGGCCAACCCTACGGTTAACAGCCGAACGCGCTAACCAATTGTGCCACAGAAATGAATGTGGTGGAATATCTCCATTCCAACAAGGTTATTTTACTTTTTTTCAGTCTAAACAATACATTAGAAAGGAGGCTGCTTCTCCGTGTATTGGAAAAATGTTTTCCCTTTTTTTGACTCTCATTGTTGCTATGTTAATGTGTTTTAAAAACGGAGGTTTATAGGCTTGCCGCCGTGGCTCACACTGTAATCCCAGCACTGTGGGAGGCCGAGGCGGGCGGATCACGAAGTCAGGAGTTCCAGATCAGCCTGGCCAACATGGTGAAACCCATCTCTACTAAAAATACAAAAATTAACCGGGCGTGATGGCGGGCGCCTGTAATCCCAGCTAGTTGGGAGGCTGAGGCAGGAGAATTGCTTGAACCCAGGAAGCAGAGGTTGCAGTAGGCCGAGATCGCGCCACTGCACTCCAGCGTGGGTGGCAGAGCAAGACTCCGTTTCAAACAACAACAACAACAACAACAACAACAAAACACAGAGGTTTGTAATAATACAGATATTATTCTTAGGAACATAAGAGTGTTAATTGGGTGGAGAGCAGGACGCGGGACTGGTGCGTTTTGCAAAATAAGTATGAGTAGAATCAAAGGAAAGAATTTATTTTCGGTTCAATAAGGAAGTTTTCACTGATAGTTCAGTTGAGAGAGAAACCACTGGAAGGCTGTTGCATAGAAGGAAATATATTAAATGAGAAAGACACCAGCAAGAGCAGAGGGGAAAACCATTTAATGGAAAATCTGATACAAATATTAAGGGAAAGTAAGGGGCCAAACACCAGGACATGAAACCAGAAACTCCTACACATTAGTGCTTGTCCACCAAACTGCGAGCCTGAAATTGCGATCATACTTTATATTTGTGTTTTAAAGAGTAAGTTGGTGACAGATTTTATTTCTTTTCTGCCTGTCTTCCTGCTTCCTCTTTTTCTTTCTGCCTTCCTCTCATTCTCCAGTATGTATACCTTCTAATCATTTTCTTCTGGGTTTTATTCTGAATATTAGGATTTTCTAAATTTGTTCCTGTTTTTCTCATTTTCTTAAGCATATGTGGGTTGACCTTTGAAGTACGATGATGGGTAGGGGGTGGGTGGATGTTGTGATATTCACTACCCTATTTGTCTTTCTAGTCCTTTCAGTGACATTTAAGCCCAAGAGTCAGGTTACATTAGGATGATGTCCTCAACTTGAACTGTTGACTCTTGGATGTCCTCTATTCGTTTAGTCTCCCAACTAACAGTTATTGAGTGTCTGCTAAAAGCTAGGCACAGTTCTAGGCATTCGGATACATCAACAGTACACAGCAGAGACTAGAGTGGATTTTTCAAGCTGGGGAGAAACACATAATAAACACAAATAAGTAATTGTATCTATTTGAAGGTAATAAGTTCTATGGAGCAAAGAAAAAGTCAAGCAGGGTAAGGGGACCAGGGAGTGGGAGGTATGTGGTTTGCAATATTAAACAGGCAAGTTAGGGTGGCCTCTTTGTTTATGATATTTTGGAATGGCTTATTGGAGTTTTGATATATCCATCTTTGTCTTTAAAAGATGTCTCTCTGAGAACCTAGGCTGAAACAGACAAAAGAAACTGGATAGATCTTTCAACAGCAATTATGGGGAGTTTTGAGAGGAGGTGCTCCCTGGGATTGGATGAAGATACCAGTTAGGAAGGATGTAAATGTCTATTATTTAGGAATAGACAAACCTCATAATCTATTTTACGACCAAGAATTCTGTATTTGCCATTTTCAGAGATTTGGGTTGGTGGCTCAATGTAGAATGCCCTTTTCTACGGATCACTATATTCCATGTTGGACTTCTGGTTGGCTTGTTTAGTTTTTTCTTTGGAATTCAGTGCTACCACACAGACGTGTGCAAACACACCCACACACACACCATTAAACAAACAAAGGCCAGTGGGTCTCTTGGCTAAGGATTCTATGGTGCATATGCAAGAAATGCTACTGATAAGGAATGTTATATCAAGTTTCTCAAGAGTGGATAAAGCTGACCAATCTAGCTGCTATACTTGGAGAGGATAATATGGATGGTGTAAATTAGAATTGTATATAAGCAATAAGTTAGAATATGGACAGTCTTTTTTTTCCCCCTTTTTTTTTTTTAAAGAAAATGGACATTCTTTCATGATTCATCAAAAGAATCATTGGAGAAACTGATTTATCATGTGACCTCAAGTGTTTCTTGGAAACCTTTTGGAGGAAAAAGAAATTAAACATGCTGAACTGGCTGAAAAAAATATAGAAGAAGCACTTTCAGATCATATTAA
This sequence comes from Homo sapiens, assembly GCF_000001405.40. Lineage (NCBI taxonomy): Eukaryota > Metazoa > Chordata > Mammalia > Primates > Hominidae > Homo > Homo sapiens. Next base: position 151,593 of record NW_025791780.1, read on the forward strand.
ATATATACAAACTGGAAAGAATCTATGCACACAGAAAACACCCAATTTGAAGTGACTTTTAAAGTCTTCAGCAGAGTTAGCGGCATGACAACAGAAAGAAATGAAAGTCTGGACAATGTTTGCTCCACTTAATATGGAGAAAAAAAATGTCCCAAAATAGATGATGATCTGAGCCATGCACATGAAAGTTGCATTTCTACAGAAAATGGGCCAAACGTCTTACAGAAAATCCTGAAAGTGCTATTTGTTCTTCACAATGCCAGATGAGTTCCCATGAGGAAAAATTATGATAACTGGAGGTCATCGAATCTGCTTGCTGAGAAAAACTTAGTTACATAAGAAAATAAAATGAGCCAGGCATTGTGGCTCATGCCTTTAATCCCAGCACTTGGGGAGGCCAAGGTGGGAGGATTGCTTGAAGCCGGAGTTCAGAACCATCCTGGCCAACATAGTGAGACCTCATCTCTATTTTTTAAAAAATTAAAAATTTGTTGTATGCATTTTATATTTATTTTATATTTTATATATAAAGGAACATAAAATGCATACAACCAACAAAGTATATTGAAGCCAAGATCACATGCAGCTTTTGGGAAGAGGATCCACATGCTCCTGTTCTAACAGGGCCACTTTGGAAAGGCCCAGGACAATATGTTTCCCTGGAATATCAGATCACTAAGGAAGGTTAAGCTAGGTGGGCTCAGAAATCTAGAATCCATAGTTGTCCTGTGAGGACCTGAAGAAACTTAGGATAAAAGACAAATGATTTCCCTAGAACGATTCCATTCTGATCCAGATCTTGCTCCAAAAAGCCTTTTGACTTTGATAGACTTGCTGAATCTGAAGACTTCAGAAGTTTCAGTACACCTTAAATGGAAATAAAGTCCAATAGAAATACTACAAAGATGTACCTGATGAGAACAAGTGACTTGTCTCCCCCACCTGAAAGTGGAACGGCTGGCTCAAGCATAGTTCTGCCATCTCACAGTCAGAGTCCCAAACATTCTCATGAACTCCAGGGGCATTTCATGTTCCAAAGACTTCTGTTTGCTCGCCCTTCTTTGGAGAGTATATATGGATGTTCCCCAAGTGCTTGTTCTCCTAAGTGATTTCCAGGACCTAACACACTCTCCATTTACAATGCCAAGTTATTCTCTCCTAATTGCTGTATTCCTCCCCTCCCATTTGAAAACCCTGAAGGTAGATGTGACCCGCACTTAGGGTTAGCTGAGCTTTCAAATAAAACTCAATCCAAAGATCCAAAACCATAGTGAGGAATTCTTTGGTCCCTTGTGTCAACTAATTCTGAATTATCTCTTATTCAATGCAAATAATGTTAGTTAAGTAGTTATAAAATTGGATCAAATGGAAGCCTGATAGAATTTTAAATCTTAGTGCTTCCATTATATCCTAGAAGAGATAGTATAAGTATAGTAATTGTTATTATCTGGTCTTCTATAACAAAAACTTCAGTGGAAGTCTGACATGAGCAGTTTAGCATTTGGAGAAATTTGGAAGTGCAAAGGTCATATTTCTATGTCATAAATTGTGTTTATTATAATTCTTAGACAAATGTCAAAATAACTTGTTTACTAATACAATTTAATTTTTTTTAAAAAATCATCTGTATATTGCCAAAATTAGCATGATAATTTGGGATATGGGAAGAAACATTGAGGACCATGGGGTAAAGCAATGTGTTGCTGGTTTTAGGGTTGTGTGAGGGAATAAGCAGTATATATTTGCATGAGCACTACATATTCCAGTAACTGAGGCAGATCTAGAGTCCAGGTTTTCTGAAGTTCAGATTTGGATCTTAAGCGCAGGGAAAAAGGAATTTTATAAGAAATTTTTAATCATTTCTTAATTTCTATTCAATTTACTTTGCAACAAACATGTAAAGGTATAAGTTTACCTCTGCAATAAGGTCTGGAAATAACACTTTTAAAACTTCTTGCAGTGGGGTAACTTGTAGTAGGAAAACTCACATAAACACACAAATTCAATATAAAAATGATGCCAGTTGTCATATGTGCCAGTTATCACACGATTGTGTCCCAGCCCTGAATCCACCCTCAAGTACTGGGCTTTGAGATGTGGGGCTTGGGCTCTGCAAAACATATTTCTCTTTTGCTTGCGGTTCCCTGTTAGATTCTGACACTAGAGGGCCCCAGGAGCCTGTTCATTCTCTGTTACTTTATTATAGGGCAACAGCCCTTCACCCTGGCAGTGATAGAACAGTTTGTTTCACTTTCCAGATTTTGAAAAGTGCCTGCAGACCCAGGCTCATTGCACCTTCAGAGGTGCCAGGGTCATCTAGGAAGTGTCTCCTTTTCAGATACTGAGTCTCAGCTCCACAAGACCCCAATCCTAGGAGCTCCTGAGGTACTGACGGCAGCCAGGATGCACTTTCTCTTCAGAGGTCTAAGCCCACATGCCGGGATCTCTCTTCTCACTTTCTAGTTTCTGATACCAACTCCTTTCCTTTATTCCCCACCATAGTGAGTGGGAGCTGTTTGCTGCAGTTTTCAACTCTGTGTTACCTTTTTGTGTTTTAGATTTCTAAAACCTGAGCAAGCATTCCCTATATGAACTTCATGTTGAAATGCCTCACGTGGTTTTTGAGTTGCTGACTACTTTATTTCTCCTTGATGTCTATCCGAATCCTGCCCACCGTTTCAGGCCCAAGTCTTTCCCCACAGGTTTTTCTCTTTGCAGACTGGATGAATCTCCAGGTCCTCCAAATGACTACATTATATCATGTACACCTCAGTTATAGACCTCTGGGTAGTTATTTTAGTATTCATGCTTTATTACAAACTTCTAGGTTTTTACAGTCATATTGAAGACATGGTATTTTGTTACCAACTAGGATATATGCTCTTCAGGGACAGAGAACAAACCTCAATGTTCTTGGGATGTTTTTCTTGTTTTTTTTTTGAAAATCAAAATGGTAAAAGTGAAAATAAATATGCCCCATCCAAACTTAGAATTTTCATTGGTTACAGAGCTGAGATGATCCAGGAAGCTGCCACCTAGCTAACAAGCCTGTCCTATTTGGGAGAGTATGGGCATGGGGGATAATTCTAAGTTAGGAGAAAGGTCTTTAAGTGTTAAAAAGACAATTAGGCCAGTCATGGTGGTGAAGGCCTGTAATCCCCCCACTTTGGGAGGCCAAGGCGGGCAGATCACTTGATGTCAGGAGTTCAAGACCAGCCTGGCCAACATGGTGAAACCCCATCTCTACTAAAAATACAAAAAACAAAAAAAATAGCCAGGCGTGATGGCACATGCCTGTAATCCCAGCTACTCAGGAGACTGAGGCAGGAGAATCACTTGAACCTGGGAGGCAGAGTGAGCCGAGATTGCACCACTGCACTCCGGCCTGGGCAACAGATCAAGACCCTATCTCAAAACAAAAGAAAATTATTCCAAAGTATGTTCATTATTCAGAATTCTTAACATACACTAGGGGTGACATAGGCTGTACTGAGGTCAAAAAGATGGACAAGAACCAAAAGAAGAAAGAAGCAAGGGTCAGCCATGCCCTATTCCTTCCCTGTTTCCTCTGTTTCCTAAACCCTCACTGATGAAAATCAATGCATGGTTTGACAATTCAGAAATTCGTATTTGAAGACATAAAATGGTGCTGCTTTCTTTATCCTGAAAACTTGGCCCCAGAATATGTTAAGAAGTAAAGTTCAGTTCTTACCAACATACCATCTTTGGTAGACAGAATGACTCCCTCAAAGATATCTAAGTCTTAATCCCTGTAACTTGTGAATGTGCAGCATTTCATGGCAAAACAGACATTGCAAACGTAACTAACGTTGTGAATCTTATAATAGGAAGATCATATTGGATTTCTGGGTGGGTCTAATCTAATCACATGAACCCTTATAAGCAGAGAACTTTGAATTCAGAGAGATGCAGAAGGAAGAGAAACCAGATATTTGAAAAAAGAAAAAGACTTGACAAGCCATTGCTGGCCTTAAGATAAAGGAGTCCATGAGTCAAGGACCTTAGTTATAAGAATACTAGAACCTGAAAAATGCAAGCAATCTGAACGATCTTGGAAGGAGAATTTTTTTACAAGCCTCCAAATAAGAGTCCAGCCCAGCTAACACCTTGACTTTGGCCTCGTGAGGTCCTGAGCAGAGCACCCAGTTGGAATACTCTGTGCCCAGACTCCTAGCTCAAAGTGCTGTGAAATAATAAATGGGTGGTGTTTTAAGCTGCCAAGCTTGAGGTGATTTATTATGGAGGCAGTGTAAAACTAATTTATCATCTTTCATGCAAGTCAATTCCTCCTCCAACTCAAAGAGCAAATATACACAAATGTCAGACAAAGTCACAAGAGAAAGGCTTTTCATAAGCAAACCAGGGGAGACAGAGATGAGTCTAGTAAAACAAATGGGGAAGGAAGGGGAGGTGACAGCTGTAAGCAGCAATGGGCATTCGGCCCACTCCAAAATTGTAGGAAAACTGTCTAAGAGGTTCTTTCTCAAGGAGCAAGGAATCTGACTGATGTTTTCCAGGCTAACAGTCTTAAACCTCTAGGTGTTTAAGGCTAAATGGGCAGAGAGAGGATGGGGATGGAACATCATTTTTCTTTTCTTTTCTTGTTTTTTTTTGTTTTTTTTTTTCTTTTTTTTTTTTTCGACGGAGTTTCACTCTTGTTGCCCAGGCTGGAGTGCAATGGCATGATCTTGGCTCACCGCAACCTCTGCATCCCAGGTTCAAGTGATTTTCCTGCCTCAGTCTCCTGGGTGGCTGGGATTACAGGCATGTGCCACCACGCCCAGCTAGTTTTGCATTTTTAGTGGAGACAGGGTTTCTCCTTGTTGGTCAGGCTGGTCTCAAACTCCCGACCTCAGGTGATCCACCTGCCTCAGCCTCCCAAAGTGCTGGGATTACAGGCGTGAGCCACCGTGCCCAGTCTGAGTATTATCTTTCTAAGGGACAGTGCAGACTTGGTGGGAGGCAGTCATTCAGCAGGAGTAGCATCCACAGTGTCTCTCAGGGGATGATCAATGTTTCCCAAGGATAAGCTAGATTCAAGATTTTCTTAGAGCTCCTCCAAGGACTGTGTATGAACAACTAGTGAAATGTGGACAAACAGGCTCCCTACGAAGCCAGAGGGGGCCGGGCCTGGTGGCTCACACTTGTAATCCCTGCACTTTGGGAGGCCAAGGTGGGCGGATCACTTGAGACCAGGAGTTTGAGACCAGCCTGGCCAATCTGGCGAAACTCCATCAAAAAAAGCCAGAGGAAGAAAACCACACTTTAAAGCCAGACCAAGGAAGGGAAAGATTAAAGGCAAATGCAATTTCCCACCCCCAAGATGCAAGTGAGGAAAGACTATCTTCCCTTTTCTTCAGGCAAGCATATTCCCAGGGAAAAGCAGGAAGGTAAGACTCCTATCTGAGCTTACATATTGAAAAGAGAAATGCCGGCCGGGCGCGGTGGCTCAAGCCTGTAATCCCAGCACTTTGGGAAGCTGAGCTGGGTGGATCACTTGAGGTCAGGAGTTTGAGACCAGCCTGGCAAACATGGTGAAATTCCTTCTCTACTGAAAATACAAAAATTAGCTGGGTGTGGTGGAGGGCGCTTGTAATCCCAGCTACTTGGGAGGTTGGGGCAGGAGAATCACTTGAACCTGGGAGGCAGAGGCTGCAGTGAGCTGAGATCGCAGCACTGCACTCCAGCCTAGGTGGCAGAGGGATGCTGTCTCAAAAAACAAAAAGTAAATAAAAATAAAAAATAAATAAAATAAAAAGAGAAGTGTCAATAGCATGGGCAGAAAAGTTGTGGAAATTTCCCAAAGGTTGTTGCTTCTGGGCTTGCAGCTGTGGCTGAGCTCTTGTCTTATATCCCAAACTGATGGAAAATGAAGGTGCTGGTGCTCTGACAGGTCCTTCTCCCACTGAACCCTAGTCAGGGGGCATTGGTTCCCTAGGGGCACTTCTGCTGCTTAACAGGCCCACTCTAAGCAGGACACTCTGACTGAGGCAGCAGTGAAGAGGTTTCGAAACCCAGGCTTACTCTGTGGTGCTGTCTCCTTTGAAGGAAAATCATGTGCCCTGAATAAAGGATCCTGGGTGTTCAGGACCAAGTATACCCCAAAAGACTGATGGCACCAGTGGTCCTACTAGGGCCTGCTTCACTGATGAATGCTCCAGAAATGGAACTCCTGACTGAGCTAGACAGACCTATCCTAAAGCACCAGTGCCTTAGGATTGGCATTTCTCCAAAAGGAAGGCTCATGGGGCTGTGCTATCAAACGCTGAGCCAGTGGCCTCATTGTCAGGTGACTGTGTGGGACCCAAGTGGCCTTCTTTCTTTCTTTTAGATTGGGCTTCTATACTAGCCTAAATATAGATGGATCAGAAGATCCAGAAGGATCTGTATATGTAGGAGAATTAAGGGTTGGGATGCTTACAGGAATTGGTTTAGAGCAGGGATGGTTGGGGACTTGGCAGACCTGTCAGCCTGAGGGGTCAGAGGTGGCTTGGTGGGGTCAGTGATGAGTAATGTGGTAGAAGCAGGAGTCAACCAGGAGTAAGTGACTGTTGGCCTCAAGTCTGAAGAGGTGCCTGGAAGTGTCTCTGACTTCGAGGACACCAAAGGGGTCAGCAAGCTGGATGTCTCCTGAGGCAAAGCAGCCACACAGGTTATCCCTCCAGTGGACTATAGGAAGGCCAGTGGGCCTGGGGTATTCTGCATCACTTTCAAGCTCTCCAGCTTGGATTAGTGCTCCCAAATGGAGGGGTAGTTGGAAATGGTGCAGTCCCAGCAGCAGGTAGGGTGACAGAAAGGATGGGCTGAGTGGCAGGCACAATCTCAGGGATAGTCATTGGTGGCCTCAGTCTGCTCCTTTATGACTTCGTTGACCTACCAGAGTGCAGCTTTCTTGTCCAAGTTTTCTGCAGTGACTGCATAACCAAGTTGGGGAGTTGAAGACAGGATACCCTCCCCCTATGGCTTAGAAGGCTGTAGCAAAGTTTTGCTTTCATGAGGCCCAGAACTAACAGATGTGGGCGATGTATTCCTTGAGTTTTGCTTTGTTTTCTTCTGTGAGGGAGTGTCTGCAGCCTGAACCTCATTGTTTAATCCCTATACAGCAAAGTGTGGACAGATGTTTTTCTGTGCCTTTTTGTTTGTTTTTGAGAGGGAGTCTTGCTCTGACGCCAGGCTGGAGTTCAGTGGCATGATCTAAGCTCACTGCAACCTTAGCCTCCTGGGTTCAAGCTCTTCTGTGCCTTTTTTAGGGGAAGAGGATAATGAGTACTTTAGACATCAGGAGGGATGTGAAATTGCAAACTGGGACCTCCTCTCTTCCCTGTCTTTGAAATGTTTCCAGGAGAGCTGTAGGAGCTGCCAATGTCATTTCTGTTGGAGCTGAGGGGACCACTTGGGAATATGCTGGTCAAGGGGCTCTTGGAGGGATGATGAGACTTATTCTAGTGGTCATCTGAGCTCTGGGAATGGAGGTTTGGCTTCAAGGGACTCGGGCACCAAATAAACAGGGATCCCATTGGCTATCACAGTTGAATGTGAATATCTGGTCTCCTGGAGACTTGTTTTCCTGTCCTGGCTCAGGGAATATTGGGTCTTCCACTTTCATTTTTTTGCATTCTCTGAGGGCCTCGGTTTGATTTTTTGTGCCATAAGGGTCTGGAAGCTTTAAGGGTGCTTAGCTCAAAGTCGGCTTTGGTACTGGAAACTGGCTCACTTGGATGAGGTCAGGGGAAGCAATCTTGATGGTCACCAGGCTCCTGCAGGGTGACCTCCTGGCTAATCTGTGGAAGGGAGTGGGGCGAAACACATCAATGTATTGAACACTGCAGGGTCGTAGAGAGCCAGCGGCTGGCGGGCTTCTCCGAAAGCTCCTGGTCCCCCTAGGAAGGCGGCGGTGAGGGATCAGGCTTCTCCATGTAGAACTACCTTTGGTGAGTGATGTGGCTGGACCTGGGTTTTCGAGCTGGATACTGCCTCCAGGGAGTTTTCATTGGCTGCCGATGAGACCCCGCGCGAAGTGCACAGTGTTCTGGTGACAGGTGACCGTCAGGGATGAATGATGTGCACGGGTCTTCCGCGGCCCTGGAGCCCTTCTAGACAGCCAGCGCCCAGCACATGGGCACTAGGGACCACTGAGGTATAGCGACAACCCCAAAGAGCGTCCCCAGCCCCAGCTCTGCCACCCCCGTCCCCACCAGTTTCTCGTCCAGCCATCTCATTTATCACTTGCCTTAGCGAGGGCTTGGGAGACACCAAAGGAAAACAAACCCTGCGAAAGAGGAGCCCGGGCATCAGGACTGATAGGCCTACCCGGCTGCCTCATCTCCCGCTCCTGCTTAACTGCTGGAAGTCTCAGATTTGGGTTCCCGGGCACACGGGAACTCTCCCTCCGCGCTGTCCGGACCCTAAAGGCAAGTTGCCGGGGAAGGTTCCTTAACAAACAGCGGGCTTCCCGGTAGCCGGGTTCCCAGCCCAAGAACCTTCTCATTCACCTGCGCAGCGCCGCGGGACCTCACCCTTCCGGTGTGGTGCCAAGATCCAGACTGCCTGACTTGTTTTCGTGCCGCCGGACGGTGTGTTTAATCGATGCTGATGTTTTACTCTCTAGTTTGAGGACCCAGCGACAGGGCTTTAGCCCCTCTTCCTGCAGCTGCGGATAACAGACATTGGCTCTTTGGGAATTGCAGCGCGCTAGCCCAGGAGCGCCGCGCTGTCTGGGGACTGTGGGGCAGTGGTCCCTCGGGGCGGACAGAGCTTGGGTACAGGGGGCTCGCGCTCCCTGATCCCGGCTTCAAGGTTCAGCTTGAAGAGAGTCGGTTTACCTTTCCACCCACACCGGGCCCTGGTGCGGGTCGAAGGCCACAGGCTGAGAATTTGCTGGGAGGGGTCGGGAAGAAGCGTAGGAGCGCTGACCGCCTCCCCTTCCTCTTTCTCTGTCTTTGCGGGCGGCGCTACTTCCCTTTCCCGAATTCCGAGCCCCCCTCTCCAGGTCAAATGCTCGGCGCGGCCTTTCCGAGACTACCCGAGAAATTCTGACGGTGAGCGCCAGACAGCGGCGTGGTAGCGGCCTTCCAGGGAACTGCCTCTCGGGAGAGGAGGGGACGGGCGGGGAGAGGCCCTTGGCCCCTCTCATTCCCTGAGTCCCTGCGGCGGCGCCCCTCCTGGAGCTTGAGACCTCAGGGATTGAGGATCGCGGGGAGCCTCGGACACAGCAGGCAGGTGGTGTGGAAGGTGCCACCTTCATTCTTCGGTCTCTGGGGGCTCTGGCTTTTTCTTCTTACTGCCCATCGCTGGCGATCCCGGGAGGAAAGGGTCAAATGGCAAACTCTCTCGCAGGAAAATTCAAGTTTCCAGGGTTTTTGCCCCACAGGTCTTTAGAAATTTTTCGTTGAGTGAAAATTCTTCCTGGGTCCCTCTTCCTTCACGTCTCTCTCACCTATGACAACTTCAGATTGTGCACCAAGGATGGGAGGGAAGTTATCGGGAAAGGACAAGATTATATTTAGAATTCACTGGGGAGGTGGTGATTTCTGAAGACAGACCATGGGATCTTGGTCCTGTGCTTCTCAGGAGTCAAATGTGGAGCTGCTTTTGCCCTTGCTCTCGCACTGATCTCCCATAGGATCTGCATCTCCAGCCTCTCCAAACTCCAACTCATCCTACGCGGGACATCAAACCCACCTTTATACTGCCCAACGATAAAAAATTGTTATTTCAAGGGCTCCTCAACCTTTGGATACAAAATGAGTTATCAGTAAAGCTAATTGGGATATTCCCAACTCACAGACCCCAGGGAGCAGCAGGGGGTGAGGAAGGATTTAGCAGCAGGACATCAACACCGGGGCGAGCAGTGCAGGCCTGATGGAGATGTGGCAGGGAGACACCTCAGTGCTGGAAGTCTGGATAAGGCACCAAGACCTCAGCACAGATCTGGGGTGTGTTCACAGTGGGCTTCTTTATTAGAGTGGAGAGTGGAAAATGGAAACAATGGAAATATCCAAAAAAAAATTGGAGTGTTTAATTAATATAAAGATAATTTAGATAAAGTCATGTGATGGGAAAACAGACAAGACAGACTGTGTGTGTGAGTGTTCTGTATCTTGTCCCTGATACACAGTATATTATGTAAATCATACTTCTATTTATATTTTAAAATGGCTATTGATATATAGATAGAGATGTGTTTACAAAGGCATAAAAGAACAATTGAAAGGATATAGATTGAACTGTAATAAAGTGATTAACTCTGGTTTGGGACTGGATTGGGAGGAATGGCAATGTTATAGTGGTATATTGTTCCAAATTTTCTACTTGTATTATATCTTTCCAGTAACAAAACAGTGAACATAATTATAATTTTATTTATTTATTTATTTTTGAGACAGAGTTTTGTTTTTGTTGCCCAGGCTGGAGTGCAATGGCGCGATCTCGGCTCACCACAACCTCTGCCTCCTGGGTTCAAGCGATTCTCCTGCCTCAGCCTCCCGAGTAGCTGGGATTACAGGCATGTGCCACCATGCCTAGCTAATTTTGTATTTTTAGTAGAGACAGGGTTTCACCATGTTGGTCAGGCTGGTTTTGAACTCCCAACCTCAGGTGATCCACCCTCCTTGGCCTCCCAAAGTGCTGGGATTACAGGTGTGAGCCACCACGCCCAGCCATAATTTTAATTTTAAAGGCAAAGAAAAAAAGAGTTCATTTTGGCAACTTGGAAGAATGGATTGGAAACCAAGAGTTTGGAGGCTGAGATGTGAAACAGTTCATTGGAAGAGTCAACATTATCCTGATATCAAGATCAAATAAAGACAGTACAGGAAAAGAAAAACTACTACTATCCTTCATAAATATAGACACAAAAATTCCCAGCAAAATAATAGGAATTTGAATCTGGCAATATATATTTAGAAATACAATTAGGAAAAAGGTAAGGATGTCCCTCTCATCACTCCTTTTCAGCATTTTACTGGAAGTTCTAGCTAATGCAATAAGACAAGAAAAGAAAATATAAGGTATACAGATTGGAAAGGAAGAAATAAAAACTGTCTTTGTTCACAGTATTGTCTATGTAGAAAATCTGAAAGAACTGAAAAAAATTCTTGGAACTAATAAGTGATTATAGCAATGTTGCAGGATATAAGGTTAATATACAAAAGTGAAATGTTTTCTATATACCAACAAAAAACAAGTGGAATTTGAAATTAAAAACACAATACCATTTACACCCACCCAAAATGAACATTAAATGCATACCACTAAGTGAAAAAGGCCAATTTGAAAAGGCTACATCCTGTATGATTCCAAATAATGTATATGACATTCTGGAAAAGGCAAAACTATATGAAGACAATGTAAGAACCAGTGGTTTCTAGGAGTTAAGAGTAAGGGAGGGTAGTAGGGAGGGATGAATAGACAAAGTACAGAGGATTTTAGGGAAAAACTGTTCTATATGATACTATTATGGTGGATACATGTCATTATACATTTGTCAAAGTCCATGGAATGTACAATACCAAGAGTGAACTTTAATGTAAACTATAGACTTTGAGTGATAGTGATGTGTCAGTGTAGGCTCACCAATTTTAACAAATGTACCACTCTGGTACAGGATGTTGATAGTGGAGGAGGTTCTGCATAGTGGAGGAGGTAGCAGGTATGTCGGAATTCTCTGTACTTTCTGCTCAATTTTGCTGTAAACCTAAAACTTCTCTAAAAAATAAATCTATTTAAAAACGCACCACTGGTAAATGGGGTTAATCCCTTAAGTGCAAGGCTGTTTGAATATTTGAAAATCAATCAATATTCTCTACTACATTAACAGATTAAAAAAAGAAAATCACATTATCATATCAATGAATGTGAAAAAGCATTTGACAAAAATCAACCACCATTCATGATTAAAACTTTCAGCAAACTAGGAGGAGTTTGCTGTTCCTAGCAACTATTTTTGACCTAATAAATGACATCTACAAATTATGTATATTAGACAGCATATTTAATGGCAAAAGACTGAATGCTTTTCCTGAAGTTCAGGTACAAGTTAAAGATGCCCACTATCATCACTCTTATTCAATGTCTTACTGATATTTTTGACAGTGTAATAAGGCAAGAAATTGGCATAAAAAGTGGAAAGGAAGCAATAAAAAATGTTCCCATTCACAGATGACATTTCTGTCTACATAGAAAATCCAAGGAAATCTATAAAAAAGTTCTTAGCACTGGCTGGGCATGGTGGCTCATGCCTATAATCCCAGGACTTTGGGAGGCCCAGGCAGGCTGATCACCTGAGGTCAGGAGTTCAAGACCAGCCTGACCAACATAGAGAAACCCTGTCTCTACTAAAAATACAAAATTAGCCGGGCTTGGTGGTGCATGCCTGTAATCCCAGCTACTCGGGATGCTGTGGCAGGAGAATCGCTTGAACCTGGGAGGCAGAGGCTGCAGTGAGCTGAGATTGCACCATTGCACTCCAGCCTGGGCAACATGAGTGAAACTCCATCTCAAAAAAATAAAAAATAAAAGATTCTTAGCACCAATAAGTAATGAGTTTGCAGAATACAAATTCATCATAAAAAATCAATACTATATATACTATCATTGAATAATTGGAAACTAAAATTTTAAAACATACTATGTACAGAAGCTCCAAAATATTAAATTACTTAGATATAAATCTAATAAACATGTGCAGAGTCTGTATATTAAAATTTACAAAGTGTTATAGACCTAAATCAAAGAACAGATAAATTAATGGAGGGATATACCATGTTCATAGATTGGAAGACTAAACACAGTTTAGATGTTAGTTCTCACAAACTGATCTATGAATGTAACCCAATTTAAATTAAAACCCATCATTATTTTGTTTGTATATGTATACAAGATGATTCTGAAATTCATATGGAAAGGCAAAGAATCAGAATGGCCAAAACAATTTTGAAAAAGAACACAATTGGAGATCTCAAACTAGCTATTATAAAAATTATTATAAAGAAACAGTCATTAAAAGTTTGGCAGCTGGGCTCGGTGGCTCACGCCTGTAATCCCAGAACTTTGGGAGGCCAAGATGGGCGGATCACGAGACCAGCCTGACCAACATGGTGAAACCCGGTATCTACTAAAAATACAAAAATTAGCCTGGTGTGGTGGCACATGCCTGTAATCCCAGCTACTCAGGAGGCTGAGGCAGGAGAATGGCTTCAACCCGGGAGGCAGAAGTTGCAGTGAGCCAAGTTCATGCCACTGCACTCCAGCCTGGTCAAGGGAGCAAGATTCCATTCCCCTCCACCCCCCACCCAAAAAAAAAGTTTGGTATTAGTGAAAAGATAGACTCACAAACCAGTGAAATAGAACAGAGAGTCCAGAAATAGACACATACAAATACACATAGTTGATTTTTTTTCCTTGAAAATTATACTACTTTATTTGGAGTAGAGACAGAGGAAAGAGTTTGGAATGATATTATCAAAAATATGTGTGTGGTATCTAGAGCAAGGCCATTTACTATGTATAATGGAAATGAATAAGAAAACAACTGTGAACTCATACAAAATCAATAATTTTAATCACAACATCATAGCTAAAAATATTAAGAGATTTAAGAATAATTCACTTATTCTTTTAGTGTCAAAAACTCAAGGGACTCCATCATCTCCTCATTTTCTTTAAAATATCTGTCTGCATATTAATGTTCTAATCATGTCAATATAGAATGAAGAAAATATTTAAAATTGACAGACTGACATTATAGGAAAGGATGCTTTCAGCCGGGCGCAGTGGCTCATGCCTGTAATCCCAGCACTTTGGGAGGCTGAGGTGGGCGGATCACGAGGTCAGGAGTTTGAGACCAGCCTGACCAATATGGTGACACCCCTGTCTCTACTAAAAATACAAAAATTAGCCAGGCGTGGTGGCGTGCGCCTGTAGTCCCAGCTACTCAGGAGACTGAGTCAGAAGGATCGCTTGAACTTGGGAGGCAGAGGTTGCAGTGAGCCAAGATCACGCCATTGCACTCCAGCCTGGGTGACAGAGCAAAACTCGTGTCTCAAAAAAAAAAAAAAAAAAAAAAAAAGGATGCTTTCAAAATTATACACGTTGTGCAGAGATTTAATGCTCAGTTCAAAGATGAACAACAGAGAGCATGTACCTGGCCTTATTTCTCCTGGTTTTCAAGGAATCATGATCTTTGATAGGTTTCTTGAGAAATGCCACAAAAAAGAACAACAAAAACGTTCTGGAATTTTCTATTCTTTAAAAAAGAAAATGGACCAAAAAATAATAAAGTATAACTTTTTGCCATAGAAAAGATAACAAGCAAAGAACTACAAAGTCAAACACAGATTCAGAAGACACTTGCTCATGAGCAGCTTTGTCTTTTTTAGCCGAATCTACAGCCATAATTCCTGATTCAGATATGTATTTTTATTGAAGATTACTTTTTTTTTTTAACATACTAACTGAATCACAGGCCGTTTACAGTTAAAGAAGTAGCAGTGGGTAAACAGATGTCACTGGAAAACAGTACAGATCACAAACAGTTCAGGGATGAAACTCTGAATGTAGCATCTTCAGTGAAACTTGAAAAGGCCTTTTTGAACACACACTGTTACGTGAGTGTGGGCAATTGATTTTTGATAAAGGTGCAAAGGAATTCAACGGAGAAAAAATAAAGTATTTTGTTGTTGTTGTTGTTTGTTTTTTTGAGACAGGGTCACATTCTGTCATTCAGCCTGGAGTGCAGTGGCATGATCATGGCTCACTGCAGCCTCCATATCCTGGTCTCAAGTGATCCTCCTACCTCAGCCTCCCAAGTAGCTGGGACTTACAGGTGTGCACCACCATGCCGGGCTAATTTTCATTTTTTTGTAAAGATGGGGTCTCATTATGTTACCCAGGCTAGTTTCAAACTCCTGAGCTCAAAGCAGCCTCCTGCCTTTGTCTCCCAAAGTGTTGGGATCACAGGCATGAACCACTGCACCCCACATAAAGTATTTTTAACAAGCGCTGTTGAAACAATTCAGCATCCGTATGTAAAAATAACAAGCCTTCACCAAAACTTCATGCTGTATATAAAAATTCACTTAATATGAATCATAGACCTAAATGTAAAATCTAAATTAGCTATTAAAACTTTTAGAAGAAAGCATGAGAAGAATTTTGTGAGCTGACATTAGGCAAAGACTTCTTAGATATTAGATACTAGAACTAGCCTAACATTTCTTTGGTGGAATGTTTATTCGAGTCCACTGCCCATTTTAAAATTAGTTGTTTTTGCTACTGAGTTGTAGGAGTTCTTTACACATTTTGGATATTAATCTCTTATCAGAGATATGATTTGCAAATATCTTCTACCATTCTGTAGGTTGTCTTTTACTTTCTATGATAGTGTACTGTGATACACAAGTTATTAATTTTGATGAAGTCCAATTTATTTATTTATTTTGCTGCCTGGACTTTTGGTGTCTGTCATATTTATGAAATCGTTGTCAAATCCAATGTCATAAAGATTTCCCCCAATTCTTTTTCTAAAAGTTTTATAGTTTTAGCTCTTGAGTTTAATTTTTGTGTATGATATAAAGTAAGGGTCTAACTTGAATCTTTCACATTGTGAACAAATGTGAACCTGAAAGAGCCAATCTTTAAGATGGACCTTAAGTGGCTAATTGGGCCTAGATTTAAAATACAGCCAAGTGGCCTTTTATTGATTAGAGGTCACACCGGTACACTGAGATTCCTTGAAAACGCTATCTCTGTTCAACTTAGGAACTTTCAGAGCTGATCTGAGCCAACCAATCAGAGCTCACCTGTACCACCCAATCAGGGCTCAGCTGTATTGATGAATCAGAACTCAGCTGCATCAACCCATGGGAACTAAAGCAAATTTCAAACTTTAATTTGCATAAAGGGACTAATTGGGAACCTTGGCGGGAACGTTTGCTATAAAACCCTCTCTTTGTCCTCTGGAACACACCTTTGTTTTTAAAGGCTGCTGCATCTCCCCATTTGCAAACTGTTCACTGGACAAAAGTCACTTTCCTGTAAATTTCTTTTCAGAGAACTTTTGTTCACAATATGTGGGTCTCTAGCACCATTTCTTGAAAAGGCTCTCCTTTCCCCATTGAATTCTCTTGCCACCCTATCAAAAATGAGTTAGTCATATATCTGAGGATTTATTTCTGGACACTATTCTATTCCATGGACCTATATCTTCATATGCTACTACTATACAGTTTTGATTACTGGAGTGTCATAGTAAGTTTCAGACAGGTCAGGAAGTTTGAATCCTTTAATTTTATTCTTATTTTTCAAGATTGGTTTGGCTGTTAATGGCTCCTTGCAATTCCATAAGCACTTGAGAATCTGCTTTTCCATTTAGGTGAAAAGGGCTGTTGGATTTTTAGTAGAGATTTCTTTAAATCTGTAGATCAGTTTGGGTAGTGTTAGCAGTGGAATATTAAGTATTCCTATCCATGAATGTGGGATGTCTTTCCATTTATTTTTTGTAAATTTTTTTCAGCAATGTTTTGTAGTTTTCAGTATACATGTCCTTCAGCTTCTTGGTTAGATTTATTCCTAAGCAGTTAATTATTTTAGATGTTATTATAAATGGACTTGGTTGTTAATTTCCCCTTTCTGATTATTCACTGTTGGTGTATATTAACACAACTGATTGGTGTGTGTTGATCTTGAAAACTGAAATTTTGCTAAATTAGTTTAGTAGCTCAAGTAGCCTTTTGTAGATTCTTTGAGATTTTCTTCATAGAGGATTCTGTTATCTGTGAATAGAGATGGTTTTACCTTTTCCTTTCCAATCTGGATGCCTTTTATTTCTTCTTCTTGTAATTTCTTCTATTATTAACATATTATAGCAGTATAATTATTTGTTACAATCGATGAACTAATTATTACATTATTATCACATTATTAACTAATAGATGTAGCATTCATATTTCCTTAGTTTTTACCTAATGTCCTTTTTATGTTCCAAGATCCAATCCAAGGTACCACATTTAGTTGTCATATCTCCTTAGGCTCCTCTTGGCTATGCCAGTTTCTCATACATATATTTTTAGTTTTGATGTCTTTCACAGTTTTGAGGAATGAAGATGATCAGTTCCCAGTGGATCCTGGATTCAAAGTCCAGAGTGCTAATCATTACACCAAGAGGTCTGGCAAATTGACCAATTTTTACTTTTATGGATTGTAATTTTGGTGTCAAGTCTAAGAACTCTTAATTTTTAGCACTAGAACTCAAAGATTTTCTTCTGCTTTTTTCACAAGTTTAATAATTTTACTTATAGAATATTACACTTAATGCAAAAGCCCACCAACCAAAGGCCAGCAGGGAGCACACTTACAGATAAACAAAATTAGATTTATTAAGCTTCCTGTGGTAAACCAGAATGCACCCCAGAGGAACCTGCAGAAATCAGTAAGGAAGAGATGGGAAGTTAATTTTTTTAGAAAAATAGGGTTTGGCCTGTACTAGCTGTCTTCACCTCCAGTTGAAGACATTGATTTAGCTGTTTGCTGATTTAGCTTCTAGAAGAGGTTCAAATACCAATGGTGAATATGTCAGTTTTGGCTTAGCTTGATTGATAGTTTTAGTTTTTATTTTCAGGTATGAACCTTGAACAAACAAAATTAAATCAGGGTTATCCAAAGGAGTTTCCAAGAGAACTATAAGGGGTATGGGTAGTTCACAAACAGAAGTTAAAATATTGTGTGGGCCTGGAGCAGTGGCTCATGTCTATAATCCCAGCACTTTGGGAGGCTGAGGCAGGTGGATGGCTTGAGCCTAGGAGTTCGAGACCAGTCTGGGCAACATGGCGAAACCCCATCTCTACAAATAAATTAAAAAAAAAAATGAGCTGCGTGTGGTGGCGCATGCCTGTAGGCCCACCTACTCAGGAGGCTGAGGATCACTTGAACCCAGGAGGCAGAGGCTACAGTGAGCCATGTTCACACCACTGCACTCCAGTCTGGGCAAAAGACAGGGACTTTGTTAAAAAAAAAAAAAAAAAAAGAAACAAGGAAAGAAAGAGAGAGAGAGAAAGAAAGAAAGAGAAAGAAAGAAAGAAAGAAAGAAAGAAAGAAAGAAAGAAAGAAAGAAAGAAAAGAAAGAAAGAAAGAAAGAAAGAAAGAAAAAAGAAAGAAAGAAAGAGAAAGAAAAAGAGAAATGAGATAAGGGAAAGTGTTACTAGATTAAGGGTATTATAAAGATGAATAGTGGATATGTAAAGATGAAATAGATAGGAAAGGCATAACATCTTCAGAGCCTTTAATTTTTCTCATAGAGTATAATATGAATACCACTTAATGATGAAGGTATTTAAGGCCAGAGACAAAATCTTTTTTGCAATCAATTTGTTGACAGTTATTGTGTCAGTCTTTATATCTGAAAACCAGTATTTTTATTTTAAGAAGGACACAACTGTTTCAGCAACCATTAAAATATTATATTTTTTGACTTCATCTTTTAATAAAATTTAAAAATGTTAATTAATAGACTTTATTTTTTCCTTTTTTTTTTTTTTTTTTTTGAGACCACATTTCGCTCTTGTTGACCAGGCTGGAGTGCAATGGTGCAATCTCAGCTCACCACAAACCTCCGCCTCCCGGGTTCAAGTGATTATCCTGCCTCAGCCTCCCCAGTAGCTGGGATCACAGGCATGTGCCACCATGCCCAGCTAATTTTGTATTTTTAGTAGAGACGGGGTTTCTCCATGTTGGTCAGGTTGGTCTCGAACTCCCAAACTCAGGTGATCTGCCCGCCTCAGCCTCCCAAAGTGCTGGGATTACAGGTGTGAGCCACCACTCCTGGCGAATAGACTTTATTTCTTTGAAGTACTTTTAGGTTTATAGAAAACTTGAGCAGAAAGTACAGAGAGATTCTATATGCCCCCACACCACCCACAGTTTCTTCTATTAATATATTACATTTGTGTGATACATTTATTACAACTGATGAGCCAAGATTGATATATTATTATTTAACTAAAGCCCATAGTTCACATTAGGGTTCAGTCTTTGTGTTGTACATTATAGGGGTTTTAACAAATGTATAATGTAATATATCTACCACTACAGTATCATAAAAATAGTTTCACTGACCTAAAAATTCCCAGTGCTCTATCCATTTGTCCCTCCCCCAACTCACCCCCATTCTGGAGAACATTGATCTTTTTACTGTCTTCTACTAGTTTTATCCTTTTCAGAATGTCATATAGTTGAAAGTATATAGTATGTAGCCCCTTAAGATTGGCTTCATTCACTTAGAAGAATGCTTTTAAGGTTCCTCCATGTCTTTTTTGTGGATTGATAGCTCATTCCTTTTTATTTGTTGAATACTATTCCATTGTATAGATGTACCACAGTTTGTTTATCCATTTGCGTAGTGAAGGACTTCTTGGTTACTTCCAAGTTTTGGCAATTATAAATAAAGCTGCTATAAACATCTGTGTGCAGGTTATTGTGTGGACATATGTTTTTAACTCATTTGGGTAAATATTAAGGAATAGGATGGCTGCATCATATGTTAAGATTATGTTTAGCTTTAAAAGAAACTGCAAAAATGTCTTCCAAAGTGGCTGTATCATATGGCTTTTTCCTATCAGCAATGAATGAGAATTTCTACTGTTGCATATCTTGGCCAGCATTTGGTGGTGTCAGTGTTTTGGATTTTTGACATTCTAATAGTGTGTAATGCAATTTCATTGTTGGTTTAATTTTCAGTTCCCTAATGGCATACAATGTTGGGTATCTTTTCATATGGTAATTTGTCATCTGTATATCTTTTTTGGTGGTGTCTGTTTAGATCTTTTGCCATTTTAAAAATTGGGTTGTTGTCTTAGTGAATTTTTTTTTTTTTTTTTTGAGAGGAGTCTCGCTTTGTTGCCCAGGCCGGACTGCGGACTGCAGTAGCGCAATCTCGGCTCACTGCAAGCTCCGCTTCCCGGGTTCACGCCATTCTCCTGCCTCAGCCTCCCGAGTAGCTGGGACTACAGGCGCCCGCCACCCCGCCCGGCTAATTTTTTGTATTTTTAGTAGAGACGGGGTTTCACCTTGTTAGCCAGGATGGTCTCGATCTCCTGACCTAATGATCCACCCGCCTCGGCCTCCCAAAGTGCTGGGATTACAGGCGTGAGCCACCGCGCCCGGCCCCTCTTAGTGAATTTTTAAAGCCTTCTTTGTATATTTTGAATACAAGTTCTTTATTGATACATGGTTTGCCAGCATTTTCTCTCAATATGTGGCTTGTCTTTTCATTCTTTTAACACGATCTTTCACAGAGAAGTTTTCAATTTTAGTGAAGTTCAGCTTACCAGTTATGTCTTTCATGGATTGTACTTTTGGTGTCGTGTCTAAAAAAAATCACCATTGCCCGGGCGTGGTGGCTCACACGTCTAATCCCAGCACTTTGGGAGGCTGAGGCAGGTGGATCAACCTGAAGTCAGGAGTTCGAGACCAGCCTGACCAACATGGTGAAATCCCATCTCTACTAAAAACACAAAATTAGCTGGGCATGGTGGCGCATGCCTGTAATCCCAGCTACTCAGAAGGCTGAGGCAGGAGAATTGCTTGAACCCAGGAGGCAGAGGGTGCAGTGAGCAGAGGTGGCACCATTGCACTCCAGCCTGGGCAACAAGAGCAAAACTCCTAAAAAAAAAAAAAAATCATCAAATCAAGTGTCCCTAGATTTTCTCCTACATCATCTTGTAGAAGTTTTATAGTTTTGTGTTTTACAGATTAGGCCTATAATCCATTTTGAGTTAAATTTTGTGAAAGTTGTAAGGTCTGTGTCTAGATTTCATTCTCTTCCAGTAACTCTCCTATCATTATTTTGGATATTTATTTTGTGTTTCTGCAGTATTAAATCTCCTTTTCCCTCTATCTCATATCTTCTCGTGGCTTGGTTTCTTCACTCAATTCAATGGATCATATCACTCAATATTTTTCTTGGCCAGGCGCAGTGGCTCACACCTGTAATCTCATCAAATTGGGAGGCCAAGGCGGGTGGATCACCTTAGGTCAGGAGTTCAAGACCAGCCTGGCCAACATGGTGAAACCCTGTCTCTACTAAAAATACAAAAAATTAGCCGGGCATGGTGGCACATGCCTGTAATCCCAGCTACTCGGGAGGCTGAGGCATGGGATTCACTTGAACTCGGGAGGCAGAGGTTGCAGTGAGCCCAGATTGTGCCATTGCA
The DNA here is from genome assembly GCF_000001405.40 of Homo sapiens. NCBI lineage: Eukaryota > Metazoa > Chordata > Mammalia > Primates > Hominidae > Homo > Homo sapiens. The sequence goes on from NW_025791780.1 coordinate 172,820, forward strand.
CTCCAGCCTGGGCAACAAGAGAGAAACTCTTGTCAAATTTTCTCTGAGAAAATGTGCATTTGGGATAGATTTTTGAGACCTTAAATGTATTTTTGTCACCCTCACTTTTTTTTTTTTTTTTTTTTGAGACAGGGTTTCACTCTATTGTCCAGGCTGGAGTGCAGTGGCGCCATCTCAGCTCACTGCAACCTCCGCCTCCCAGGCTCAAGCGATTCTCCTGCCTCAGCCTCCCAAGTAGTTGGGATTACAGGTGCACACCATTACAATCGGCAAATTTTTGTATTTTTAGTAGAGACAGGATTTCACCATGTTGGCCAGGCTGGTCTCAAACTCCTGATGTCAAGTGATCCACCCGCCTTGGCCTCCTAAGGTGCTGGAATTACAGACGTGAGCCACCACGCCAGGCTAACCCTCACGTTTAATTAAAAATCTGATGGGTTAAGGAATTGTAGGCCACAAAACATTTTACTTCTGTATTTTAAAGGCATGACCATTGTTTTATAGCTTTCAATGTTGCCATAAGAAGAAAATTTTCATTCCTAAGTTTTGGTATGTTATCTGTATCTTTCTGTGAGAAAGTGAATAAAATCTACTCTTCATCGTAGTGTTTTGAATTTCAAGATGACATGCCTTAATTGGGTCCATTTTATCCACAGTTCTGAGACACTAGGTCTTTCTTTCCTTTTTTTTTTTTTTTTTTGAGACAGAATCTCACTCTATCACCCAGGCTGGAGTGCATGGCTCACTGCAGCCTTGATCTCCTGGGCTCAGGTAATCCTCTCACCTCAGTCTCCTGAGTAGCTGGGACCACAGGTGTGTGCCACCATGCCCAGCTAACTATTGTATTTTTAATAGAGATGGGATTTCGCCATGTTGCCCAGGCTGGTCTGGAACTCCTGACATCAAGTTATCCACCCATTTCAGCCTCCCAAAGTGCTAGAATTACAGGTGTGAGCTATCGCACCCAGCCTACTGGCAGGTCTTTCAATTTGAAAACCTATATTCTTTAGGGTTAACATTTATTTTCTTTTATCTAATGAACTATTTTATCTGTTTTCTTTGGAATTCCAAATACTTTGGCATTGGAGATTCCTGGGCTGTTCCTCTAACATTTTTTTTCTCTTTCTTATTATCAAAATTCTTTTTGTCCGAAACCTCATCTTTATTTTCCAAACATTTACTGAATTTTTCATTTTTGCTATCATATTTTTAACATCAACATCTTTTCCTTGTTTCATTTACGTGTAACTTTTATTGTGTGTGCATACTGATAACTTTCTCCTTGAATATTCTGTCATCCATGGTTCTCCCTCCCATTCATTTATTTCAGATTTTTTTCAGATGCCTGGTGTTTCTTATTTGATCTATCCATGTTTAAAAATCATAGGCTAAAAACTGGCAGCAGGCCAGGCACGATGGCTCACGCCTGTCCTGTAATCCTAGCACTTTGGGAGGCAGAGGTGGGTGGATCACTTGAAGTCAGGAGTTCAAGACCAGCCTGGCCAATATGGGGAAACTTCATCTCTACTAAGAATACAAAAATTAGCCGGGCATGTCGGCGCATCCCTGAAATCCCTGCTACTCAGGAGGCTAACGCAGGAGAACTGCTTGAGCCCAGTAGGCAGAGGTTGCAGTGAGCAGAGATCGCGCCACTGCACTCCAGCCAGGACGACAGAGCAAGACTCCATCTCAAACAAAACAAAACAAGACAAAAAAAAAACAAAAAAACTGGCAACATTTAAAATGTAGTGGGGCTTGTTGACAGTGATCTTCACTAGAGGGTAATGTGGTAGGGCCATGTTTTCGGCATTGATGATGTTCGTTTCTTTACAGCTCTCCTCTTCACTTGGTCAGATTTACCAAGTAGAACTCTTTCAATGACATGCCTGGAAGCTAAGGACTGCCTAGCCTGAAATCTGGCAGTAGAGTTGGATAAGACTGCCACGATTTTGTAGCTAGCATGAATAAATTTGTGTGATAATTCTATTTCCATCCTCCCACTCCATGCTACCCATCACATCATCTGTGCCTTGTGTCCTTCATTCAAGATACTATCTGTTTCATCCTCTTTCTGCCAGGGTTGGAAAGACAAGAGAGAGAGAGAGCTTTTATACATTCTTCCTTATTTTAGCCCTTCACCAATTATCCCTCAGATCCAGAAGTACCTATGGTCATAAATTTCTGAGTCTTTAGAAAATCCTGTGGTGTAACTTAGGCTGATTTTTAGCTTTTCCCACTGCAAGCTTAGAACTCAGTTTTCTCTTTTCAATATAAAATATTTTTTCAATATAAAATATGATTCATTTTTTCTTGTCTTTTATGGCTATACAGTTGACCTTTGAACCACACTGGTTTGAATTACCAAGGTCCATTGTTACGTGAATTTTTTTCCTACTAAACGCAAATGGAAAATACAGTATTTGTGGGATGTGAAATCTGCCTACAGGGAGGGCTGACTTTTAGTTTCCGTGGTTCTGCAGGGCTGACTGCTGGACTTGAGTAAGTCCAGATTTTGGTATACCACAGGGTCCTGGAAACAATTTGCTGCGCCTACTGAGAGATGGCTGTACTTTTTTTTTTCTTCAAAATCAATTTTTGTGTCCCATTTGTTTAGAAGCTCTATATTCTATATCTATTACTTTTTGCATTTGTCATAAAACTTTAAGACCCATAATTAAACAATTAAAATTAATCAACATGTTTACAATTCTCCCAATAGAATGACACTAGAACACTTTTGTCTTACAACTTTCCTCTCAAATTTTGTGATATTATTGTTCAGTAGGCTGTTCACTCTGTGTAAATCACTTACCATTATTGTTTCATATATTGTATATTTGTTAATATACACCTACCTAGTGATATCATCTCTCCTCATCATTTCTGCATTTCTCTTTCTTGGAAACATATATGTAAGTGTAAAGAGATTGTGCAACTGTATTTCTACATCTTACCAAATATTACTTAATATTTTTATGTGCATATGTATCAAATGTCTGTAGAAGGACACATGACAATGTGATAACACTGTCTTTGGAAAGGAATTAAGTGACTAGATTTAAGTAAGGATGATCAAAGGAGACGTTTTAAATGTAATGTTTCAAAATTTTTAACCTTTAAATGTTGAGATAAATGTGGATTCACATGCAGTTGTAAGAAATCATACAGAGAAATCCCAGTTTCTTCCAATGATAACCACTATTTTGCAAAATTAGTACAATCATACAACCTGGATATTGACAATGATACAGCCAAGCTACAGAACATTTCTATCACCCCATGGATACATCATGTATCCTTGGATAACTACACCTACCTCACTCCCCAACCCTTATACATGACAACCACTAAGCTGTTCATTTCTATAATTTATCATTTTAAGAATGTTATAAATGGAATCATACAGTATATAACCTTTAGTATTGGCTTTTTTCACTCAGAACAATTATTTTAATTTTCTTACTAGTAGATATTATTTTCCTGCTTGAGGAATTATGATTTATTTTTCTAAGGACAAGACAATATGGATGATCAGGGTTTTTTTGTTTGTTTTTTTGAGATGGAGTTTTGCTCTTGTTGCCCAGGCTGGAGTGCAATGGAGTGATCTCGGCTCACCGCAACCTCTGCCTCCCGGGTTCAAGCGATTCTCCTGCCTCAGCCTCCCAAGTAGCTGGGATTACAGGCATGCGCCACCATGCCCACCTAATTTTATATTCTTAGTAGGGATGGGGTTTCTCCATGTTGGTCAGGCTGGCCTTGAATTCCTGACCTCAGGTGATCCGCCCACCTCGGCCTCTCAAAGTGCTGGATTATAGGTTTGAGCCACTGTGTCTGGCCTGGATGATCAGGTTTTATTCTTTATTAGTTGAGATAATTATATTTGTAATTGAATTATGATTATTGAACTGCATTCTTTTTGGTTGTTGATTTCTCATTTTCTCAAAGCAGATGCCCAAAATCTGTGGAGGTGGTTGTCATTGCAAAGAAGTACCACAGGGCTTAAAAAGGCAAAGTTCACCCCAATGAACTTCTTAGTATTCAAAAACAGGTTCAGTTTTTGAAAAATAACCTAGACTGAAGGAAACAATCATATCAAGCCCACAGGAAAAAATGAAGCACAGGGTCAAAATGATCGTCTCTTTAGTTGCTTTCATCCCAGGGCTTTTTTTTCTTGGAGATGGAGTTTCACTCCTGTTACCCAGGCTGGAGTGCAATGGTGCGATCTCGGCTCACTGCAACCTTTGCCTCCCGGGTTCAAGTGATTATCCTGCCTCAGCCTCCCGAGTAGCTGGGATACAGGCATGCACCACCACGCCCAGCTAATTTTGTATTTTTAGTAGAGATGGGGTTTCTCCATGTTGGTCAGGTTGGTCTCGAACTCTCAACCTCAGGTGATCCGCCTGCCTCAGCCTCCCAAAGTGCTGGGATTACAGGCCTGAACCACCGCGCCTGGCCCCAGGGTTCATTTTGAATTAGGGGCCCGACCTGTGAAGGTGCTGTATTTGCTCGTGATGTCTGTAGAGGGGATGCATCCTATACCCACTCGTCCAGCACATAAAACCCAGGAGGGGAAACGTCATGAATGTGAAATGCCATGAACGTGAGAAAGAATCACCTAATAAAATTATCCGTTAGCAAAACAGAGCAAGATTTCACAATGTATCTGGATACAGTCTCATTCTTGAGGGCTGTAATTGAGATAAAATTAAGTTGGAAAATATGAGTAAATTAAATTAAGAATTCAAACAAAAAGGAGTAAAGGGCACACAATGGTTTTCTGGTTTTGAGCACTGATCAATAGGGGTTACAAAGGCCAATGATGATGGCATAAAGAATGCTTAAGTGGCTTGTCTAACAGATGGAAAGGCCACGTGACACTGTGTAGCTATTTGTCTTAAAAATAACATAATGTATGAGAGTTCTCAAGACCAAAGCTTAAGAATCCTTGGGGATTCCTATAATACAAGCCACTAACATGTGGACCAATGAGAAGTGGGTTATTAGTAGGCATATGGGCCTCTGCTTGAGACTCACAATGAAAATATGAGCATAGCTCACAAAGAGAATGGCATTCCCCATGACATCAAGTCTAGCTTAGAAAAGAAAAGCGGGCAGGTGCAGTGGCTTAGTTCTGTAATCCCAGCACTTTGGAAGGCTGAGGTGGGCGGATCACTTCAGCTTGGGCTCAGGAGTTCAAGTCCAGCTGGACAACATAGTGAAAACCCCATCTCTACAAAAATTAGCTGGGTGTGGTGACTTGTCCCTGTAGTCCCAGCTACTCAGGAGGCTGAGGTGGGAGAATGGCTGGAGCCTAGGAGGTGAAAGTTGCAGTAAGCAGAGACTGCACCACGGTACTCCAGCCTGGGCAACAGACACACACCTTGTCTCAAAAAATAAATACAATAAATAAAATAAAATAAAACAATTGCCAGGATGCCATGTGTTGAAATCAATCCAACACTTTATAAGCTGCGTAACTGCAGGATCAACTTCTATAACCTGTTTTTTAAAATTCTGCAATTTAGTGATTATTACCTGTGAGGACTAAACTCCAGTTTTTTATCCTGCCTAAATTCCTATCTAAGGGGCTTGGAGAGTCATACCCTGAAAATCATAAATTCTCATCAGATGGGTTTTATTTAACCCTATAGATTGTGACTTACTTTCCAAACTGACTCTGCTGTATGGTTAACTTCTAGGTTTTTATTTGGTGGAGAAGATTGCTCTTGTCACTTTGGAGTCTCATGCATTTGAGTTCAATTGGAACTGAGCTAAGTGTGTATGTTACAATGGCATTTGTATTATTTAGCAGCATTTGCAGCCCACCTCCATTTCCTAAATCCATTTGTCACACTCTTAGACTGGTCTGTGTTCTTGCATCTGGGAAAGGAGATAGCAGAAAGTAGCAAAATGGGTACTGGGTTTTTTGTTTGTTTGTTTGTTTTTTGTAGCTCTTGAGTTTCAGAAGCAGAACCTATTACAGCAATGAAGGGGCCACAAAGTCAGTACTCTAAGGGAAAACAATCATACAACTCAATCTTTATGCCATTTGGCTTGAGTTTTTTTTTTTTTTTTTTTTCCAGATAGGGTCTGGCTCTGTCACCCAGGCTGGAGAGCAGTGGCACAATCTCAGCTTTCTGCAGCCTCTACCTCCTGGGCACAAGCGATCCTGCCACCTCAGCCTCCAGAGTAGCTAGGACTACAGGTGGGCACTACCATGCCTGGCTAATTTTTGTAGAGACAGGGTCTTGCCAGTCTGGTCTCTAACTCCTGAGCTCAAGCAATCCGCCTGCCTCCACTTCCCAAAGTACTGGGTTACAGGTATAAGCCACCGTGTTTGGCTTCATTCTGCTTGAGTCTAAGTGTCTAAGTGTTTGCATCAAGTGTCTTAGATACATAAATGCCACCACTTAAAAATCTTAATTATTTTTTCCTGCTTTTCCTAGTAACTGTCCTGTCTAGGGGACTACCTTTTTTATTAGCTTTTTCAAAGAATAATAAGGTGTTGGTTTTACTGATTCTCTGCATTATCTTTTTGTTATTTTCTATTAACTTTCCTGTCTAGGGGACTATCTTTTTTATTAGCTTTTTCAAAGAATAAGGTTTTGGCCAGGATGGTCTCCATCTCTTGACCTCGTGATCCACCCGCCTCAGCCTCCCAAAGTGCTGGGATTACAGGCGTGAGCCACTGCGTCTGGCCTACCCCAACTTTTTAAGTTTCCTTTGCCAGATGGAAGGATTCCCTCTGCAAGTGTTAACTGCTTTCAGCTTCTCTCACTCATTTAAAATCCAAATCCCTGCCTGGGGAAAGTGATGACACAAGCTGATGTTTCAGGGACAAAGAAGCTTCAATTGCACTATGAGTTTCTTTTCTCAATAAACAATGTAAAGACCATTTCAAGAAACACTTGCGGTGTGTGCGCTGGATAGCACTTTTCCCTGTCTACTTCACCAGAGACACTGAAGCACACATCATTTCTCTTTCAGTTACTTCTGGGGGTCACGGTTATTATTTTTCCCAGAAATATTTCTCACAACAGTCCACTTCAATGTTGGGAGTAGTATCACTTTAAGTTAGAAAAATAAGCATGAAGGCTGCAAGTCTTGTTCTACCTACACAACTCTATATGAATCTCAGGAGGAAAAAACAAACTTAAAGCTGTACCTTTTCCCTTCCCTGTTTCATCCACATCATACCTCCTTCTTATCCTCTTCTCACAATGAAAGCCACTTAAAACTCTGGCATCTACTCTGTTGGTAGAGCAGACAGACATAAACTAGGACAAACTTTATAATGGTGGGTAAATTAGAGCAACTATTTTTATACCATCTCCATCCCACTCTAATTCAACAAATAAGACCAAGAGGGAAGAATTGGAACCAAATGTGGATTTCACTAGGAATTATAAATGTAAAATCTTCCCTAATTTTGAGGGGGTCACTCACACAAAAAAACCATAGATGGTTTTGCTGCTAATGAATTTCAGCAGGGCCTCAAACATGGTCAGTTCAAACTATTAGCCCCATTTATGGAATGTGGTGCAGAGGTTCCAAAAGGATGCAATGTCCACAGTGGAGCATAGACAATATTCCTTCTGTTCCTCTCTGCCTCGGCATCCAAAATTGCTGGAATTATAGAGATGGTCCAGTGGTTATCTCTACCTCCATGTCTAAGTATCACATTATTAACCACTTCATTCTAATCCAAGTGTAGAGGAAATGCTGTTTCTCTCAGTACAGTGGAGACGGAAATGGAGTTTTTCAGAACAAATGTTTATTTAATAATTAAGGGCAAACAAAAACATTAAAGCATAGGAATACATCAACTGAATACAAGTTGTCTTGTTTGGTCTGAAATCTTGAAAAAGTTAATCTAACTACTTACCTGAGGTAGATTTAGGTTGGCACTGCTTCAAGGGAACCTCCGTCCATCCCAGAAGTTACCTTCTAGTTTTGGTTACAGGCTCCCAAGTGGTCCTCTCCAACCTCAGGTTATGCTATATGAATAATACCAACACCTTTTTCTCCCATGGTTAAAAGCCTTCAGCCTTGTTTCATACCCCCATAGTTCTCTGTTTGGGGGATGGTCCATCATTAATTTACTTAAAAACTAGAGACAACTACCAGTAAGATCAGTTGAAAGAAGGGTCAAGTCATTGCCCTGTTAATGATACCAACTTTGACCCCTTCTCCATGTTCTCTCTAATCACTAACAAGTAGCCATAAGGACTACTTTTCATCACCACCATGCCTCACACCCAATACTATTTTAAGTATACTACAAATGTCAAACATATACTAGTGATAGGCATGATTTTCACCAGAGAAAAAAATACATCTTGTGTGTCTTATACTGGGCAACTTTTTATGATACAAGAGCTATTTCTAAATATTACAAAAACATGTCAGATCAAATAAACTTCCAGGATCTTTTTCTAAAAGAAAAAAAAATACCCTAGAATCCTTATTATCACTATGAGCTATATTCACTGGCCCTAATATTATCATGATCATCAACCAGTCATTAGGATCAAAGCTTAGAGCCATACACAAGGTAGCAGTGTAGCAGTTCGCCAACTCCATGAATCCAAATGGCAATACTCTCTGAAGTTCAGGGATCTGCTAGGACAAATCAAACCAAAATCAGAGGATTTGGACTAGCAACAAAGTATCTATTCACTAGTCTACAAAGTCCCAAATACTATAGGAATCTGAAGTATTGGTATTACACGTCTTTGAATCTCAGGGAAGAAAAAAACTGAGATGTGACCATTGATAGATCTCTAGATTAATTATAGTATTTCTAGAGAACATTAAAGACAATCCTAATTATACTTTTAAATTGGAAACAAGTACTTATCCTTAAGCCTCTGATGAATCTGCCAACTACTTTTCCCTTCTAGTATTTAGAATTCTGCATTCCACGCCATATACCTTATAATGTGGTGATTGCAATCCTTTCCCTGGGATTAAAAGGTATTTTCTCTTTCCTTGGCAGAACTGAAATAAATGAAAGACGTATCATTATGGGTCTTGATTTGCTATAAACAGCAGGATAATGGAGTGAAAAGAACACTAGGTTTGGAGTTAGGATACTCAAAATAAAAAAAGCCTTACTCTTATATTAATAATGCATCATTATGCATTTTTTACTCTATGCCTACTCAGGCTTAAACTTTTCTTTCAGTTTTCCTGTAGCCATTTTACTAGGAGCTGACTGTGGGTAGCTACTGCTGAAAGAGATGATAAGTGAAGTCACAAAAATATGGACACTAAAACCATCATAATCATTATATGAAATTTGCACTTTGAGTTAAAAAGAAATGAATTTCTAAACTTGAAATTTCAAATACCAGTAATAACTTGAAAGATATTTTAGGGGAAAAAACTTTTGAGAGTATGCCTCAACTGACACTAAGTAAAAAGCTGAGTATGCTGTTTCTTTATAAGATTGGTCCTGCAAAGGAAAAACTATTAGGAGAGTTTTGATCTAGGATAGCTACTCCCTAGCTTCTTAAGTTCATTTCACTGCCAGCAAAAGGCTGCCATGTTACTATCAACACTCTAGTCCCATCCTAGACAAGCATAAAAATATCAACCAAGGCAAAGTCAATATACTCCTTTCCCCCAACAGTAACACATGCCACACCTTCTATCATAAGGTTACCGTCCTTTCCTTTATTGGATTTCTGAATTTTTTAAAAAGTAAAAGTAAAGCAATCATTAAGTAGTTCAGATAAAAGAAAAGCATCTTTACCTGAGTTACCCATCAGGTCTACTCTGACCCGCCCTAGCTTCTCCCAGAACAAGCTTCTGGGTATCTAAAAAACTATTTTCATACTGATTTCATGTAAAGTCCTCTCTACCATATGAGTCAACTAACTATGAGAACAGTCTTCTCATACATATTATATGTACATAGATTCTCACCCACAATTAAATCTCTCACTGCAGAACAGGTTTTTTGGGGCCTGATAAGACAGGAGCTTCTACCAAAGGTTTTCTCAGACTCAAGGTAAGTATGGGTTTTTTCACCTATGTGAGTTCCCTGATGTACCACAAGAGTTGATCATTGACAAGCACTCTTCATTCAGACACTTGCAGTCTTTCCTCAGATTGGGTTTTTTTTTTTTGGGTGCAAACCCAAGTAAGGCTCTCCAATGAATGCTTTTGCCATACTTAAGACAAATATACAATTTTTCACCAGTATGGCTTCTCTGATGGGTAAGTCAGAGTTTTGTTAGAAGCTTTTTTCACACTTGCTGGGGCTTCTCCCCAGGGTGGGTTTTCTGAGGTCCAATGAGATGTTCATACTGTCTGCAGCACAACTGACACTGAAGGCATTTAAAAAGTTGTTCTCCGGTGTGAATTCTCTTACAACGAGAAGGGCTGAGCATTAGTAGAAAGCTCTCTCACACTCAGTGCATTTCTAAGGTTTCCCACTTGTATGAATCCTCTTGTGAGTGATCAAACTTGAGCTCAGACGGTAAGTTTTCAAAACCTCTGGGCATCTGTAGATTTCTCGTTGGAGTGAGGATGAAGTGTTCTGTTAGGGCAGCTCTCTGGGCAAAGAATTTCTCATATTTCCAATTGCAGGCTCTCTGGTCCCCACTGAATTCTGAGCTCTGAGCAAAGTCTGAGATTTGTCCTCATCTTAATGAGTTCTCTGATACATAAATAATTTTTAATATTGGTATTACAGCTTCTCGCCTGGTCAAGACATCTGTGAGGCTTCTGACGCATGGGGAGGGCTAAGCTCAAGACCTTTTTCACTCACATTACAGACAAACGGTTTTTCACCAATGTGTACTGTCTGATGTTGAAGAAGGGCTGAACTCTGGTGGAAGCTTTTATCACATACAGTGTATTTATAGTGTAGCTCCTCTGTTTGAGTTCTCATTTTCTGTTGGGCAACAAAGTCCATTCCTAGGAGGAAGCCACTCTCACACGCAGACCACTGATGTGGTTTCTCTTCCATGTGAATTCTCTGATGTACAATAAGATCTGAGCTACAGTTAAAGCTTTTTTCATATTCAAGGCATTTAAAAGTGTGAGTGTGAGTTGCCTGGTGCCTAATTAGGTTGGCACTCCGAGTAAAACTTCTCATACATTCCAGGCATTTATACGGCTTCTCACCTGTGTGGACTCTCTGGTGCACGATAAGGTCTGATTTCTGGCCAAAGCATTTTTCACAGGCACCACACTTATAGGGCTTCTCCCCAGTATGAACTCTTTTATGTACAATGAAGGCTGAACGGTGTCGGTAACTTTTCTCACACTTATTACATTTGTAGGGCCTTTCCCCAGTGTGAGTTCTCTGGTGGCTAATAAGATCTGATTTCCCACTAAAAGCTTTTTCACACTCGAGACACTTAAATGGTTTCTCACCTGTGTGAGTTCTTCGATGCCTTATGAGGTTTGTACTTCTACTGAAGCATTTGTCACACTCACTACATAGATATGGTTTCTCGCCAGTATGGCTTCGCTGGTGGACAAGCAGATCAGAACTCTGACCAAAATTCTTGCCACAAATGTCACATGTATAGAATTTTTTACCTGCATGTGTTCTCTGATGTCCTGAAAGCGCTAAGTGATGCCAAAAGCTCTTCTCACATTTGCTACATTTATAAGGTTTCTCGTAATTGTGGATCCTCTGGTGTGAAGTAAGATCTGAGCTTTGGACAAAGGTTTTCTCACACATATCACATTTATAAGGTTTCTCCCCAGTATGGGTTCTCTCACACATAATAAGAGCTAAGTTTTCACAGAAGTTTTGCTTGCATTCAAGGCACTGGTATATATGACCATCTATCTGAATAATCTCATGCATATGAATAAAAATCTTTTTACCCTTCCGAGGGCATACATTATATATTTTCCTTTTTTGAGTTCTCTGATTACATTTCTCTTCTGAAGTGTACATTTTCTATGGCTCTCTCCTAGGGAGTTTTCCGCTGGTCTTCTTGACCCATCGTTGCCCTCACAGTCATTTTCTTGATAAGAACTTGGAAGATACATCTGTTTCAGGCCTTTCAATCATGAGCCTCTACAAGTTTCCAGCATCATATATGTTAATTCCTTACTTGGTATTTCCAACCCTGTGAGACAAAGTAGAAATATTATTTATATTCCTATGACTAAGAAAAGAATTCTCAAAATTAAAATCACTGCAGAAAAGACAAACTCTGTATCAGAGTCCCTAAGTCTTCTAGGTTTTATATGGCTTGAAATCAGTTATTTACTTTTACTCTTTGCTAATATAAAACTGATCAGCAATACATATGGGAAACTGCAAGTAAGAACTCTTTTCTCTATGAATCTGGGTAATTTTAAACAAGAGCTCTTCATCTTTCCTTGCTTCAGTTGAGAAATCAAGACAAGACTAATAATTATTATGCCTGCTCATGAAGAAAGCAAATCAAAAGGGACAGTGAATGAGTATCTCTGGAGTCCTTTCTGCAGAAAGCTTGGAACAAAGTAGTTAATGATCATTAGAATTCCCAGTGACCAGAGAGAAAAGTAAGGTTTCTATGACTCTAATTCGTAGTGGTGATATCAGGCAAGTTTCTTAACCACTGTATGCCTCGTTTCCTCATCTGTAAAGTGGATTAATAATAGAAACTACCTTACACGGTTCTGTGGAATATTAAATCGCTATGAATCTCCTGGTAAGCCCTCTGTTTTGGCTCTTACTATCACTGTTATTATGACAAAGGGGCTTAAGATTCTGCTTTGATATGATTATATAAGCACACAACTTGCTCAAAAAGAAAAATCCTGACTGATTATAGATACAAGTCTAGGCTTGGAACATAGATTTTATAACAGGCTTTTCTTTACATGGTGAAAAGTTGTAAAAAAAAGTTTTTTCCTCCTCATTCTGTGGTTTAGAGGTATGTACACATACAGAAACACCTACAGGATCAAGTATCTTAAAAAAAAGTTAGGTTGATACAAGAGAGTTCAGAGGGAGTAATAAGTCAATGCATTTATCAATTACCAAAAATAGACTAAAGAACAGAAATAAAAGGAAGAAAAAAAGCCATTTTCCATATCCTTCACACTTAACTCTCTTCAGTGATCTTTTCATGTTTGACCCTCCCTCATACATTCAGACCCCTCGTCTGTCACCTAAAGAGTATAACCTGATAATTTTGCTTCCTATTTTACCAAGAAAATGGAAGCAAGCAAGCAAAACAACAACACATACACAAAAACCAAAATCCTTTCCACATGCCCCCACCACATCAACCAACCTCTTGTAAGTGTGGTCACGTACTGCATCTTTCCTTCAGCTACCAGGGATGACAAACTTCCTTGCTCAATCTAAGGATAGCCTTTCCATCTGTATACCCCCTTTGTTCACAAGGACATCACTCTAGCAATTCCACCCTCCCTCTCCTGCATTATCAATTTATTCCTTCCTATTGGACCATTCCAATATTATTTCTCTTCTCAAAAACAAAAGCACAATCAACAAGAAAAACCTCTCAACTGCCTCACACTCAGGCTGTTGTCCCATTTCTCTGTTCCTCTCCGCAGTAAAACGCTTTGAAATAAATAAACCTGCTCATTGTCTCCAATTCTGTCTTCCAAGGTTTCTGGAACATACTCCAATTAAACAATCAACCCTCACTACTCCACCAAAACTGCTTCTGTTAGAAACCTACAAGCTCTTAAGAAATCTGACTCGTAGTTACTACTCTGATCCATTTCTCTGCTCTTCCTCTACTTACTCATTGCACTCCAGTCACCCTGAGTCTTTGCTGTTGTTCAAACAAGCCAGACTCACTCCCATTTCAGGGTCTTTATCCTTGATATCTCTTCCTGGATGAAGGGCTCTTCCTCCAGGAATCTTCAAGGCTCTCTCTCTCACCTCATTCACATCTTTGCTCAACAGGCATATTCTCAGTGAAGTCATTTCCAACCACCCTATTCTAAACTGTACCACATCTCCGTCCCAGCTGACTCACAAAAACAACACTCCTCTCCTTTCCTATTTTGTTTTTCTCCATAGAATGTAAGCCCCTAAAAGACAGGGATTTTTGGCTCACTTCATTCACTATTGTTTCCCCAGCACTCAGAAAAGTGCGTGGCACAGAGTAGGCACTCAAACCTAGAAGAGGAGTTCTTACTTGGCATCCACAGACTCCCAGGTAATTTATGAAAACTTTGACTGCAAAATGTACAGTATATGTGCATTTTTCTGGGGAGAAGGTACACGGTTTCTTAAATTATCAAAAAGGTCCAGAATCCAAGAAACTAGATATTAGATTGGAGCCTATTTGTAAAGGAAATGATATTAAAGCTCACCGAATACAGCAAATTAGTAAGTGTAATGGACCAGAACACAAAGGAACATGTGCACTCAGAGAAAACAGGAAGTCAAAAGGATCCAAAACACATGGTACTAACATGGTTACCTCTGGGTAATGAGATGATACATAACATTCTGTTTCATCAATTTGTTAACAACAGTTTTCTAATTTCCATTCAGCAATTTGTATGCTTTCCTTGCGAAAGGCACAGAGGCTGCTACTTTTACTCAATTTTATTGTAGTAAGTAAAAGTTATTTATAAATATAAAAAGATATACCAAGATTTCAAATGTCAACTCAGAACTGTTCTAAAACTTAAAGGGATAGGAGAAAGAACTGAATGAGGTGGGAGTAGTGCAATTTCTTCAGAGTCAAAACACAGATCCACAAGAAATGTAGTATTGTGACCACCGCGGGACATAATGGGAGAAAAATGCACTGCAAGGCTAGTAAGAATAGGGAAGTCAAAACTGAAGTAGACAAGCTAAACAAAACAGACATGTTTATGCTAAATACAGTGATTAAAATCCTACATTTCAAATATGTGGGGGAAAGAGAGATCAGACTGTTACTGTGTCTATGTAGAAAAAGGAAGACATAAGAAACTCCATTTTGATCTGTACTCAGAAAAATTCTTCTGCCTTGAGGTGCTGTTAATCTGTAACTCTAGCCCCAGCCCTGTGCTCGCAGAAACATGTGCAGTATTGACTCAAGGTTTAATGGATTTAGGGCTGTGCAGGATGTGCCTTGGTAAAAATGTGTTTGCAAGCAGTATGCTTGGTAAAAGTCATTGCTATTCTCCAGTCTCAAGTACCCAGGGACACAATGCACTGTGGAAGGCCGCAGGGACCTCTGCCCAAGAAAGCCTGGGTATTGTCCAAGATTTCCCCTCACTGAGACAGCCTGAGATATGGCCTCGTGGGAAGGGAAAGATCTTACCGTCCCCTAGCCCGACACCCGTAAAGGGTCTGTGCTGAGGAGGATTAGTGAAAGAAGAAGGCCTCTTTGCAGTTGAGATAAGAGGAAGGCATCTGTCTCCTGCTCATCCCTGGGAATGGAATGTCTCGGTGTAAAACCCGATTGTACATTCTATTTACTTGGATAGGAGAAAACCGCCTTATGGCTGGAGGTGAGACATGCTGGAGGCAATACTGCTCTTCACTGCACTGAGATGTTTGTGTAAAGTCAAACATAAATCTGGCCTATGTGCACATCCAGGCACAGCACCTTTCCTTAAACTTATTTATGACACAGAGTCCTTTGCTCACATGTTTTCCTGCTGACCCTCTCCCCACCATTACCTTATAGTCCTGCCACATCCCCCTCACCAAGATAGTGAGAGAGTGATCAATAAATACTGAGGGAACTCAGATACCAGTGCTGGTGCAGGTCCTCACTTGCTGAGCGCCGGTCCCCTGGGCCCACTTTTCTTCCTCTATATTTTGTCTCTGTCTTTGTCTCTCTTTGTCTTCTTTTCTCAGTCTCTCGTCTCCACCTTACCCACAGGACCTTGCAAGAAATACCCACAGGTGTGGAGGGGTAGGCCCCCTTCAGAAATATTTGAGCATATCTCCATGATCTATGAACTGTCCTAGAAATTACTTTTTTTTGGTCCAAATTACATCTTTCAGGTGACTTTCACGGTATCACAGAACTCCTTAGACTACAAGTCCACAGTATACTCTGTCACCGTCATAATCTCAATCCTCAAAGCCTAACGTATCACAAGCATTACTCCTATTTTCTTTTATTAAATTCAGTTTACAGAGCTAAATGGCAAGTATCTGTTTTTGCCTTATAGTCAAAGGAAGTGAGCAAAGGACTTATACTGGGGCTGGATTCCAGATCTACTCCACCTATCACCTGCCTCATCTCAGTTTATGGCAAGTTCATCCTTTATTTCCTCAGGCTAAAACCTTGAAGTCATCCTGCACTCTTCTTTCTCACACCTCACAATCAAGCCATCAGCAAATTTGTTGGCTCCATTTCAAAACACATCCAGAGTCTAACCACTTCTCACCAGCTTCTGTTGTTACATTCCAGTCCAAACCACTCTTATTTCTTACTTTCACAATAGCCCAAGAGGCCCACTTGAGCTGCCCTGCTAGCCTGTCACTGCCTCTCTGACACCCTTTTATATTATTCTTCTCTTTGCATGTTCTAATCCAGCCGCAATGGCTTCCTAGCTGTTCCTCATCCAAACATACTATCCTTAGGGCCTTTGCCCTTTCTTTCTTCTGCCTACAGCTTTCTTCCTCTAGATGTGTGTATGAATTTCTCTTAATTCCTTCAAAGACTATTTTTTCAGATGTCAATTCTGAGGAAGGCCTTTCCTAACCACTCTGTTTAAAGTTGTGAATAGTCTTCATGCCCCAGCATTCACTATTCCCCTTTTCTGCTTTACTTTTCTTCATGGCACTTAAAACCTTCTAACATACTATATAATTCACTTTATTCAGTTTATTGTCTATTGCTAAAATATGACAAGGATGTCTGTTTTATCTTTCCTTACCATATACAGTAATGCCAGGTACAAAGTTGGTGCTTAATAAGCATCTGCTGAGTACATGTATGAATTCTCATTGAAATTCTACTTCTCTCCTTGTCTGATAAAAGGACTGAATGTCACAAAGAATGGGAGGTACTCTGATGAGATGGAGTCTGGGAAAGAGAAGGGATACTTCAAAATACTGAAGTAACTGTAGCTTACCTAGAATCCAGATGGAAGAAAACATACATTCCTGATCCTGACAATTTGACTTCTCAAAGAAGATAGCATTCTGTAAAACACAAAGACAAGGATAAAAAGCCATAAATGACAGAATTTAGCACTAGATCATTTACACTCAAAGGATTTAACAATGGGTAAACTACAGTTAAAAAGAACAGATGGGTTTTCTTATCTAATCCCTTAAATTCAATTCTGTAGAGTCTTAAATCATCCCATATGACTCTTTAGAGAAAAGGACAATACAGAATCTATAACCCATCTGCACAATCTATAGCTTCCTTTGCAACTATAACAACATTGAAGGAAAGGGCTCCTAACACTAAATCTTGGTGGTATCTTGAAAACACGAAGGCATTATCTTCCCTACAGGAACTCAGGCTGTCCTGATCCAAAGTGTAATAGGGACTACAAAGTATTTTTGGGATTATAACAAAATTACCACCTTACCACCACTGCAACCCACGTAATCATCACAATTTTGGTAATTCAAAATTTATAACACCCTAAGCTGATTTATATTTCAACCACAAACAACCCAGGAGGTGGTCAATTAGGGGCACAAAAAGAAGTTAGAGAGTCCACACTTAACCATTGATGTCTTTCTCTAGAAGTTTTAACCTGCCTTATCCTTAGGTTAATGGGACTTGCAGTTCCCTCAACAACCTTCCTGCTACTGAGGATCAGAAGCAAAAATGGAACTACTTGGACCCAGGCAACATATAGGGCCATACAGCTGAGGCTCTCTATGACACTTAGCTTATAGCTGCTAGTATTAAAATGACATGTTTTATGGCTCTAGTTCCAGGTAAGATGGAGTAAATACATGTCACAGATGTCATCCCATTGAATCCAACTATGAAGTCTGGACAGAATGTATGGCCCAGTTATTTGACAACTCCAAAAAGCACATAGCATGCAAGTCAGGAAAGAGCAGAATTTTAAATGCCATTCAACCAGCAGTGATTTTATTTCTTTTTTTTCCCCCTTTTGGTCCTCTTCAGTATGGGGCCTAAACTCAGTGTAGCCCTAAATACAGAAGTGAGGGAAGTTGTAAAACGTAATTGTCAACTGAGACTTCTCAGAAAACCTGTAAGTTTTCACACCATTTATTTATTTATCTATTTATTTATTTATTTTTATTTTAAGTTCCAGGGTACCTGTGCGGGATGTGCAGTTTTGTTACATAGGTAAACGTGTGCCTATGTAAACATGTGCTATACCTATCAACCCATCACCTAGTTATTAAGCCCACCATGCATTAGCTATTTTTCCTGATGTTCTCCCTCCCCCCGCACCTTGCTACAGTCCCAGTGTGTGTTGTTCCCCTCCCTGTGTCTAACTGTTCACATTGTTCAGCTCCCACTTATAAGTGAGAACATGCGGTGTTTGCACACCAATTATTTAAAATTGGCCATGGAAGTCAGTGGACAGAAAACTGACTTAAATATGAAAAAAAAAAGGAAAATATCTCTAGAGGAAATATAAAGAATGTGGTAATAAAACACAGTCAGAGGGGATAACAGTGGCTACAGAAATCCAAATCTCTCAACACATCCTTTAAAAGCAGTAAGAATAAGAAGAACAAATGTACTATACAAAGCCCACACTGTCACCAAATCCCATATAGCTGTCTCTCACATTCTAGCCATAAGCTATCAAGGAGAGCAAGGACAATCTGAGAATGAGAGGTAAAGAGAAGAGAGCTAGCAGTGGGCAAGACTGACCTAAAATTCATTGCCAGAAAGAAAAACCCACTCTAAGTACAAAAAACTTTATCACAGTAAGTATGTATAGAAAAAAAAAAGCCATTTAGGGTTCAATACTATCTGCAGTTTCTGGTATACACTGGGAGTCTTGGACCATATCCCCCACAAATAAGGTGGGATTACTATATTGTATTTATGGCAGGTGAGAATTAAAGTACACTATTAAACTAAAAAACCATCTGAAGCTGAAATGGCCTTTTAGAAAAGAAAAATTTTAGAAACCCTTAAAAACCAAATAATTAAAGGTTAAATATAAAAATTTATTTTTTTAATGAACTAAAGGCATTAAAAAAGATCTAAGTATGGTCAGGTGCGGTGGCTCCCGCCTGTAATCCCAGCACTTTGGGAGACCGAGGCAGGCGGATCATATGAGGTCGGGAGTTCGAGACCAGCCTGACCAACATGGAGAAACCCTGTCTCTACTAAAAATACAAAATTAGCCGGGTGTGGTGGCACATCCCTGTAATCCCAGCTACTTGGGAGGCTGAGGCAGGAGAATCACTTGAACCCAGGAGGTGGAGGTTGCGGTGAGCCAAGATCAGGCCATTGCACTCCAGCCTGGGCAACAACAGCGAAACTCCGCCTCAAAATAAATAAATAAATAAATAAATCTAAGTACAAAAGTAGCTAATATAACAAAAATCAAACATTCAAAACAGAAAGTCATGAAAGAGCTATGAAAACCTATCGTAGAAAAAAAAGTAACAAAATACAGTTATAACAATATGACATTGTTAAAACCAAACATCAACTATATCAATAAATATAAATGAGCTTAACACACCTATTAAAAGAAAGAGATTTTCATTTTGGCTCACAAGCAAGACCTAACTATATGCTAAATACAAGAGACACCTAAAGCAAAGTGATTCAGGCAGGCTAAAATTAAGGAGGTGGGAAAAGGAACACTAGGCAAACAGAAACAATAAAAGTAGGGCTTTTGATCCTGATATCAGGCAAAGTAGAGTTCAAGCCAAAAGAATTAAACATAATAATACTTTCTAAATTACACTAAAGTCACGGTTATCTATGTATCACATTACACAGCAGGCACATTTACAAAGGAAAAACAGAGAAACAGATACAAAGAAACAGAGATAAAAATATTAATAATAGGAAAGCTTAATATACCACTCTCAATAAAAGACATACAAACTGGACCAAGAAGTAATGATGCAGAAGGCCTAAATAACCTAATTAATAAGTAAATCTTATTTATATTAAACCGTATGTCCTGATAAGTACACATTCTTTTTAAGAACACATGAATCATCCACAAAAATCTGTCATATATTATGTAATAAAGGAAGCATCATTATCGCAAAGAAACATTACAAGAAACAATCTGCAACAAAACTAGAAATTTATTAAAATATCAAGCGACCAAAGGTCCTTTCAAATGGGGGGAAAATAAACTGTTAAAAAACTATTCAGTAAAAGGGGCAATGAAAAAGTTAACAAAATTTTTAAGTATTCATAATTGAAAATATTATATATTACAATCTATGGGATAAATTTAAACCAGTTCATGCCTATATTTCTTTAATCAATAAAAACAGAAGAATTTAAATGAACAAGTTAAATTCTTAGATCAAAAGCTAAGAAAAAAATAAATTTCAATTGAGCCCAGGAGTTCAAGACCAGCCTGGGCAATATTAATGAGACCCAATTTCTATTTTAAATAAATAAGTAGGTATGGTAGCTCATACCTACAATCCCAGTGCTTTGGGAGGCCGAGGCAGTAGGATTGTTTGAACCCAGGAGTTCAAGACCAGCCTGGACAACATAGCAAGATCCTGTCTCTATTTTGTTTTTTAATGGGAAAAAAAATCAAAATAATAACAAAAATAGATAAAAGGAGAAATCAATGAACTAGAGAACAAAAAGACAGTAAATCTAATGATAAATCAAAATCATACTTATTTTGTAAAACTTAAAGAAACAGATAAACCACTAGGTTACTTAATTGAAAAAAAGGAAGAAAGCACACATTTACAAAATAAGAAATGACAAGGAAGAATAACCACCGAACAGAAAAACACACATACATGAAACCACTTTGCAAATCTCTATATAAATAAATATGATTAACTATAAAATAAGGGTTTCTTTATGAAACACAATTTATTAGAGTTGACTCCATTAAAGATATAAAGTCTTAAAACACCAATTTGCAGAGAATAAATAGAAAAAGTTATAAAGGAACCATTCCATAAAAAGCACTAGGCCCAGATTATTTCACGAAATAATTCTATAAATCTACACAGACCAAATAAATACAATGCTTCATACATATTTTCCAGAGCACCGAAAATGAAGAACAACTTCCTAATTCTTTTTGTGAAATAAGGATAGCACTGGTAACTAAACCTGATGAAGAGAGCATAAAAAAATTTTAATATCCAATATCGCTTTTTTTTTTTTTTAAAGAGTCGGGGTCTTGCTCTGATACCCAGGCTGGAGAGCAGTGGCACAATCATAGCCCACTGTAGCCTCAAGCTCCTAGGCTCAAGCAATTCTCCTGGCTCAGCCTCCTGAATAGCTGGGGTATAGGTACACACCACCATGCCTGGCTAACATTTTTTATGAATGTGAGAAATACTAACAAAAATCAATACCACATTAAGAAAATAATATAACATGACCAAGTGGAATTTTTGCAAAATTGGTTCAAAATTAGACTATCTTTCAATATGAGGAAATCCACTAAATATAATACCCCATATGAACAGACCTATGGAGAAAAATAATATATTATCTCCATAGATAGTGAAAGAACCTGCAACAGAAATCAACATCTATTCTGGATAAAAACACTCAAGAAAGTGGAAATTAATAGATATTTCCTTTTAATATGATAAAACATACATTCCTTCATCCAGTACCTTAAGTTAGAAAAACTACAATAATTTTTACTAAGATCAGGAACAAGGCAAGTATGGCCAATACTTCTCTTTTCAATCACTGACCTGGAAGTATTAATCAATGCAATTAGAAAAATCAATTAGAGGTGTGAAAGAAGTAAAACTATCTCTATTTGGAGGTGATTTAATAGTAGAATTAGAAAACCCTACAAAGGACCAATGCTAAAACTAACTCAAATGATAAAGGAATTCAGTATGGTAGCAGGATATAAAATTTGCCACACAGAAACCACCAGTTTTTTACATAAATATAAAGAATAACTAATTGGAACACACAATGATAGAGAACAACCTTTGTATAACAGCAGCAATATAAAACTACTTAGAAATAAATAAAACATAGCCATGCCAAATAAAGCATAGGAAAACTTCTCCCTCCTGAGACCCAAAAATAGACTTGAATAAATGGAAGGACAGCCTTTGTTCTTGCATAGAACAATTCAACATTATGAAGATGTTCCCTCCTAAGATTTATAAACAATGCAATCTCAATAAAAATAACAAGCTTCTTTATGAAACTAGACTAAGGGGTGGCAAACTATGGCCCACAGGCCAATTCTGGCCTGCCACCTGTTTTTTTCAAATAAAATTTTACTGAAATAGGGTCATACTTATTCATTAATGTATTGAAAGGCAGAATTGAGTAGTCACAATAGAGACCAGATAGCCACCAAAGCCTAAATACAATACTTTCTGGCCCTTTAAAGAAAAATCTCCAATGCCTAAGCTGTACAGTTGCTACTCAAGTTCACTTTGAAAAGACCAACAAGGACAGCCATGAAGCAATGAAAAGACAGACTACGAAGGGTAACTAAACCCATGAGACATTAAAATAAACTTTAAAGCTTCTAATATTAAAACAACAGAGTTCCAAAACACAATTAGATAAAGGGACAAATAGAAAAGGAAATCCAGAAATAAACACATATAGAAATTTAGTATACAATAAAGATGACATCTCAAATCACCAGGGCAAAAATGGACTTTTTAATAAATGATGGTAAAACATCAAGGTAGCCACATGAAAATAGGTACAATTTGGTCTACACTTCATACCACACACCAATATAAACTCCCAATTGGTTAGGGTTCTAAATGTATACATGGAAATGATAAGATACTACAAGAAAACTAAAGTAAATTCTACATTAATCTTAGGGTACCAAAAATTTTCTATCTGTAAGACTGATCATTTGACTAAAAATAAAAACTTTTTTTTAAAGTTTTCTTTTATATATACATACATATGTGTGTGTGTGTGTGTGTGTGTGTGTGTGTGTGTATATATATATATATATATTTTTTTTTTTTTTTTTTTTTTTGAGACTGAGTTTCGCTCTTGTTGCCCAGACTGGAGTGCAATGGCGTGATCTTGGCTCACCACAACCTCTGCCTCCTGAGTTCAAGTGATTCTCCTGCCTCAGCCTCCTGAGTAGCTGGGATTGCAGGCATGCACCACCATGCCTGGCTAATTCTGTATTTTTAGTAGAGACGGGGTCTCTCCATGTTGGTCAGGTTGATCTCGAACTCCCGACCTCAGGTGATCTGCCCGCCTCAGCCTCCCAAAGTGCTGGGATTACAGGTGTGCGCCACTGTGCCAGCCAAAAACATTTTATATATATAAAAAATGAACAAAGTCAACGGTCAATGGGCAAACTAAGAGAAAATATTTGTAACAATATTTGAGATACAGGGACAATATACCTAATATATAAAGATCTCTTAAAAATTGAGGGAAAACGACAAACATCTGATAGAAAAATAAGCAAAAGACAATTCTCACACACACAAAATATAAAAATGTCCCTTAAATATATGAGAAGCTGTTCAATCTCATAATTAGAGAAATGCAAATTAAAATAAGTGATATTACTAGGAACAAAGAGAAACTTCTTCAAGTTGATAAAGCACATCTACAAGAAAACCACTGCTAACATCATACTTAATGGTGAAAACTTAGAAGCTTTCAGCTAACATCAGGAACAAGGTAAGAATGTTCTCTCTCACCACTGCTTTTCAACATAATACTGGAATAGAGAGATAATGCTACAAGACAAGAAAAGGAAATAAAAGGTATAGAGATTAGGAAGGAAGAAATAAAACTGTCTTTGTAAGTGACATGACCATATATGTAAAAATCTGAAAAAATCATTGACAAAAAACTCCTGGGACTAGGAAGTGATTACAGTTAAGGTTGTATAATACAGGGTTAACATACAAATCAATTATTTTCCTCTATACCAGCAATGAACAAGTAAAATTTGAAATTAAAAACACAATACCATTTACATTAACACTCTAAAAAATAAAACATCTTAAGTATAAATCTAACCAAATATGTTCATAATTTATGCAAAGAAAATTTGAAAACTCTAAGAAATAAAAAAGAGAACTAAATAAATGGAGGGATATTCCACATCCATGGATAAGAAGATTCAATATTGTCAAATAGTCAGTTCTTCCCAACTTGTACTACAGATTCAACACAATCCCAGCAAATTATCTTGTGAATATTGACATACTGATACAAAGTTTATATGAAGAGGTAAAAGACCTAGATTAGCGATCATAATGCTGAAGGGCAGGAACAAAGTTGGAGGACTGATGCTACCTAACTTCAACACTTACTATACTATTTGAAGTTACAAGACTAAAGCTATAGTAATCAAGAAAGTGTGGTAATGGTGAAAAAACAGACAAATAGATAAATGGAACAGAATAGAGTCCAAAAATATACCCATATAAATAGAGTCAGCTGATCCATGATAAAGGAACAAAGGCAATAAATACAAGGCAGAAAAAGACAGTCTTTTCAACAAATGGTGCTGAAGTAACTAGACATTCACATGCAAAAAAAAAAAAAAAAGAATAAAATTCTCTCATTTGCATCAACATAAATGAACTTGGAGGACATTATGTTAAGTGAAATAAGACAGACACAGAATGATGAATACCACATAACCTCACTTACATATGGAGTATAAAACAGTCTAACTGATAGAAACAGATGGTAAAATGGTGGTTACCAGAGGCTGAGACATAGCAGGGTTGGGAAGAAATTGGTCAAAGGATACAAAATTTCAGTTAAACAGGAGGAATAAGTTCTAGAGTTGTACTGTAGGTAAGTTCTAGAGTTCTACATCATGCCTAATAAAAATACATTGCATATTTGAAAATTGCTGAGAGTAGATTTTATGTTCTCACCACAAGAAATGGTATGTGAGGTAATATATGTTAAATAGCTTGATTTAGCCAGTCCACAATGTATACATATATTGAGACATCATGTTCTACATCATAAATACATACATACTTACTTCTCAATTAAAAAAAATTTACAAACCCCAAATGAATCAGATACCTAAGTATAAAACACAAAACTATAAAACTTCTAGAGGATAACATAGGAGAAAATCTAGATAAACTCGGGTATAGCAATGACTTTATATTTTTGGGATGGGTCTCGCTCTGTGTCCCAGGCTGGAGTGCAGTGGTGCGATCTCAACTTACTGCAACCTCCGCCTCCCAGGATCAAGTGGTCCTCCCACCTCAGCCTCCTGAGTAGCTGGGACCACAGGCATGTGTCACTACTCCAGGCTAATTTTTTCTATTTTTGGTAGAGACATGGGTTTTACCATGTTGCCCAGGCTGGTATTGAACTCCTGAGCTCAACTGATCTGCCTACCTTGGCCTCCCATAGTGCTAGGATTATAAGCGTGAGCCACCATGCCTGTGCTGGCAATGACTTTTTAGATACAACAACAAAGGTATGATCCATGGAGGAAAATTGATAAGCTGGACTTTAAAATTAAAAATGTCTGCTCTATGAAATAAACTGTCTAGAGAATGAGAAGACAAGCCACAGACTGGGAGAAAATATTTGCAGAAGACACATCTGATTAAAGACTGTTATTCCAAACATTTAAAAATCTCCAAAATATACAAAAATATACATATACCCTTAAAACTCAACAAGAAAACAAACCAGTTTAAAAAAACTGGCAAGTCAAGCCAGGCATGGTGGCTCATGCCTGCAATCCCAGCACTTTGGGAGGCTGAGGCGGGTGGATCACCTGAGGTGAGGAGTTCGAGATCAGCCTGGCCAACATAGTGAAACCCCTTCTCTACTAAAAATACAAAAAATTAGCTGAGCCTGGTAGCAGGAGCCTGTAATTCCAGCTACTAGGGAGGCTGAAGAAGGAGAATCACTTGAACCTGGGAGGCAGAGGTTGCAGTGAGCTGAGATCGCACCATTGCACTCCAGCCTGGGCAACAAGAGTGAAACTCCGTCTCAAAAAAATAAAAAAAATTGTAGATACCCCATAGAATGTACAACATAAAGAGTGAACCCTAATGTAACCTATGGAGTTTGGGTGGCAATGATGTATCAACTTAAGTTCACTGATTGTAAGAAATGTATCACTCTGTTGAAGAGATTAACAGCGGGGGATGCTGTGTGTGCTATGTGTGTGGTATGTGCATGTGTCAGGGTAAAGAGAGTGGTAGGGGACATATGGGTACTCTCTGTATTTTTTGCTCAATTTTGCTATGAACCTAACAGTTCTCTAAAAAATAAAGTCTATAAAAAATGAAATAATTTTTTAAATGTACATGAAATACCAGTTCTCACCAATTAAATCTGCATATATTAAAAGGTATGACAATGCATTTTGTTGTCGACACTGTAAGGAAACAGACACACTCATATGTTGCTGGAGGGAATGCAAACTGGTAAGTCTATAAAAAAAGAAATAATTTTTTAAAAGTACATGAAATACCAGTATCACCAATTAAATCAGTATACATTAAAAGGCATGACAATGCATTTTGCGGTCAACACTGTAAGGAAACAAACAAACTCATACGTTGCTGGAGGGAATGCATATGGGTACAATCTCGTCCGGAGGGGAATGTGGCAATATGTAACAAAACTAGATATACATTTACTTTTGACTCAGCAATCCCATTTCTAGAAATGGACTCTGAAGATTCACCTCCAATAACATGAAAATATAAAGCATAAAATTACTCATAGTAATGTTTGTAACGGGAAAATATTTAAAATAAATATCTGTATGTAAGAAAATGGTGAATAAACTATGGTACATACATCCACACATAATGGAGTACTATGCAACTGTAAAAGAGAATGAGGAAAATCTTTATCAACTGATGTGGAGTGATTTCCAGGATAAATTATAAATTTAAAAAAGCAAAGTGTAAAAAAGTATGTTGTATTTTATGTAAGAAAGTAAAAATAAAAAATTATATATGTAGTTCTCCACTTGCCCCAAAAAACAAGAAACTAATGAGATTGGTTATCATTACAAGGCAGATAAAAATGGAATTGATGGCACAGGAAAACAGAATTGGGTGGAGGAGAAGAGTCACATTTCTCTGAGAATATGAATACACAGCACACATATTTTTACTTTTAGAATTATGTTACATTTTACATATTCAATACATGAATGAACTAATGAACTAAATAGTCAAGATGGAAGAGAAAAGCATAAAAACAAATGCGCCTGTGTTTCAAATAAATAACAACTACACAGAAGAGAAAAAAAAATAACTCTAACACAATATTGGGACTATGTATATTCAATCTAAAGATAAAAATAACTCGAATCAGTACAGATTTTCTCCCCTGTTGGGATAAGGGTACACTACTTAATGTGTATCCTAGGACCGAATAAATAAGTAAATATACTATGGATAATGTCACCTAGATTCCCCATTGTCAATGAAGAAGGCTACAAACAGAAAAGAGAAAGGCTAGAATGAACTCTGTAGTGTTTAACTGGAATTAGAAGTACCAGTATAAGTCAAGATTTTAAGGTTTATATAGAGAATAAAGAAACGTATATATGTGTGAAATTACGTATGTTTATTTTTTTTTCCTAGTAATGTTTGCTGAGAAGTCATGGAAACAATAAAATCCTAGTAGTAATGAGTATACCAAGCATTCAGACATGGGTTTCTAAATACCATTCTACATTGAAAAGAATCAAGACTCTTTGGAGAAATGGCTGTTTCCACGGTTTGGAAAGTATAAGATAAGCCTGGACCATCCTGATGTGTCAGAAAGTAAGGAAGTGCTCAAAAAGTGGTGCAATATGCCAGAAGGACCCACAATTCAGGATGGAAGGACTGCCACTGTACAAATCTGGAACAAGCAGAACATTGAAATAAGTAATAACAGTAATAAATTAGTCACACAATAAGAATCCATGAATTTGTACTCATTAAAAAAAAGTGTATAGAAGGGAAAGTTTTTTTGCATTAGAAAAGCAAACAAATATAGAAGAAATGATGGAATTAAAAATTTCACGATGTTCAATCAAAAGAAGAGTACTGTGCAAAAATCTACTGGATGAAAAATTTTATGAGAATCAAGATATTTACATAATCTGAAAATATCTCCCCACTAGATATTTAATAATTATAAATATAAAAAGAGTAACTTCACAGTATAGAAACCTGGAAGACACCACCTTAACCTAATGGTATCCTCAACTAAAGTGAACATGACCAGTAATGAGATAAAACATCATGAGCCTCCTAATATGATGCAAAGAGAAAAACATAACATCACTTCTGCGGTATCTTGCCAAAAATGTCTAAACTGAATCTGATCACGAGGGAACATCAGAAAAACCCAAACTGAGGGAAACTACCAAATAAATGGCCTAAATATTCAAAAAATGTCAAAGGTATGAAAGACAAAGTCTGAAGATATGTTCACAATAGGGACAACATTATAATTAAATTAAATGACTGATGCTGAATTAGATCTTGGTCCACAGAAAACATTTTTTTCTTTTTGTCTTAAACAACATGAGTGGAGCAATTGGCTAAGTTTGAATAAGGTCTGGAGATTAGATAATAGTACTTATTGTATGAATGTTAATTTCCTGACTCCGATAATGGTAATGATAATTTCTAGAGAATATCCTTGTTTTTAGGAAATATACAACTGAATATTTAGGACAGGCTTTCTCAATTAGGGTTCTAGAAAAGAAGTCCCCAAAGAAAATGTATTCGAATGACTGTTTTCTCAGTTCTCCTAGGGATGGCATGTAGCTAGCAGTACTGTACATGCATAGGAGAGCAGGATTCCATGGCTTGATTCTCTGTTTGAGAAGAGACATGTCTACAATTTATTCTCAAATGGCTCAGGGAAAAATCTATATATATGTATATGTGTATTGCTATGCTTTGAATGTGTCCTCCAAAGTTAATGCATTGGAAACTTCATCCCCAATTCAATGATGTCGGGAAACAGATCCTAATGGGAGGTATGTAGGTAACAGGGGCACCACCCTCATAGACTAATGCCATTATTTCAGGAGTCGGTTCCTCACAAAAAGATGAGTTTGGTCCCTTTCTGAGCACTCTTGCTTGCTCTCACCCTCTCTTTGCCCTTTTGCCATGAAATGACACAGCAAGAAGGCTCTCACTAGATGCCAGCCCCCGTCTTGGACTTTCGAATCTCCAGAATCATGAGCCAATAAATTTCTGTTCATTATAAATTACTCAGTCTATGGTATTCTGTTATAGCAGCCCAAAACAGACTAAAACGTTTGTTTAATAGACAGAGGCAAAATCATAAAGCAAACATGGTAAAATGTTAACATTTAGAGCATATGAGTGAAGGGTATATGGGAGTTCTTTGTACCATTTTGCAATTTTTTGTATATCTGTACTTATTCAAAATTAAAAGGTATTTTATTTTGGTTTTCAAAAAACATGGTGGCTAAAGATTGGTTTATTTTGGTGGTTAATACTGACAGTTTAAGCTCTGGATGCAGATTTTGGTTCAAATTCCCACTCTCCTCCTTTGTAGCTGTGAGAACTTGGGTTAGTAACTTAATTTCCTTCAACTTCAATATTCTCTTTTTTCCTCACAGAGTTGCTATGAGAACAAAGACACTGCCGGTACTAAGCTCAATGCCTAGGTCTCAGTAGATGCTTAATAAATGGTAGATTCTATTATTTTCTTAATTCTACCTTCACATGCACAAAACCACTAACATGTATTAAGCCCATTTTCTATGCCTGATTCTTGTGCAAAGCCTTGTTCAAAACCCACTTGCAATAACTAATAAAACAATTTGGCCAGTTAATGATTAATATGAAGATTATGCAAAAACTAGAAAAAAATTATGGAGAAATATTAGAAGGAAAAGGAAGAATTCCAACTCAGAATCACAACTAAGTAAAGATATGCCGGGATACAGACAAATAGCTGTTATAAGATGAGGGGTTCATAAAAGGTTTTGTCTTTTAAAATTTGTATTAGTGTTAAGCTCAAAAGGAGAATAGAGTGAAAATAAAGGATTCTTAGTTTTGTCACAGCCAGGCAAATCATTTACATTATTCCCTAAAGTTATCAGTCCAAGATGTCTTATTTGCCCTAAACAACCAATGAAGTGTGGGGCATTAAGAAGAAGAAAAAAAAAACTGAATAAATAAGGAAATAATTTTCCTATTCATATCCAAGCTTTTTTTAGATGTCAACACCTAAAAAATAAGTCTGGGTGTCAAACCTCAAAACAGATCATAAGGCCGGGCGCGGTGGCTCATGCCTGTAATCCGAGCACTTCGGGAAGCCGAGGCTGGCGGATCACAAGGTCAGGAGATTGAGACCATCCTGGCTAACACGGTGAAACCCCGTCTCTGCTAAAAAGTACAAAAAAATTAGCCAGGTGTGGTGGCGGGCGCCTGTAGTCCCAGCTACTTGGAAGGCTGAGGCAGAAGAATGGTGTGAACCTGGGAGGCAGAGCTTGCAGTGAGCTGAGATTGTGCCACTGCACTCCAGCCTGGATGACAGAGCGAAGACTCCATCTCAAAAAAAAAAAAAAATCACGACACTTCCCTAATTTAAAATACTGTTTTCTAGCACACTCAGAATAAAATCCAAAGTTTTTACTGCTCTACATAATGTGGCACCTCTGCGTTATCTTCAGCCTCACAGGCCATCTCCGAGCTTTTGCACTTGTTCCTTCTGCCTAGAATGCTCTTCCCCATGCAGCTTACTCCTTTATTGGACTCAAGTCTCTGCCTGAAGATCACTTCCTCAAAAAGCAGCATACCCTGACTACCTTATCTAAAATAGCCTGTGTTGCTTTATCACATTTTATTTCTCTCCACAGCACTTATCACCATTCAACTTTATGGTATACATTTTATATTTATTCGTTTGTCTTTTTACTAAAATATAACTTCTATTAGGGTTAGGACTTAGTCTTTTGCTTACTGTAATATCCCTACTACCTAGAGTACATTTGTTGAATAAATGAAAAGTGTGAACAAATACCAGAACAAAAAGGCAATCATTATCCTTGGACCCCCAGTAGCTGTATAACAGACTAGACCAGTAGCCCTGGCTGGTTCATCTAGCAAGCCCAAATACATCTTTCAAGTCTTAGCTCCAGGGTACCCTCCTTCAGGATGCTTCTCTTGCCCCATCCTAGGAAGAGACTAGTACTCTTTCCTGCCTAGGGTCGAAGTGAAAGGAATAAACTGGAACACGACAAAAGTCCAAGCAGACAGGCTAATTCATACAACTTGAGAGTTCATGGTTATCCTTAAAGGGTATATGGGACCAAGAGACAAAGTTAGTAAAGCATTATTTAAAAATTAGATGGTGTTTATAGGCCTTAGACTTGGAAATTTCTCATTTATTTTTCATTGATTACATGGATTATCTCATTTAGTCCTCCCAAGGACCCTATGAAATAGGTATTAATACCAGTGTTTGGATCTTATAGATGGAAAACCTGATGCTTAGGGCAGTTAGATAATCACCCAACAACTTACAAATAGTAAGCAGCAGAGCCAGGATTTCAATACCTATCTTCTGACTCCAGAGCCTGCCTAAGCATTAGGCATACTACCCTCTTTGTGCTACAAATCAATCAAAAAGCAATTACTGCAAGCCTAATGTGAATATGCATGCATGTTGAAAAGGAGTAGAAAATAGCCTTAAGTTGGTAGGATAGGGCTCAGTTTTATCACTCTGCTATCTTAGGAGCTAAGAAAGGGGCATTCTCTTTTTCCATATATCTTCTCCCATACTTTCCTGTCTTTCACCCTGCCCCACCCCACACCCCCATCCACATTTATACAGAAACAGAGCCTGGTATACCACTTACCGTAACAAGAAAGACTCAAGACCATCTTCCTTTTGGTTTCAAAAGGTCTCTAGTTCAGAACTATTCACAACACTCAATTCTTGCCTCTCCTAGAGGAAAAATCAATAATGTAGACGATGACCTTGTGAAATTTATAATTCATAATTTTTCTAGAGCTGGCCTAGAAAACTGGTCCCATTTCCTCTCCATTCTAGTGAGCATCCTTCAACCATAGCTTACCTCTTCCCATCTTTGCTTACACTGTTTCTCCTGCAGGAAGTACCTGCCACTGGTAGCCATCAGTTCCGACCAGCTCTAGACAAAATGTCAAGAATCTTTCTATTACTAACTGTAACTTCATAACAAAGCCCTAAGCCTCGTTTTTCGTTTGTTTTTTCTCCTTCTGCTAATTGTTTTTGTTTGTATTATCTCAACTCCTAAGATCAAAGACCCATTCGTCTACCACTACAAACCCCAAAGTGCATGTGATAAGTGTATATAATATAAAGTTATCTGTAATTCCATTTTCCAAAAAGAAATGGTTATAGGAAGATTAAACAAACCAGATTTTTCTGCAGATAGATTCAACTGCAACATAACTAATTTCTGCACTGAAGATGAAGCGAAAAATCCATTCAAGGTCCTTTTTTTCCTCGATATATATGAAAGATTATATTGCTTTGAAAAGTGCCTTGCAGTGTTTACTATCTCTAGGAACTACCGTACTAAGGTTCTCTTCTTTCAACTTTTCATTGACCATCTTTCAGTCCTCCGTCCGCCGTCAGCGGAGACCAGACCATGCTCAGTGTCCAGGAACAGGGGCTGCTCCCACTCGACTGTGGCCGTGGGTCTTGGGTCCCACCGCGCACCCATCCCATCCCTGGGCCCCGCAGGCCGCGCTTACCCTGGCAGCCGCCGGCGCCGCCCCTAGGCCTGGGGACAGCACTTCCGGTTACTCTCCGGACACTCGAATCTGGGCTTCCTGGCGGCCGCAGACTCTGCGATAGTAGATCTAAGGGCCAGGCTTCGGGAAGGAAAGAAAAGCGAACCCGGCACGGACAAGACCTAGGAGCAACTCCCTT
Organism: Homo sapiens; assembly: GCF_000001405.40. Lineage (NCBI taxonomy): Eukaryota > Metazoa > Chordata > Mammalia > Primates > Hominidae > Homo > Homo sapiens. Next base: position 205,780 of record NW_025791780.1, read on the forward strand.
CGTGCGCCTAGACTAGAGGAGTTGGGGCCAGGCCGCCCACAGAGCGCTTTAACAGAGCGCTTCAAGGGCCCACAAGGCCGGCTACGCAAACCCTTTCAAGCTGGCTGGGAAGAGGCCGGCGCAGCCCCACCCCCGCAAGTCACATGATCACCCCTCTCCGGCCACTAGGGCGTTCCAACCCCGGCCCCTGGGCCAATAGGAGCCGAGTCTTCGGAAAGGGGCGGGGCCCGGGGCGCCTGCGCTCTGGGAGCCCTCGGCGTTTTGGTGGGAGGGGGTCTTGCTGGCGCAGTGGAAGGCCGGCTGCGGGGGGAGGCGATCGCTGCCACCCTGTCTAAGAAGAAACGGCACCAACAGCGTTGCAGTTTATGTTACAGTTTCCCCAAGGCTGTTAACCGAGGACTCAAACCAGGAGTAGAGTCACAAAGATTAGATGCCACTGACCCTGAGAGAAACACCAGGAAAGATCTGGGAGAGATAGAGGATTCTGAAGCACAGTGGCAGCGCTGTCATCCACGAAGATGTGGCCAGCGAGATGGAAGAAATGCTTTTAAAAGTGGTGGACTTGTGTGGGTGGAGAAAACAGCAGCGAGAGAAAGTACTGTGGGAGGTTCCCCAGTCCTTGCTGATTATGTTTCTGATTTCGAATCAGCTAAGAGTAAATCACCTAGTGGTGGGCTGGAACAGAACTCAGTTCTTTAGGTTGAACACTGGGTATTCTCCCAGCTCAATTGTTAAATTAAAAAAAACAAACCAACAAAAAACAGTTTTTAAATGTCCTCAGCTATCAAAGGGAAAAGATGAGTAGTAGGAATATGGAAAACTAAACCCTGGGCAGCCTGGCCAAGGACTTGGATTGTGAGCCAGTTGCTGAGGTTTAGTAATTGGGGAGCGCAGTCTCTGAGACACGTATTCAGTATTAACTAATCATGTTCCTACTAGTGGAATTCTTCCGCAGAGGGTCTACAGCTTATTCTACTTTCATGTTTATTTTTAATGAAACTTTCAAGGTCAAAATATTCCACTCAGGGTTGTCTTAATATTTTGAATAATAACATTTTGAGTGTGTAGCATGTATCAAACACTGTTCTAATAACTTTACACTATTGTCTCATTCAGTTGTAACAAAAATCGTGTGAGATATGTATTCTTTTAGGAGGAAACTGGTGCACAGAGAGATTAAGTAGCTTGCCCAGGATCACATATTACTGATGAAGCTGTAATGTGAACAGTCTGATGCCAGATTCTGTGCTTGCAGTCACTATACTTATGGCTACCTCAATAGTGGTGAGTGTATTGTGTAAAATTATTGGAATAAAAATTAAGCAAGTTGGATTCTGATCTCTGCACTGCATATAACAAGGTCTGAATATGTGTAGAATTGAACTGTTCAACCTTTTCTTTCAGGATACATTGGCCCAAAGTACTCTTTATTAATTGTTTTATTCAGTTAAACATTTATTGAGCACCTCCAATTAACAGGACACCATAGGCCGGGCACGGTGGCTCACGCCTGTAATGCCAGCACTTTGGAAGGCTGAGGTGGGTGGATCACCTGAGGTCGCGAGTTTGAGACCAGCCTGACCAACATGGTGAAACCCTGTCTCTACTAAAAATACAAAATTAGCCAGGCGTGGTGGCGCATGCCTGTAATCCCAGCTACTTGGGAGGCTGAGACAGGAGAATCGCTTGAACCTGGGAGGTGAAGGTTGCAGTGAGCCAAGGGCACTCCAGCCCGGGCAACAAAAGTGAAACTCCATGTCAAAAAGAAACAAAAACCAAAAAAACAGGACACTATGCTGTGTGTTAGGAATTAAAGGCCAGTGAGACTCAATACCACTCCTTTAATGGCTCACAGTCTGGTATGGAGACGGCAGGGGTTTTAGGTGGTGTGGTAGAGGTAGAAGTTGTATAAGGTCATCTGGGGGCATAGAGGTGAAGCACTTTGTAAGAACTTTGAGAAAGAGTCAGAAAAGACTCTGTAGGAGATGAGACATAAGGTGAGACTCGAAGGAATAGAAGTAAGGAGTTGGCTGAAGATGAGCCTGAAATGGAAGATGGAAAATAAGTACAGAGACATTTGAATGTGATTTCAGTTAGTGGAATTTATCTTATATGAAATGGGAAGCAATTCTTGGAATTTCAAGCTGTGGAAATAGGGCAATTATCCCCACATTTAAAATCTTTAGAAAGATTATTTTTAGTTTTAAGTATGAGGATAAAGAGTAAGAAGGAGCAGCCAGGAAATTATGAGGAAAACAAAAGTGGACTACGACAACCAAGGGAGGAGAGTTTCAGTTAAGAGGTTTTTGACCAGACACTGTGGCACATGCCTGTAGCCCCAGCTGCTTGGTAGGCATAGGTGGGGGGATCACTTGAGCCCAGGAGTTCCAGACCAAGCTTGGGCAACATACTTCTTGTGGTTCTGAAGAGGATCTGGCTTTGAGGATAGAGATGAAGGGTATGGAAAGACTATTGTGACTAGAGTTGAGCAAGTGGGAAATTGTGAACTGCAGCCCCTGGAAAGGTGCATTTCAGTATCTTGTTTCCTAGAAGCCAGTAGGTCTGAAACTTCTTTCTGAGATTATCCACTGGAAAGTAGATTGGTCCTATGGAGAGTGTATGTATCTAGGGTTGCCAAATTTAGAAAGAAAAAAGTACAGGAAACCCAGTTACATTTGAATTTTAGATAAACAATAGATTTTAAAAAAGTTTTTAGGGAATATATTTTTCCCATGGGACATACACTAAAAAAATGGTTCATTGTTTATCCGATATTTAAATGTAACTGGGCATCCTGTATTGCATCTGACAATCATATAAGTAGCCTTTGTATGGAAACATATTCTGTGGAAGCAGTTCGTTTATAAGGGGCAGCATTTGTGATAAGACGAGGCAGGGAATTGCAGTTTCCTAGGATTTCTCCTTCTGAGAGAATAAAGAGACATCACCTAAGAGGGTTAGATCATGTGAGTGACTGAACTAATGTGATAAGATCTGATTATGGGAGAGAAAGATTGAGTTATATCTTTAGTTCGGCCAAATATTTGGTAAGAATAAGGACATGGCGATTTGCGAAATAAGAAATATAAGTTTGGACTAATGTCAAGTAGAAGGATAAGAGATTGGAGATCAGGGAAAAGGAGCAGGATCAGGGGACAACATAGGTTTAGTGTATGAATCATATTGAGGTGGAAAGGTAAATTTGAGTAGAAAGTGACGTCAAATAGGTTACTTATATGATCAATTAATGTTGGTTGGATGAGCATGATTAGGCAAGCAAGTCAGAGGCATGCAGGGTATGAGTTGGGGTTGGATAAAGTATGGATAGTTGATGAGTTGTAGAGGAAAGTGATCAATGGATTTGAGACTGAGGAGAGAGTTTTTTTTGGAAGGTGTAGATACATTGGAATTCCATTTGAAAACCCTTTAAATTCTTCTTAGACACCATGCAGTCTTTTTATTTTTCTAAATCATTTTCCAAAGTGATTTACACACTAAAAAGGAATACCTTAGACCATGCAATAAAGGACAGACAGATGATCTAAAGAACAGGACATAATCAAGATTTCAGTGGAAATTCCCAAGGTACTTAAGGAAACAACTGGGGTCAGAGGAAGGCTAAAGAATACTATGGCAGGTTTTGGCTATGTTAGAATTTTTCCTGCCGAAATCTAAGCTGAAAGTTTCCACGAAGGAACTCTGAAAAAGAGAAAGTCCTCTTCTGTGTCTCTACGGCAGGCATATTTGCGATTTTTGGGATCCTGATGCATGCACTGTTAATGGAGATTTACAGGAGTCAGACCCAAAATCAACGTTAGTGGCCTCAATTTTTCTTCATCTGCTGCAGCTTGTTACTGAGAGTTCTGGTGATTGTTCCGTACCTGTTACTCCAACTAGATTTTAACTTAGTACAGAAAAGGTCTTTCATCCATGTCATCTCTTCTTTTTTTCTTTGTTTTTTTTTCTTTTTGAGACGGAGTCTCGCTCTGTCGCTCAGGCTGGAGTGCAGTAGCATGATCTCGGCTCACTGCAACCTCCACCTCCCTCATTCAAGCAGTTCTCCTGCCTCAGCCTCCTAAGCAGCTGGGATTACAGGCATGCGCTACCAAGCCCAGCTAATTTTTATATTTTAGTTGAGTTGGGGTTTCACCATGTTGGCCAGGCTGGTCTGGAACTCTTGACCTCAAGAGATCCACCTGCCTTGATCTCCCAAAGTGCTGGGATTACAGGCGTGAGCCACTGTGCCTGGCTTTTTTTTTGAGATGGACTCTTGCTGTGTCGCCCAGGCTGGAGTGCAGTGGCACAACCTCAGCTCACTGCAACCTCCACCTCCCGAGTTTGAGCGGTTCTCCTGCCTCAGCCTCCCAAGTAGCTGGGACCACAGGCATGCGCCATCACACCTGGCTAATTTTTGTATTTTTAGTAGCGACAGGGTTTCACCACGTTGACCAGGCTGGTCTCGAACACCCGACCTCAGGTGATCTGCCCGCCTCGGCCTCTCAAAGTGCTGGGATTACAGGCGTGAGCCACTGCATCCAGCCCATCTCTTCTTAATTTACCTTTTCTCTCATACATTGAATCTATCTGGCTATTCACCATTATTCCTTTTCCTGAATGATGCGTGGCTGCCTTTTCTGTGTTTTCCGTCCAGCTCTCCAGCTTATCTGTTTTACAGTGCTCTACTTTGTCTTTCCATCTTGACTGTTACAAGTTCATAAGACAATACCTCCCTCCCTGAGCTGAGGTAAGAATGAAATGTAGTAATTAATGCAAAGGTATCATCATAGTGACTCGGCATGTAATAGATACCCATTAAAATGTTAGTTCTAGGGCTGGCATGGTGGTTCACACCTGTAATCCCAGCACTTTGGGAAGCCAAGGTGGTGGATTGCTTGAGCTCAGGAGTTCGAGATCAACTCAAGAGCAGCCTAGGTAATGTGGTGAAACCCCATCTTCACCTAAAATACAAAAATTAGTCGAATGTAGTGGTGCACACTTGTGGTCCCACCAACTCAGGAGGTTGATATGGGAGGATCCCTGGAGTCCTCTGGGAAGTTGAGGCTGCAGTGAGCTGAGATTGTGCCACTACACTTCAGCCTGGGTGACAGAGTGAGACCCTGTCTCAAAAAAAGAAAAAAATTCTTTAAAGCAGGGGTCCCCAACCCCTGGGCCACATACAAGTTAGTTGCTTCTTCAGAACTGGGCTGTACAGTAGGAGGTGAGTGATGGGCAAGTGAGTGAAGCTTCCATCTGTATTTACAGCTGCTCCCCATCACCCGCCTTACTGCTTGAGGTCCACCTCCTGTCAGATCAGCAGTGGCATTAGATTCTCATAGGACCGCGAACCTTATTGTGAATTGCAGATGAGAGACATCTAGATTGCATGCTCCTCATGGGAAGCTAATGTCTGATGATCTGTCACTGTCTCCCATTACTCCCAGATGAGTATTTGAATTACATTTGTAAGCCTCACTGTGCTGTACCTTTTATACTCATAGACTCTGTATCTAAGTTAATGAGACATTTTATGTAAATCCTGCCCAGTGAGTCTAGTCTAGTTGCACAAAGACAAGCTTAGAGCTCCCACTGATCCTACATTATGGTGAGTTCTATAATTATTTAATTATATACTACAATGTAATAATAATAGAAGTAAAGTGCACAATAAATGTAATATGCTTTAATTATCCTAAAACCATCCCCCTCCACCATCTGTGGAAAATTTGTCTTCCACGAAACTAGTCCCTGGTGCCAAAATGGTTGGGAACTGCTGCTCTAAGGGGAACCATGCTCTCTGTTTCTTTTTGGATCCAAAGTTTTCTGAGCCCGTAGATGCCAAACAAGTGCAAAAAAATTTGAAACTTTTTCTTTTTGAGTCTTTTTTTTTGTCTTTGTCTCTGTCTCTTGATTTTATTATATCTTTGTTTTTCATTTACATTCAGATTTCTCTTTTGCTATTTCTGTTTCCCAAGATTCCTTTCATTCAACCCATCCTCAAGCAGATATACTTGGAGGACTAGCCTCAAGGGTACTAACACAACCTGAGGAAGGTAAACTGTAAGGAAGTTTAGGTGAACCTAAAGCATATTCCCTGAATAGAGTGAATCTTTCTGAGATTGCCCACAGTAGAGGTGACAGCACCTGAGTGTTTGAGTTACATTTGTAAGTCTCATTGTGCTGTACCTTTTATATTCATTGGCTCTGTATCCTAGTTAATACATTTTCTGTAAATCCTGCCTAGTGAGTCATGCAGACTCAGGTTTCAATTTAGAAAAGAAGGTAGTTTAAAAAGGATTCATTATCAGCTCAGATGAGCAAGTAAAACCTTGTATAGACCCTTGTAGTCCCTCCTCTTCTGCAGCTGAAGAACAATATCTTTAAGTTAACAGAAAGCATATTAATTGTCAGTTTATCAATCAGCAACTGTTTGCTGATGTGTGTAAGATAATAGAAGCCCTCAAAACAAATGGGAGAAACTTTTGCAAGTGAAGGAAAAAAGTAGAAAATAAAAATAAGAAGCAAGTAAAACATAGTCAAGAAATAACTTCTGGTTCAATGGAATTGTTTTGTAAGATACCAGTGATTCTTCTTTTTGGAGAACAATCATAAAGTACCTCAACCTCAAGCTAACCAAAAATCTAGGTAGACATTCTTGAACACAATTGGGGCAGTTTTAATTTATTCATTTGGTGAGTAGCAGACTCTCACCAAAGGGCTTTATGTGTGTGGGAAATCATGCCCCCAAATCGCTTTGGAAGAGGGAAGCAGCAGTTCTCAAGACAGATATGACCCTGTATACCCTAAAACAGCAGTCCCCAATCTTGTGGGGGCCAGGGACTGGTTTCATGCAAGACAATTATTCCACAGACTGGTGGGGCAAGGTGGTTTTGGGATGAAACTGTTCCACCTCAGATCATCAGGCATTAGGTTTTCATAAGAAGCACACCACCTAGATCCCTTGCATGAGCAGTTCATAATAGGGTTCGTGTTCCTATGAAAATCTGATCTGACAGGAGGCGGAGCTCCGGTGGTAATGCTCGGTTGCCTGCCACTCATCACCTGCTATGGCAGGTCACACATTGTTGCTAGTCTGCGCCCTGGGGTTTGGGGACCCCTGCCCTAAGAGGAATGTGAATTAGTTTTTTGTTGTTGCTGTAACAAGTTACCACAACTTAGTGTATTAAAAATATATTAATAAATGTATTATCTTAAAGTTCTGTAGATCAGAAGTTTAAACTGGGTTTCACTATGTTGGCAGTGTGTGTCCCTTTCTGGAGAATCTGTTTCCTTGCTCTTTCTGGCTTCTAGGCTTCCTACATTCCTTGGCTTATGACCCTCTTCTTTCATCTTCAAAACAAGCAATGAAAGATCAGTTCCTTCTCATGTCACTTCGTTCTAATCCTCTGTCATTTAATTGCTCTCTGAAACAGCAGAGAGAGGTTGTTTACTTTTAAGGATTCATGTAATTAAATTAGGCTCACCTGGATAATCCAGGCTAATCTCTCTAGCTCAAACTCCTAACTTTAATCACATTTGCAAAGTCATTGTTCCCATGCAAAGTAATAGATTCACAGGTTCTGAGGATTAAAATACGAATATCTTGGAGGGGGGCATTATTCTGCCTATGCAGAATTTTAATTATACTTTCCCCATTTTCCTTCTTTCTTGACTGATTTTTGTCACGATTTGGAAAATTATAAATTTCCCAAGAAATGCCAGGAAGGAATTTCCATATGGAAACATGGCAATACAGCCTGGAAAGCACTATGGACAGTTGCATGGACCTCACAGTAAGGAAATCTAACATAGGCTTCAGGCTGGGGAGAGCTTTATAGACAATGGATGTCATAAATAGGTTTTTGAAGAATATGTAGTAGTTATCTTTGTGAAAGTTAAGGGAAGAGAGGATTGGAGCCATTAATTCACAGGACTGTGATTAAACTGAGACATACACATTTCATTTTTAGGGGGAAGTTAAAAATAGTTTAGTATGAGTTCAAATGTAGGAGGAGAGGGATATAAAATTTGAGAGTTAAGCATTGGACCTGTGTAAGTCTATTCTCATGCTGTTAATAAAGACATATCTGAGACTGGGTAACTTATAAAGGAAAGAGGTTTAATTGACTCACAGTTCAGGATGGCTAGGGAGGCCTCAGGAAAGTTAGAATCATGGCAGAAGGGGAAGCAACCATGCCCTTCTTCACATGGTGGCAGCAAGGAGAAGTGCCAAGCAAAAGGAGAAAAAGCCCCTTATAAAACCATCAGATTTAGTGAGAACTCATTATCATGAGAACAGCATGAGGGTAACTGACCCCCATGATTAAATTACCTCCCACAGGGTCCCTCCTGAGACATGTGGGGGTTGTCAGAACTACAGTTCAAGATGAGATTTGGGTGGGGACAGAGCCAAACCATATCAGACCAAACATAAAAGTCTAAGAAGCTTTGACTTTTAAGACAACATTAGGAAGTGCTTGAAGGTTTGTAAACAGTGGCACCACAAAAAAAAAAAAAAAAAAAAAAAAAAGCTGTGTTTTTGAGATAGCTTCAGAGGCTACAATACAGAGTGTACATTTAAATACAATCAATAGATTAAAATGAAATAAACAGGGAAATGGTTTGAGAACATGCATAGTAATCACAATGAGAAACATTACAGTGACTTCAACTAAGTAGAGCAAGAAAAACACTAATATACAGCTACTGCGAGTGCAAGTGAATGCAGTAAATTTGGAAAAGAGTGTGGCAGTATCTAGTTGAAGATACACTTTTCTTACCAGCAATTCTGTAATCACTTGACAGGTTCTTCTTGTCTGCTGCGCAGAAAAGCCAATGCAGTGAGAACAGCAGGTTTTGCAGCAAAGAAAGAGTTTAATAATTGCAGGGCCAGCCAAGTGGAAGGATGAAAGATAATGCTCAAATCCACCTCCCTGAGCATTTGGAGGCCAGAGTTTTTCAAGGATAGTTTGGTGGACAGGGGGTAGGGACTGGGGAATGCTAATTTGTTGGGTAAGGGATGAAATCATAAAGGGTCAAAGCTGTCTTCTTGCACTGAGTCAGTTCCTGGATCAGGGGTTCATGAGACCAGCTGAGGCAGTTTTTTTTGTTGTTTGCTTTTTGTTTTTTTGTTTTTTTGAGACGGAGTCTCACTCTGCCACCCAGGCAATGGTGCGATCTTGGCTCACTGCAACCTCCACCTCCTGGGTTCAAGCGATTCTCCTGCCTCAGCCTCCTGAGTAGCTGGGATTACAGACGCGCACCACCATGCCTGGCTAATTTTTATGTTTTTAGTAGAGATGGGGTTTCCCCATGTTGGTCAGGCTAGCGGCTTTTTGTTTGTTTGTTTGTTTGTTTGTTTTTTAATGGGTTACCTGTCCAGGTGACATCAGCTGGTCCATCAAAATACAGGGTCTAAAAAATACATCAAGCACCAATCTTAGGCTTTACAGTAGTGATGTTATCTATAGGAGCAACTGAGGAGGCTACAATCTTGTGACTTCCAGCTACATTATTCCTGAACCATAATTTTAACCTTATGCCTAATTTGTTAGTTTTACAAAGGTAGTTTCAGTCCCTTAGCAGGGAGGGGTTACTTTTGGGAAGCAGCTATTATCATCTTTGTTTTAAAATTAAACTATGAATTCCTCCATAGTTAGCTTGGCCTATGCCCAGGAATGAACAAGGACAGTTTGTGAAGTTAGAAGCAAGATAGTCAGCTATGTTAGATTTTTCTCACTGTCATAATTTTTGCAAAGATGGTTTCAATTCCACTCATTTTTGCATAGAAAATGCATGCTTATGTGTACCAGGATACACATTCAGGAATGTTTAGAGTGGCATCATTTGTAATAACTGAAGGATAGATATAATGTAATAGCTATCAATGGCAATATGGTTATACAAACTGTGATGTGTTCATACGTGGAAGTCTGTATTGCAATGAACAGTATCAGGCAAGTGGTCATCCAACAACATAGATGGAATTTAAAAACATAATGAAAAGTTGATATCAAAGAAGCCAGATCTAATAATATCCTAAATGATTCCATGTGTATAAATATTGAAAACATACATGTATACATGCATGCATGTATACATACATACACTCAGAAGAGTTTGGAAAAGGAAGACTTGCTGAGTCTTCTGGCCTCCATCTTTCTCCCATGCTGGATGCTCCCTGCCCTCAAATATTGGACTCCAAGTTCTTCGGCTTTTGGACTCTTGGATTTACACCAGTGGTTCGCCAGGGGCTCTTGAGCCTTTGGCCACAGACTAAAGGCTGCACTGTCAGCTTCCCTACTTTTGAGGTTTTGGGACTCGGACTGGCTTCCCTGCTCTTCAGCTTGCAGACAGCCAATTGTGGGACTTCAGCTTCCGATTGTGTCAGTCAGTACTTCTTAATGAACTCCGCTTCATATACACATCTATCCTGTTAGTTCTGTCCTTCTAGAGAACCCTGACTAATACAGATCTAGGTGTACATACAAACAGATTTTGTGTACATACATACATGTATACACACATACACGTATACAACATACATCCCTACACATGCCTGTGTGCACACATACATGTACACGTGCATGCAAGAATACGTGTCCATACATACGTGTGCACATCCACACACATGCCTACACACATGCATGTGTGCACACATGTGCACACACAAACATGTATGCAAATGCATGCACACACAAATAACATATGTGTGCATACATGCATGTACACACATGCACACACGTGCACATACATATGTGCATACACACATAATGCATGTGCAATATATACATACATGTAGGCACACATGAGCACAATGTATACATGTACACATGCATATATGTGCATACACATGTACACATGTGTAAACAAATGCATGCAAACATGCATGTGCACATTTATGCGTACACGAATACCTACAAACATACAAACATTCTGTGTACACACATACATGGATACACATGCATGCATGCACACACACACACATGCATCCATGCCTGCAGGCATGCATGTGCAGACATATGTGTACACAAATGCATACCCGCAGATGCATGTACACATGGGTACACACACATACATATAGTTATACACATATGTAGATGCATGTGCACACAGGTGCACATACATATATACATATACGTGTGTATTCACGTGTACATGCATGTATGTACGTATGCATGTGCAGATACACGTGTAGAAACATACACACACGTAATGTACACATATGTATAGTGCACATATGCACGCACTTGTACACACATTTAGGCATACACATGCATATGTAGATGCATGTGTACATGCACGTATACATCTACACATGCACAGACACACATACATGTACACATGCATACTGTGTACATAATACATGTATACAGATACATGTGTGCATGCACGTGTACACACATGCATGCATACACACATGCATTTGTAGATATATGTGTAGGTGTGTACACACAACATACACATATGCATCCACACATACACATATACATATGAGGTGGCATGTTCAGCTTTCAAGAGGACCATCAGGGACTTTGTCACCTTGACAACTTTAGCCTTGCCTTCTAGTCACCTTGCCGGAACACTTGTGCCCGTGTTTTTCTAGCACTGTCATAAGAATACTTTTACCTATCAAGGCAACTGGGGGTTAGGAGAGCTTTTTGCACAGGAGGCTACTTGGCTTTGTTTGAAAACTGATGATACATGAGGATTGGGGTGGTGAATCACTCACATGTTTCTTCATATGAAAAATGAGGACTGTGGGATTCTCTGGCTGGATCTCAGCACCTAGAAATGGATCTGGGCAATAGGAACTGCTCAGTATTAGCTACCGCTTTGGTTGCCTTCTCCTTGCGGAAAGCTGGCCTCTCACACTGAATTTGTATCATAGGCACTCATGAGGGTCTTGACTGTATCAATATCTGATGAGAGATTTTAGTGCAGTTCTGTTATCGTGGCTGATTTGCTCATTTGGTAGCTAGCATCCAGCTTCTTGTGAACATTAAAATAAAATAAAATAGATTATGGAGGAATAGAATACAGATACGTAGTAAGGTATTATTTTCCAGACAAAATGGATTTGGATAAAAGAATCTAATTAAGAACTTGTGCATGATTCTTTTAAAATTCTTTTGAATCCATTTTTTTTTTTTTTTGGCCTGTTTTCAAGTCTCCGATTTTTGTCACCCTTCTCACACCAGGTCAGAGAGATAGCTAATGGTCAGAAGGAATCTTCCAGCAATGACCATAGCGCTTTCTCCTGCCTGCAGATGCCTCTTTTTATTCAGCCTTTATGGGAAGTAGCAGCACCATCCAGTTCTCAGAGAGCAAGCTCTGGAGTAACTGAGCTAACCCCAGTTACCCCAGTGGATTTACAGATTGAGGTTACAACCCAGCAGGGTTCTCTTCCTGGAAAGAATAGCCTTCCCTCTAAGGTTTCAAATAGACCCTGGGTGAGGAAGGAGCCCTAAACAGCTTGAAAAATTGAATGCTCTTTGGGCAAAGCAGGAAGCCGTCCTATGGAAGAGCATCATTTGAGCATAAATCAGGTTATCAGGACAAACAGAGTGTTCAGGAGGTCAAGATGGTTAAGCAGAGACCCTGACCAGAATGTCCGTGGCGGAGAGAAACAATCTTGTTGGGAAAAGGATGACAATAATTGGGGACTTAGAATAAAGGCTAAAAATGATTCAAGGAGAATGCAAAAAGAATCAGGCACAAATCGTTTACTATACTCTGTTATGCAAATCTCACCTTACTATGTGTTTGTATTCTATTCCTCCACAATCTTTATTTTATTTTAATGTTCAAAGAGACTTGTAGGTGCCAATTAAATGAACAAAACAGCCAGAGACAACAGAACTGCCCTAAAAAAAGTCCCGCATCAGCTCTTGAGAGCAGGTTCCTTAAAGGTGAACAATATTCCACATACAAGGACTTTTTCAGCACCATGCATTAGAAATGGAAGTGAATGTTTATTATTTTTTGTATAAGTTGGTTGATATGGCTTTTCAGCTTCCCTCAGTATCATTATCCAAATTTTGTAGATGACACTAAAGCTCAGAGGAGTTAAACCATTTTCCTTAAATCACATAGCTTTAAATAGGAAAACCAGATATGAAAAGCAGATTTTTTTTCTAAATTAAAAAACCAAAAACAAAAACACGTGAGCTCTTGCTTTACCCTAGCACATAGTCTTGCCATCTGTTTTCTCCACACCAGGTGATTCCTGTAACATTCATTCACATAACAAATACAAATAAATGAGTGGATTCATTCATCAGATATTAATTCAGAATCCCTTTTGTGCCTTCCAGAAATCTGGACCATCTCACAACCCCCAGAGAGTCTCAGCTACAAGGAACAAGTGATAATGCCATCCCACTTTTATAAACACACACACACACACATGCAATACACACACAATCATTTAATCATTTTTAATTATTTAATTATTTTTTAAAAATCAGTGACACTTTAGCTGGGCAGGTCTAGATAGGTCTTCTTTGCTGGGACGTGTCTTTTTCTGTCCTGGAATACCCTAAACTTCACATTTTGGCAGCGTGAGTTTTCCCTTTGTGACTTTCTCCTTCTTCCCTTTTTTCCTCCTTCTTTGCAGAGAATGAGTAGCCACTGCACCTTGCCCTGCGCCATCAATGAGAAGATCTGCTCTTAGTAGAGCCCTGCTTTCCCGCTGAAGGCCCTGAAATCACCTGTGTTCCAGGCCACCCACTAAGGATAAACAAAGCTTCCCTGATATGGGGAATTAGCTCAAGTGGTAGAGCGCTTGCTTAGCATGCAAGAGGTAGTGGGATCAATGCCCACATTCTCCAAGCTTTATTATTTAGGTACCCAAACCCGAGTCAGTGTCTGAGAGCAAGACACTGCTCTCGGTGTCTTTGGTTCAAGACATAGGAGCAGCAACAATACAGGACTGGTGACAGCTTCCTGCTGGCATTCAGTATAGTGTAGATCTACTGTGTAATTAATTTTCTGTTTCTTCGAGGAGCTGTGAAACCAAAGGACATATAAAACTGCTCTTTTCTCCCTGTTTCTGCCTGCAGCTTGGTCCTAAATGTGAGACAATTGTGAAAAGTGGAGGACAGAGCCACCTGGTTAAATACAGCCCCAGCTTTCTGGTGAGAGGACTGAAACCAAGATGTGTCAAGTAACTAGAATGTGCCTGGACAGATACTGTAGAAAGCAAAACCATAAAGTTGTTCATGAGCTTGTGGACGCACCTGCCAGCTGTGAATAAGTGGCTCTAATCCCGAACAATTTACCTAAAAAGAGCCTGAGAGCTGAACTGTGCAATGGCCCACTTTCCAGTCCTCACTGACCACTGGGTTGCACACACTTTGGAGATCTCTGAACAGCAGTGTCAAGGCTTTCAAATAGAGTTATCTTTGAAACGACAACACATGAAAGTCTGGTTGGTACTTGGAGCTTAAATACAAGGCAATTGTGTGCCTGCAAAAACAAAAATAGCAATATTATCCTTAAGATTTCAACAAGACACAGTGTCTCATCACATAATCCAAAGAAGTCCAGGTTACAAGCCCCACAATATTCAGCATTATGAAAAAACAGGGAGATCTTAATTCACATGGCAAAGAGAATCCTCGAATAACAATATTGAGAGGACACAGATGTCAAAATCATCTGACACATACATTAAAGCAGATATTATAACAATGCTCCTAGAATCGGGGATAACATTCGTGAAGTGAATGGAAAGTTGGAAAGTCTCACCAAATATTTCGAATACATAAACACCAATTTAAACTTAAGAATTAAAAAAATGTATTAACCAAAACTCTTAGGGGAAATAAAAAGCTTAATTGGAGGATCTCCATAATCGAATGCAGAAGACTAAGGAAAAAGTCAATGAACTTGAAAACAGAACACGAATACCTACATAATCTGAACTATAGAGAGAAAGGAGGATTTTATTGTCTCTGAACAGAGGCTCAGGCACAAATAAAAAATAACAAATCCAACATTCACATTATTGTAATCTGGAAAGAAGAGGACAAAGTGGTCTTTGTGGGATAAAACTTTGAACAATTAATAGCTGAAAATGGTTCAAATTTGTCAAAAGATATAAACCAGATTTTTAAAGTTCAGTAAATGTCAATCAGGATAAACCCAAAGAAACCCATAGCAAGGCATATCATAATCAAACTGCTGAAAACTAAGAAAATACAAAACAATTTTGAAAGCAGCCAAAGGGAAATGAAAGAGAAACTACCAAATGAATGATTGTAGATTTCGCATCAGGAACCATAGGGGCCAGAAAAAATGTCATAACATTCGGTAAGTAACAAAAGAAAAAGACATATCGACCCAGAATGCTATGTGGAGCAAAAGTATCTTCCAGACATAAAGGCAAATAAATGCATTCTCAGTGGAAGGTAAGTAAATACATTCTCATTCTTAGGAAGACTGCTGGAAAAGAATTAGCAAAGATTTGAGATAAGAAAAATGATACCAGAAGGAAACTTAGAACATCATCAGTGAAGGAACAAAAGCAGAAATAGAACATGTCTGGGTAGACATAACAGACTATTATTCTTCCCTTGAGTTCCTTAAGGTATGTTTGATGATTGAAAGCAAAAATTGTAACTTTATCAGAAGCAGTTGTCATTGTATCTAGATGTACTACATACAGAAGATAAAAGGGTAAGTGTAATGGGACTAACTCTTGATGAAGTTTCTTTATTCAACTTGAATGGTAAAATATTGATTCTAAGTATACTGTGAAAGGTTATATATGTATATGGTAAACCCTAGACCACCTACTAACAAGATTTAAATAAACCAAAACAAGATAGAAAGAGGAACATAGATGAATTAAAACAAAGGGAAACAAGGTTAATACATTATTAAATAATAGACCTATCTAAAAACTTATCTATAATGACATTACATGTAAATAATCTAAACGCATTAATTAAAAACTAGAGATCATCAGAATGTGTTAAAAATAAATATGCTGACTAAAGAAAGCCACCTGCTATACACATATATAAGAATAAAAGTTATAGAGCAGATTGAAAGAAAAGAGTGGGAAAAGATACCTCATGCAAGCACTAATCAAAGACAGCTGTGGTGTATATATAAAAAAATCAGACAAAGTAGATTTGAAAGCAGAGAAACTTTTCAGGAATAATGAGGGCTGCTAAATAATTATGATTGTCAATTTTCCAGGGGAATATTGTCCCAAGTGTATATGAGAACATAGAGCTTCAAAGCTCATAAACAAAATTGGATACGCAAGGTAAAAACAGAAAAATCCAATTAGAGTTGCCGACACTAACACTCCTCTCTCGGTAATTGGTAGACTTAGTAGAAAACAAATCAGCAAACATATTGGAGAATTAAACCATACCATCCAGTAATGGACCTATTAACTTCATAATGCAAAATAAAAATTTAGGTAGAAGGCAAAGACAAAAGTTAAAAGAAAAGATCATGTTATAACCAGGAAATTAAGAGTAGTCCAGCATATAGAAGAGTGCTATTATTGGAAGAGTTATTTAGTTATTTTGAGACATTTTTTGAAAGAGTTATTTAGCTGGAAATGACAGAAAGACTGAAAATGGTGAATCTGGAGGTGGATCTTCCCTTGTCCATATTTATTTTGTCTTTTTTTGAGGTCTAGGGTGTCTATACTTCCTCTGAATTACCTACAGTGTCTGGCACAGAGCATCTCCCCAGTGAATATGTATTAAATGAGTAGAAAGTAATTTATAGATTCAAAAGAACTGGGCAAGAATAATGTTCATTATTTGACAAATCCTTGAATGTAGTGTTTGAAGGAAGACAATAAGTCAAAGTTGACTTGAAAGGTAAGCCCAAGTCCAGACTCTTTTCTGTAATCCCAGCACTTTGAGAGGCCGAGATGGGCAGATCCCGTGACACCAGGAGTTTGAGACCAGCCTGGACAACACAGTGAAACCCTGTCTCTACAAAAAATACAAAAATTAGCCAGGTGTGGTGGTATGCATCTGTAGTTCCAGCTACTCAGGAGGCTGAGGTGGGAGGATCGCTTGAATCTGGGAGGCGGAGGTTGCAGTGAACAGAGATTGCACCGGTGCCTGGACAACAAAGTGAGACCCTGTCATAAAATAAAATAAAATAAAATAAAATAAAATAAAATAAAATAAAATAAAATAAAATAGTTAAACCCAGGCCGGGAGGGGTAGCTCACACATGTAATCACAGCACTTTGGGAGGCTGAGGTGGGCGGATCACCTGAGGTCAGGAGTTTGAGACCAGCCTGGCCAACATGGTGAAACCCCATCTCTACTAAAAATACAAAAATTAGCTGGGCGTGGTTGCAAGCACCTGTAGTCCCAGCTACTCAGGAGGCTGAGACAGGAGAATTACTTGAACCTGGGAGACAGAGGTTGCCGTGAGCCAAGATCTCACCAGTGCAGTACAGCGTGGGTGACAGAGCAAGTAAGTAAAGAGGAGGTTTGGAATTAGATATTTGGTGTATGAATGAATGGGCTAAAGTGCGAAAGAACAGGCAGAATAACTGAGCTGGTACAGAGGAAAAAAATCACACTTAAAATCTAAAAGTATCTGCTTCTCAATTTGGGCTTTCCCACTTAGCAGCTTTGACACCTTAGAAAGAACACTTAACTTACCTGAGCTTCTATTACTTCTAAAAAGTGCATAAAGTGCAGGCTAAGACATAGTTTTTTTGGCAAAATTCAGTCAGACTACATCAAGTAAACTCCCTAAGTCTCCTAGTATAATTCATGGCACAAAAACTGGGGAAAAAACAGGGAGGATATGATTATAAGTTCAGTTTGGGTTTTTTGTTGAGTGAATGTCTCCAGTCATAGAGATGCAAGTGTAGATACACAGTAAGAGTAGTATGAACAGGAGACACCTTGGAAGGCTATTTCTTCCTTCATTCATTCAGTTGGTCACTCAATGAACTATCATGAATTGAGCACTACCTCTGTTTCTTATCAACAAAGGAGACTACGGAAAAGAAGAGTGACTAAGATCTCTGAAGAAGGGAAAAGCTAGATGACTGGGCCACAAGAGGAAAAAAAGCAGCAAGACAGGTACAATTGTTTCTGGTCCCTCAAGCCAGAAGGTCCTATCATTATGTGAATACTGGAAACGGGTGGACTCCACCTGTCCTGAGTGGGGAATTCTTCCAGTGCAGCACTGGCTGATAAGCAGTGATTTCCAAGTAGCATTGATTGTGTTCTTTAAAAGCTAGGAATTGATAAAGCAGCAGTGTGTGGGAAATGAGATTTAATAATCTGGATCTCAGCTCTTAGGAACAGTTGCTCTCTTAGAGCAGCAGGCCACCTGTCAATCTCGTATTCTGAAGGTCCTGAGTTTGAACATCAGACAAGGTACAGCTTTTGCCGCTCTTTCCGTTAAGGGAAATGAAATAGGTGTGATAAATAATGTAACACAAATGCTATGAGATAATGATTTCAAGACAGTCCAAATATTAGCTTAAAATTTAAAAATGAGCTTTTCTTTTTTCTTTCTTTCTTTCTTTCTTTCTTTCTTTCTTTCTTTCTTTCTTTCTTCCTTTCTTCTTTCTTTCTTTCTTTCTTTCTTTCTTTCTTTCTTTCTTTCTTTTTCTCTTTTTCCTTCTTTTGGCTTCTTAGTGGTTTGAATACAAGGCATGGTGAAGAGATATAAATTACACAAGAAACTACAAGCTATGTCATATGTCTACCTCTCTAGCTGACAAGGGAAGCAGGGGAAATTTCTCTTCCAATTGTCTGCTCTGAAGGTCATCCAAACATAATTATCAGGTGGGGTGGGTGAACTCTTTTATTCTTTTAATCATCCAACAAATATTTCTCAAGCGCATACCTTGTTAAGAGACTGTTTTGGGTACAGTAATTCACAGTGAATAAAACACAGATATTCTCACCTTTGTGATACTACGTCATAGTTGCAAGGAGTGGGGAGAAACAGACAGGAAGCAAAGAAGAAAAATAAACAAGAAGTCATGTGATAATATCTACTGGGAGGGACTCATTAGGCAGTAAAGGACTCGGCAGTGTGGAGGTGACACATTCAGTTTTCAGTAGAAGAATCAGGGAAGTTGTCACTTTGAAGCTATCATTTAGCTTCCCTTTCTTTCAATCTTCTTTCTTTACATGGGAAATAAGGATTGTGGGATATTTTTGGGTGGATCACAGCACCTAGAGATGGACCTGATCAATAAGAACTGCTCAGTAAGCATTAGCTACTGCTTCGGTTGCCTTCCCCCTGTGGAGTGCTGGCCTCTTGGATTGAGCTTGCATCATAGGTGTTCAGTAGGAGCTTGCTTAGTGGATTTATAGGTTGAGGTTAGAACCCACTGGAATTCTCTTCCTGGAAAGAACAGGCTTCTCTTTAAGGTTTCATACAGACCCTGGTTGAGGAAAGAGCCCTAAATTGCTTGAAAAATTGAATGCTCTATGGGCAAAGCAGGAAGCCCTCCTATGGAAGGGCATCATTTGGGCATATATCAGGGTCTCAGTAAAAACATGAGTGCTCAGGAAGTCAAGATGGTTAAGCAGAGAATCTGACCAGAATGTTCATGGTGCGAAGAAATAATCTTGTTGGGTGTAGGATTACAACAACTGGGAAATTAGAATACAGGCTAAATGAGATTCAAAAATAATACAACAAGAATCAGGCACAAATCCTTTACTACTACATTCTTTTGTACAAATCCATTTTGCCTAGAAAATCGTACCTTACTATACATCCCTATTGTGTTTCTCCACCATCTATTTTACTTTTTAAACTTTATTTCATTTTTGTCATCACAGAAGCTTGTTGCTACAAAATAAATGAGCAAATCAGCCAATGGCAACAAAGCTGCACTGATCTCTCTCCTTAGACCTTCAGAACATTTTCCTTAAAGGTGAACAATACTCCACGTTCAAGGACTTTTTCAGCACTATGTGCTAGAAACTATGCTGACTGTTTATTAATTTTTATGTAAGTTGGTCGATATAGTTTCTCAGCTTCCCCAAGTATTATTACCACAGTACTATAGATGACACTGAAGCTCAGAGCAGTTAAACCATTTTCCTCAGATCACATAACTTTAAAGAGGGAAACCAGATATGGGAAGCAGATTTCTTTCTAAATGAAAAAATCATGAGCTCTTGCTTTCACTTAGCACATAGTCTCATCATCTGTTTTCTTCACACCAGCTCACTCATGTAACATTCATTCATTTACCAAATACAGATAAATGAGTGGATTTATTCTTGCTTTCATCAGATACTAATTCAAAATCGCTTCTGTGTCTGCTACACTGTGCTCAAGACTTGCCAGTGCCTTTGTCTCCTCTCCCTCAAATCTCTCCACCCAATGTCTTGACAAATACTGTAGATTCTTCCTGCATAACCTCTCCAGAATCTTTTCCTTCTGTTATCCATGCTACAGTGTTTATGGAGGATGTTTTCTTCACCTATGAAGTGTGATGGGGGCTGAAGCTGCAGCAAGACTCATGCTGTTCACCTCAGGAGCTGACACAGTAAATGTGGATAAACCTCAATCCTTTAATATCTTTATGACTTCTTTCCCAGTTACCCCAGCGAATTTACAGATTGAGGTTAAAACCACAACAGGATTATCTTCCTGGAAAGAATAGGCTTCCCTTTAAGGTTTCACATAGATACTGGGTGAGGAAGGAGCCCTAAATTGCTTGAAAAATTGAATGCTCTTTGGGCAAAGCAGGAAGCCTTGCTATGGAAGAGCATCATTTGAACATAAATCAGAGTCTCAGTACAAACAGAGTGCTCAGGACATCAAGATGGTTAACCAGAGAGCCTGGCCAGAATATCTGCGGTGGAGAGAAACGATCTTGTTGGGAGAAGGATGACAATAATTGGGGACTTAGAATAAAGGCTAAAAATGATTCAAAGAGAATGCAAAAAGAATCAGGCACACATCCTTTACTCTGTTGTGCAAATCTCACCTTACTGTGTGTTTGTATTCTATTCCTCCACAATCTTTATTTTATTTTATTTTTATGTTCACAGAGATTTGTTGGTGCCAACTAAATGAGCCCAACAGCCAGTGACAACAGAACTGCACTAAAAAAAGTCCCTCATCAGCTCTTGAGAGCAGGTTCCTTAAAGGTGAACAATATTCCACATACAAGGACTTTTTCAGCACCATGCATTAGAAATGGAAGTGAATGTTTATTATTTTTTGTATAAGTTGGTTGATACGGCTTTTCAGCTTCCCTCAGTATCATTATCCAAATTTTGTAGATGACACTAAAGCTCAGAGGAGTTAAACCATTTTCCTCAAATCACATAGCTTTAAATAGGAAAACCAGATATGAAAAGCAGATTTTTTTCTAAATTAAAAAAAAAAAAAAACTTGAGCTCTTGCTTTACCCTAGCACATAGTCTCACCATCTGTTTTCTCCATGCCAGGTCATTCATGTAACATTCATTCACATAACAAATACAAATAAATGAGTGGATTCATTCATCAGCTATTAATTCAGAATCTCTTTTGTGTCTACCACACTAGGCTCAAGACTTCCCAGTGTCTTTGTCTCCTCTCCCTCAAATCTCTCCACCCAATGTCTTGACAAATACTGTAGATCCTTCCTGCACAGCATCACCAGAATGTTTTTCTTTCTTTTCATTCACCTCTGTCATCATCCATGCTATGGTGTTTATGGAGGATGTATTCTGCAGCAGGAAGTGTGATGGGCACTGACGCTGCAGAAAGACTCCTGTTGTCCACCTCGGGAGCTGACACGATAAATGCGGGTAAATCTCAATCCTTTAATATCTTTATGACTTCTTTCTCTTTCTCTTCAATTTCTATTTTCTCATGTTCAAGCTCTGACATTCAAAACTAAACACCTTTCTCTAACATGTTGCTTTAATTATTTAAGCATTCTGCCTGGGATTTTTTCAATTACTCTTGGGAGTTTTCATAAAACTCTACCAACATATCTCCAAGTGGCCAGGCTTTTCAATCACTGCTTCCCTCCGTGTGTATTTCACACACACACACACACACACACACACACAGCACTTAAATTGAACAGGTTTATTTCTTCACACAGGAATTCCTACGAACAGCCCGGTTTTCTCCACCATATGTCCACTCCTTCTCTGCATAGCTGAATTTTGATTCTTACACTCTAATATTTTACATATTCTTACACTCTGATATGATCTTGTCTCTTATTCTTTATGGCTCTGCTCTGTAATTTTGTTGTTGTTGTTCTGAGATATAGTTGGACATGTAACTTGTACATGACACACCTTAGCAAGGAGGCAACCTATATCTCAGATGCAAGTGAAAGAAGCACTCCCCAGGGGTTTCCTAAGGTAGTGGTCAGCACGCTGGCTTCATTCCTGAAAGGGCCTAGTTATGAAAACAACAGGAGCTTTTTGCCTTCCAGAAATCTGTACCATCTCAAAATCCCCAGAGAGTCTCAGCTACAAGGAACAGGTGATAATACTATCTCACTTTTATAAACACACACACACAACACACACACACAAAATCATTTAATCATTTTTAATTATTTAATCATTTTTTAAAAATCAGTGACACTTTAGATGGGCAGGTCTAGGCAGGGCCTCCTTTCCTGGAATGTGCCTTTTTCTGTCCCGGAATACCCTAAACTTGACATTTTGGCAGTGTGAGTTTTCCCTTTTTGACTTTCTCCTTGTTCCCTTTCCTCTTCCTTCTTTGCAGAGAATGAGTAGCCACTGCACCTTGCCCTGGGCCATCAGTGAGAAGATCTGCTCTTAGTAGAGCCCTGCTTTCCCGCTGAAGGCCCTGAAATCCCCTGTGTTCCAGGCCACCCACTAAGGATCAATAAAGCTCCCCTGATGTGGGGGAATTAGCTCAAGTGGTAGAGCGCTTGCTTAGCATGCAAGAGGTAGTGGGATCGATGCCCACATTCTCCAAACTTTATTATTTAGACCCTGGGTCTCCAAACACTCAGGTCTCCAAACCCAAGTCAGAGAACAGGATGCTGCTTTGGTTCAAGATGTAGGAGCAGCAACAATACAGGGCTGGTGACGGCTCCCTCCTGGCATTCAGTATAGTGTAGATCTACCGTGTAATTAATTTTCTGCTTCTTTGAGGAGCTGTGAAACCAAGGGACATAAACAATTGCTCTTTTCTCCCTGTTTCTGCCTGTAGCTTGAATGTGAGGCAACTGTGAAAAGTGCAGGGCAGAGCCACCTGGGTAAATACAGCCCTGGCTTTCTGGTGAGAGGACTGAAACCAGGATGTGTCAAGTAACTAGAATGTGCCTGGACAGATACTGTAGAAAGCAAACCCATAAAGTTGTTCATGAGCTTGTGGACGCACCTGCCAGCTGTGAATAAGTGGGTCTAATCCCAAACAACTTACCTAAAAAGAGCCTGAGGACTGAACTAAACAATGGTCCACTTTCCAGTCCTCACTGACCACTGGTTGCACACACTCCAGAGATCTCTCATCCGCAGTGTCAAGGCTTTCAAATAGAGTTATCTGTGAAACAACAACACATGGAAGTCTGGTTGGTACTTGGAGCTTAAATACAAGGCAATTGTGTGCCTGCAAAAACAAAAAGAGCAATATTATCCTTAAGATTTCAACAAGACACAGTGTCTCATCACATAATCCAAAGAAGTCCAGGTTACAAGCCCCAAAATATTCAGCATTATGAAAAACCAGGGAGATCTTAATTCACATGGCAAAGAGAATCCTTGCATAACAATATTGAGAGGACACATATGTCAAAATCATCTGACACATACATTAAAGCAGTTATTATAACAATGCTCCTAGAATTACGGGATAGCATTCATGAAGTGAATGGAAAGTTGGAAAGTCTCACCAAATATTTGGAATATGTAAACACCAATTTAAACTTAAGAATTAAAGTATTAACCAAAACTATTAGGGGAAATAAAAAGCTTAATTGGATGATCTCAATAGCAGTATGCAGAAGACTAAGGAAAAAGTCAATGAACTTGAAAACGGAACAAGAATACCTACAGAATCTGACCTATAGAAAGAAAGGAGGATTTTATTGTCCCTGAACAGAGGCTCAGGGACAAATAAAAAATAACAAATCTAACATTCACATTATTGTAATCTGGAAACATTCACATTATTGTAAGAGGACAAAGAGGTCTTTGTGGGATAAAACTGTGAAGAATTAATGGCTGAAAATGTATCAAATTTCTCAAAAGATATAAACCAGATTTTTAAAGTTCAGTAAATGTCAAGCAGGATAAACCAAAAGAAACCCATTGCAAGACATATCATAATCAAACTGCGGAAAATTAAGAAAACACAAAACAATTTTGAAAGCAGCCAAAGGGAAATGAAAGATAAAATACCAAATGAATGATTGTAGATTTCTCATCGGGAACCCAGGAGCCAGAAAAAAATGTCATAACATTCAGTAAATACCAAAGGAAAAATACATTATCAACCCAGAATGGTATGTGGAGCAAAAGTATCTTCCAGACATAAAGGCAAATAAATGCATTCTCATTGGAAGGTAAATAAATACATTCTCAGTCCTAGCAAAACTGCTGGAAAAGAATTAGCAAAGGTTTGAGATAAGAAAAGTGATACCAGAAGGAAACTTAGAACATCATCAATGAAGGAACAAAAGCAGAAATAGAAAATGTCTGGGTAGACATAACAGACTATTATTCTTCTCTTGAGTTCCTTAAGGTATGTTTGATGGTTGAAAGCAAAAATTGTAACTTTATCTGATGCAGTTGTCATTGTATCTAGATGTACTACATACATAAGATAAAAGGGTAAATGTAATGGGACTAACTCTTGATGAAGTTTCTATATTCAACTTGAATGGTAAAATATTGATTCTTAGTATACTGTGAAAAGTTATATATGTATATGGTAATCCCTAGACCACTTAACAACCAGATTGAAATAAACCAAAACAAGATAGACAGAGGAACATAGAAGAATTAAAACAAAGGGAAAAAAGGTTAATAAATTATTAAATAGTAGATCTATCTAAAAACTTATCTATAATAACATTATATGTAAATTATCTAAATGCATTAAGTAAAAACTAGAGATCATCAGAATGTGTTAAAAATAAATATGCTGACTAAAGAAAGCCACCTGCAATACACTTATAAATAAGAATAAAAGTTATAGAGCAGATTGAAAGAAAAGAGTGGGAAAAGATACCTCATGCAAGCATTAATCAAAGACAGCTGTGGTGTATATATATAAAATCAGACAAAGTAGATTTGAAAGCAGAGAAACTTTTCAGGAATAATGAGGCCTCCTAAATAATTATGATTGTCAATTTTTCAGGAGAATATTGTCCCAAATGTATATGAGGACACAGAGCTTCAAAACTCATAAACAAAATTGGATACGCCAAGTAAAAATAGAAAAATCCAGTTATAGTTGCAGTCATTAACACTCCTCTCTCAGTAATTGGAAGATTTAGTAGAACACAAATCAACAGACATACTGGAGAATTGAACCATGCCATCCAGTAATGGACCTATCAATTTCATAATGCAAAATAAAAATTCAGGTAGAAAGCAAAGACAAAAATTAAAAGAAAAGCAAGATCATGTTATAATGAGAAAATTAAGAGTAGTCCAGCGTATAGAAGGGTGCTATTATTGAAAGAGTTTGAAATAGTGACTTAGTTATTTTGAAACATTTTTGAAGACGTTATTTAGCTGGAAATGACAGAAAGACTGAAAATGGTGAATGTGGAGGTGGATCTTCCCTTGTCCATATTTATCTTGTCTTCGTTTGAGGTCTGGGGTGTCTATACTTCCTCTGAATTACCTGATCTTACTACAGTGTCTGGCACAGAGCATCTCCCCAGTGAATATGTACTAAATGAGTAGAAAGTAATTGATAGATTCAAAAGAGTTGTGCAAGAATAATGTTCATTATTTGACTAATCACTGAATGTGGTGTTTCAAGGAAGACAATGAATCAAAGTTGACTTGAAAGGTAAGCCCAGGGCCAGACGTGGTGGCTCATTTCTGTAATCCCAGCACTTTGGGAGGCCGAGATCAGTGGATCCCTTGACACCAGGAGTTTGAGACCAGCCTAGGCAACACAGTGAAAACCTGTCTCTACAACAAATACAAAAATTAGCCGGGTGTGGTGGTATGCATCTGTAGTTCCAGCTACTCAGGAGGCTGAGGTGGGAGGATCGCTTGAACTCAGGAGGTGGAGGTTGCAGTGAACAGAGAACGCACCGGTACCTGGACAACAAAGTGAGACCCTGTCATAAAATAAAATAGTTAAACCCAGGCCAGGAGGGGTGGCTCATGCCTGTAATCCCAGCACTTTGGAAGGCCAAGGTAGGCTGATCACGTGACGTCAGGAGGTTGAGACCAGCCTGGCCAACATGGTGAAACCCCGTCTCTACTAAAAATACAAAAATTAACCAAGCGTGGTGGCAGGCACCTGTAGTCCCAGCTACTCTGGAGGCTGAGACAGGAGAATTACTAGAACCCGGGAGGCAGAGGTTGCAGTGAGCCAAGATCTTACCATTGCACTGCAGCCTGGGCGACAGAGTGACACTCTGTCGAAAAAAAAAAAAAAAAAAGTTAAGCCCAAAAAGTAAGTAAGGAAGAGGTTTGGAATTAGATATTTGTTGTATGAATGAGTGAGCTAAAGTGCAAAAGAACGGGCAGAATAACTGAGCTGGTACAGAGGGAAAAAATCACATTTAAAATCTAAAAATATCTGCTTCTTAGTTCAGGCTTTCCCACTTAGCAGCTTTGGCACCTTAGGAACACTTAACTTATCTGAGCCTCTATTACTTCTAAAAAGTGCATAAAGTGCAGACTAAGACAGTTTTTTTGGCAAAATTCAGTCAGACTACATCAAGTAAACTCCCTAAGTCTCCTAGTATAATTCATGGCACAAAAAATTGGGGAAAAAACAGGGAGGATATGATTATAAGTTCAGTTTATGTTTTTTGTTGAGTGAATGTCTCCAGTCATAGAGATGCAAGTGTAGATACACAGTAAGAGTAGTATGAATGGGAGACACCTTGGAAGGCTATTTCTTCCTTCCTTCATTCAGTTGGTCACTCAGTGAACTATCATGAATTGAGCACCGCCTCTGTTTCTTATCAACAAAGGAGACTGCGGAAAAGAAGAGTGACTAAGATCTCTGAAGAAGGGAAAAGCTAGATGACTGGGCCACAAGAGGAAAAAAAGCAGCAAGACAGTTACAATTGTTTCTGGTCCCACTTTTATAAACACACACACACACACACACACACACACACACACACACACACACACACAAAATCATTTAATCATTTTTAAGTATTTAATCATTTTTTAAAAATCTGTGATGCTTTACCTGGGCATGTCTAGGCAGGTCCTCCTTTGCTAGGACGTGCCCTTTTCTGTCCCGGAATACTCTAAACTTGGCATTTTGGCAGCGTGAAGTTTTCCCGTTGTGACTTTCTCCTTGTTCCCTTTTCTCCTCCTTCTTTGCAGACAATGAGTAGCCACTGCTGTTTGCCCTGGCCCATCAATGAGAAGATCTGCTCTTAGAGCCCTGCTTTCCTGCTGAAGGCCCTGAAATCACCTGTGTTCCAGGCCACCTGCTAACAATAAATAATGCTGCCCTGATGTGGGGAATTAGCTCAAGTGGTAGAGCGCTTGCTTAGCACGCAAGAGGTAGTGGGATCGATGCCCACATTCTCCAAGCTTTATTATTTAGACATCGTGTCTCCAAACACTCAGGTCTCCAAACCCAAGTTAGTGTCTGAGAACAGGATGCTGCTTTGGTTCAAGACGTAGGAGCAGCAATAATAGAGGGCTGGTGATGGCTCCCTCTTGGCATTCAGTATAGTGTAGATCTACCATGTAATTAATTCTCTGTTTCTTTGAGGAGCTGTGAAACCAAGGGACATATACAACTGCTCTTTTCTCCCTGTTTCTACCTGCAGCTTTGTCCTAAATGTGAGACAATTATGAAAAGTGCAGCGCAGAGCCACTTGGGTAAATACAGCCCCGGCTTTCTGCTCAGGGGACAGAGTTTGAGGCACTGCAGAGGAACCGGCCAAAGTATGAGACCCATATATTGAGAGTAACAGAGTGTAAAGTTCAAAAAAATCAAAATATTTAAAGATTTATCATGGGTCTTGATGACATGATGGAATCTCTCTACTCTCTGGACTTATTATGTGTGGTAATAAATTTACTTTTTAAAAGCCAGTTGAGTGTTTTTAATGTTGTGGAGCTATTGCTAAGAGTTTCCTGAGTTTTTTCCAGTAATGTAGAGATCTTTGTGCTAAATATTTCATAAAGAAGTTTGGTGGGTTTTGTGTTCTAAATCCTAATCACTGGCATTAACTCAAACCAGCCATATAAAAGGTATGAAAAATGTCTGTCTGGCGTGCACTTGGTTCACTGAGCTTTTGCTTTCCTGTCAGCAAATTAGACATTCTCCTCACTTAGGAGGCCAACTTCTCAGCCACTGGCTCCAGCCTAGCCCTATGGTCTGTCAGTGGCTTTAGATTTAATTGACACATGCCCAGCCCCAACTCTCTCCTGCCTTAAGGATATAAGAGCCATTGTGAGCCGCAAAGTTATTATATCCGAGAACCCAGAAAACCACTTTTGTATATAGCAGTCCGCTGTTTTCTCATTTAAACATATGGGTTGGAATAGCATAGGATCATACACCTGTGAGCCTACCTGTTTTACAAGTTAAAACTTTTTCCTGATTCTTGCAAGCATTTTTTCTCACTCAACCCTACATGCATGTGTGCAGAATTTTAAGGTAAAATTAGTTTTTGTAGACACTGAATGTGCTGCCCTCAAGGAATATTACAATGGAGTAGGGAAGACAGTTGAGCAAACAGCTGTTTACAATTCTGATAAAAGTCACAATTGAGATGAATACTCTGTACACTAAAAGTACAGAAAGGAACACTACTCTTGAGAATGAGTAGCCTGATAGGATTTGCCAGTGTTTCTGTTATTTCATTTGTTCATACCGGTCCCTGACACCTGGTTTCCTTTTCAAGCAACAAAATCCTAAAATCTCCATCATCTGCTGCTTTCACGTTCCTCACCACTGAGGTCAAGGACCCGAGGCTGGCAGGAAATTGAACTAATGACACTTCAAGAAGACCATGAATCTTTTCATTTTTTTCAGCTGGAAAGCTGAGAGCAGACAAATGGCAGGGAGGCCAAGTGCTATCAACCACATTTAGAAATTTTATTTAATCTGCACATCTTTATTTGGTAGAAAGTTTTACAAATAAAATTTAACACAAAACAATTTTTTTGAAAAACCATGTTGACTTAAGCAGAGCCAATGATGCAAAGCATAATGTATCAGAAGATTCCTGATTCAACTGCTAGCTTGAAGTCGCCCCCTCCTTGTGTTCTGGAAAGATGGGGTGTTGTTTATCATCCACATATCAAAAAGTAAACAGAAAGCAGTATTTCCGAAACCTTTTCTTTATAAGGAGATCTTCATAAAACTTGCATTATTACCCTTGTTGGATCATAACACACCTGAGAAAGATTGGGTGGAGGAAGGTGAAGAAGGCTGGAAAAGATTTACAAGGGAATAAATCAAGAATCTGGTACAAATTGACTAATGGTATCTTCTGCATCAGCCCATTTCGAGTGAAAAGTCCCCCGTTTTAGAACTTTTGGCTCTTTGTTTTAATGCCCCCTCCTGAGAATTAACAAAAATTTTGATTACTCTGGGCACGCTACCTGATTAGCCCTGCTCCGCAAGGAGCAGTTATATATATATAATCACACACTCACACACACACATTTTTCAGGGAATCCTGCCTAATTTCTTCCGAAGTTCAGCTGTCTCAGTTCACACCAAACAAGTTACACGATTTCATAACGGATAGAGGACAGAAGCTTAAGGAGGGAGGGCCGAATGCACCGGGAACCCTAGTCAAGTGTAGGAAATCATCACGAGCGAGGCGAAGCAGGTCGTGGGAGACGAGACCTTCACTCAGGAACGGGGACGATGTGAATCGTGTTTCTATCGAGTGGCTGGGGGACCGGGTTGGGATCAGCCAGGAGGAGGTAGCCGCACAAGGCTTAGCTGGGTCTCCCGCGCAGACATCTCCTGGACAGCGACCCAGCGCCGCGCAGGCGCTCACGGCCCGGCTCCAGGGCTGCGGGTGGCGAGTCCCTGCCTGCCCGGAGCTCGCCCTCGGGGAAGGACGGACGCCTCGCGACGGCCGCGGACGCACCAGCGCAAGTGGTTCCTTGGAATCTCCCCATGTAATTCCACATGAGATTAAATTTTTAAAGCGCCTCATACTCGTGACCCATGGGTCAATGCCATCTAGCAACCATTCAGTGGCTGAATCCTCAGACAGGCACTCAGCATCCCCAGAGCCTAGGGGCATGCCATATGCCCCCACATAAAGATTTGTTGAATGAATGAAGGTGTCTAACTCCATTGTCTTGCCCTATTAAAGATGTATACTTTCTCTGCCTAGACCATTATGGTAATACCCTGACCTTCCTCATGATCTTTGCACTCAATTCTCAACTCTGTGCCCTATTGGAATGGTACTGAAATGCAAATTCAGTTACAGTCTCTCCTAAATTCATTTACCAGCAAACTTTGCTTACAGTGCTTAAACATTTTATCCTGACATTCAAAGCCCTTCCTAAAAAGCTGGCCTCTCTCGCAGCTTTACTCCTGGAATTCAATCCTATGCACACTCTCAGAAAACAAAATCATTGTTAATTCACCTTCAAAACCTGTTGTTTTATTCTTCTGAGACTTTGCAAATACCTTTGAGCAAGGCATCTTGATAGCTCCTCATTTTTAAATGTAACTGTGGATACCACCTTGAGTGGAGATGGAAAGAAAAGGGAAGCTGAAGGATAATGGATTGTAAAAATTCATGCTTTCTCATTCTTGTCTGGTTTGATAATCAGTGCCTAGAAAGGAGTCAAAGAAGGTTTTCTTTATATATGTTCTAAATAACACAAAACCTAGCTCCGCATTAAAGCCTTAGAATTAGTTTCTGGGATTAATTAAAAAAGCAGTCGACTTCAGACTGTCATATTCAGATTCCCACAGATGTTGCAGCCACAAGGCAGAATACTAACCACTATAGGATCATGACAGGCCACTGGGAAAAGCTGATGACTTCTACTTATTACAAATTTGTCATGCCAATTGCCTTTTCATCAAACCAGTAAGAGCTCAAAAGGGCATACTTTATGATTACAAAGTGGAAATAACTTTGCAAAATCTTCATGGGTAGACGAATCTTGCTTATTTTCACCTGTGGCTAATTATCTTGCTCATTCCAGAAAACCAGAAAGGCTCACAGCTTGCCATCTTATCTTGGTTTAAGAATTCTTTTTGAACTTACCCTGTGAAAGAAAACACACAGAAGAAAGCTTTCCCTCTGCATGTCACTGATTTCTGAACAGGAAAATACAAGAAAAGTATTATCATAACTGTAGACACTGGGTATAAACTGGGGGATCTAGATTGTCAGCTTTTCAAGAAGCTTATATTCTAGGGGAGAGATAGAAAATAAAACAATAATTTAATATGTTTTCCAATTTATTAAAAATTTTATTTAAAAGATGGAGAGAGAGACAGGACATTGATTCAGCTGGAGAGGTCAAAGAAGGGCTCTCTGAGACAGTGACATTTGAGTTGTGGCCTCAGTGTTGAAAATGAGTCCACTCTTCTGGGTCTGGAGCAAAAGTGGCGGAGTTCAGAGGCTGACAGCTGGGGTCTGGGCCTCTGTGGGCAGCCAGAAGATGAGCCAATAGAGTACCCCACTTACCAGACTGACGGCAGAGCCAAATATGAAAATGTTCTTTTTTCTCAAGCCTCGAGACTGCACACCAAAGTCCCAAGCAATCAAGGAAACTCCATTTCCAGTTCCTTGGTGTCTCTAAGGCATAGGCTCAAAGTGAAGCAGACTTTTCCCTGAGGTGAAATGCAGAGACAGTCCCACTGCTCAGCTCAGTGTGGATCATGAC
Organism: Homo sapiens; assembly: GCF_000001405.40. NCBI lineage: Eukaryota > Metazoa > Chordata > Mammalia > Primates > Hominidae > Homo > Homo sapiens. Next base: position 237,786 of record NW_025791780.1, read on the forward strand.
CTTCCTGCCCTTCCCTTCTAGCTCACCCTCACCAGATTCTGAGGACTGATGAGGAAGGAATTGCTTTACAGCATTTTCTGCTGAGCATTTATTGCATGATTAGGTCAATCTCCAGCTCACTGTGCACTTACAGAAAAAAAATCTACCAGGTTTCATGTGTGACCTTGAAAAATGTCCTCATTTCTTCTGTTTGTAATTTAGTAGGTTATCCAGAGGAATTTTCCCTGGATGTTATCACATTACACAGTAGACAGAGTACTGCAAAGGTGAGGCCCAAGGCAGATGGAAATAACCACAGTTAACTGCCTGCTGCCACATACACCGTATTCCTGATCTGCCTGTGAGACTTTTTTCTAAGGATTTAGTTTATGCCAAATGTTTCATTCCCTGACTCTGGCTTTCTCTCTGTCTGTCATCTCCAGTGTCAGATACCAGCCTTTCTTATTTTTGAGGCTAAATCTCCACATAAATCTCAGTCTCAATTAGCAAAAAGCTCTTCCCATCACCACTAAAATAACCTTATTTTGGGCCCAGAGTATGGGGAATGGATGTCTGCTCCAACCCTCTGTAATGCAGCCTGCATTCTCTTGGTTTTCTTTACCTTTTACAGTCCTTTACTTGGAGTGTTAGTGAAATAATTGCCAAGCCCAACCTGTACATGCCCAATGAAGAAAGAACCAAAAACCCCAACATCCATTACTATCTACATTTGAACCTCTGAATAAGTGGAATAGTTCTTCTATTTATCAGACATTAATTCAGAATCTCTTTTGTGTCTGCCACCCAGGTTCAAAACTCCCAATTGCCCTTGACTTCTCCTCCCTCAAATCTTTATACTTAGGGTTTTTATAGATACTGTAGAGCCTTCTTATACAACCTCTCCAGAATATTCTTTTCTCATTTGTCTGTTCTTTCATCCATTCTACAACATTTATTTAGAGTGTATTTTGAATTAGGCGCTGATGATGAAGAAAGACTCATGCTGTTGACCTCAGGACCTGACAGAATAAATGAGGATGAACCTGGATCCTTAATTTTTTTAATAATTTATTTCGCTTTCTCTCCAATTCCAACCTCTTTAAACTTCACAACTAAAATCCTCTTCCTAAAATGTTGCTTCGATTACATAAGCCACCCGCCTGGAGTTAATCCTCTCCTCAATATATCTGCAAATGTCTAGGCTTTCCCAACACTATTTCCATCAATACGCATTTTACAAACATACACACACACACCCACCAATTAAATAGGTATGTCCCACAATACACACTGAAAGATTTCTATACCATCACTGTTCTTTCTGTCCTGTGTGCCATCTTCATCTTCATTTCTCAGCTATATCTATTTTTATTTCTTCTCTTTAATATGGCCTTGCCCCTTGCCACCTTTCTGTAATACATTTCTGGTTTTTTGCTATTCACTTATATGGTATGGTTATGTGACTACATATGAAATACATAAACAGGGATTGAAATTTAAGTTGTTATAAGTTTAAAATAGCCGGTTATAATTATATAATTATAAAATGTTTTAGGTAAACCTCACGATAACCACGAGACAAAAACCTATAGTAAATCCACAAAAGATAAAGAGAAACAAATAACAGCATACTACCACAGAAAATAATTGAATCACCAATCAAAACAGCAAGAGAGGAAGAAAGGAACAAAAAACCCTAAAAAACAACCAGAAAATACTTAACAAAATGTCAATACTATGTCCTTAACTGCCAATAATTGCCGTCATGTAAATGGATTAAATTCTTCAATACAAAGATATAGAATGGCTAACTGGATTATTAAAAATATATCCCAAAAAAGACCCAACTGTATGCTGCCTACAAGAAATTCACCTCACCTTTAAGGACACACAGATTGAAAGTGAAGAGATGGGAAAAGACATTCTGTGCAAATGGAAATGAAAAGAGAGCAGATATACTTATATCAGATAAAGTAGACTTAAAGTCAAAAATTGTGAAAAGAGAGAAAGGGGTCTTTATATTATGATAAAAAGGTCAATTCATCAACAGGATATAACAATTATCAATTTATATGCACCCAACATTAGAGCACCTAAATATAGAAAGCAAATATTCATAGATCTAAAGAAAGAGATAGACTGCAATAGAATAATATGAGGGGACTTCAGTCCCCCACTTTCAACTATGAACAGATCATCCAGAGAGAAAATCAATAGAAAATATTGGACTTGATATATACGTTAGACTAAATGGACCTAACAGACATATACAGAATATTCCACCCAACAACAGTAGAATGTCACTTCTATTTAACATGGTGCTGGAAGTCCTAGCCAGAATACACATTCTGGTCAGGTGCACATGAAACACTCTCCAGGACAGGCCATAGATAAGGCCACAACATGAGTCTTAACAAATTTGAGAAGACTGAAATCATATCAAGTATCCTTTCTGGCCACAATGGCATGAAACAAGAAATCAACAACAGGAGGAATTTTTGAAAATTCACAACTATGTGGAAATTAAACAACATGCTCCTGAACAACCAATGGGTCAAAGAAGAAATCATAAGGGAAATTGAAAAATTACTTTGGGACAAATGAAAATGGAAATACAATATACCAAAACTTACAGGATACAAGAGCAGTTCTAAGAGAGTTTTCATCAAAAAAGATGAAAGATCACAAATAGACTACCTAGCATCCATTACACCTCAAGGACTGGAAAAACAATCAACTAAGCTAGTTACAAAGTTAGTAGGAAGACGGAAATGATAAAGATCAGAAGAAGTAAACAGAAGATAGAAAAAATAAAGAGACCAACCAAACTAAGAATTTTTTTTAAAGGTAAATAAAATTTACAAACCTTTAGCTAGACTGATTAAGAAAAAAAATGCAAAGACTCAAATAAAATCAGAAATGTAATCAGAAATGAATTGAAGAGGTAACGACTGTTACCACAGAAATACAAAGGATTATTTAAAAACTACTATGAACAATTATATGCCAACAAATTGGATAACCTAAAAACTGGATAAATTCCTAGACACATGCAACTTGCAAGACAGAATCAGAAACTCTGAACAGAGCAAAAACAAGTAAGGAGATTAAATCAGTGATAAATCTACCATCAGAGAAAAGCCTAGGACCTGACAACTTCACTGCTGAATTTGATGAAACATTTAAAGAGGAAATACCAGTTCTTCTCGATCTCTTTCAAAAAACTGAAGTAGAGGAAATACTCCCAAACACATTTCACAAGGCCAGCATTACCGTGAACCCATTGCCTGAGGAGAGCACTACAAAGAAAAAAAAATTACAAACCAATATCCCTGATGAACATGTATGCAAATATACTCAACAAAATACTAGCGAATTGAATTCAACAGCACATTTAAACAATTATTTACCATGATCAAGCAGGATTTATCACAGGGATACAAAGATGGTTCAACTTATACAAATCTGTAAATGTGTGATCCACCGTATTAACAGAATGAAAGACAAAAACCATCTCATCATCTCAATAGATGCAGAGAAAGCATTTGACAAAATTTAACATTCCTTCATGATTAAAAACTCTCAAAAATTAGGTATAGAAGGAATGTACCTTAACACAATAGAGGCCTTTATAGGACAAACCCACATCTAACATCATACTCAGTGGGGAAAAAAATTGAAAGCTTTCCTTTTAAGATCAGGAATAAGACAAGGATATCCACTCTTGCCACTTCTATTTAACATAGTACTGGAAGTCCTAGCCAGAGCAATTAGGCAAGAGAAAGAAATAAAAGACATCCAAATTAGAAAGGAAGAAGTTAAATTGTCCCTGTTTGTAGATGACATAATCCTATATATAGAAAACCCTAAAAAACTCACCAAAAATCAAAACTGTTAGAAATAAAAAACAATTTCAGTACAGTTGCAGAATACAAAACAACATACAAAAATCAACATACAAAAGCTAGCATTTCTATACACTAATGGCAACCTAACCAAAATAAAAAATTTTAAAGATCCCATTTACAGTAGCTACAAAAAATACTTAGAAATAAATTTAACCAAGGAGGTGAAAGGTCTGTATACTGAAAACTATTAAACACTGATGAAAGAAATTGAGGAAGACACAAATGGAAAGATATCCTGTGTTTATAGATTGGAAGAATTAATATTATTAAAACATCCATACCCCCCCAAAGTGATCTACAGATTCAGCGCAATCTCTATCAAAATCCCAATGACATTTTTCACAGAAATAGAAAAAAAAAACCCTTAAAATTCATATGGAAGCACAAAAGGCCCCAAATAGCCAAAGCAATCTTGAGCAAAAACAAAACTGGAGGCATCATACTACCTGACTTTAAAAATATACTACAAATATATAGCAATCAAAACAGCATAGTACTGGTGGAAAAACAGACATATAAACCAGTGGAACAGAATAGAGAGGGCAGAAATAAATCCACACATTTATAGTCAATTAATTTTTGACAGACGTGCCTAGACACATAATGAGGAAAGGATAGTCTCTTCAATAAATGGTGTTGGGACAACTGGATATCTACATGCAGAAAAATGATAGGAGGCCCTTATCTCATACCACATACAAAAATCAACTAAAAATTGATTGAAGACAAACATAAGATGTGAGACTCTAAAACTTCTAGAAGAAAACATATGGGGAATGCTCCATAACATTGGTCTGTGCAATGATTTTTTGGATATGAACCCCCCCAAAAGCAAAAAGACAAAAATAGATAAATAAGATTACATGAAACTAAAGAACTTCTGCACAGCCCCCCCCCAAAAAAAATCAACAGTGAAGAGACAACCGATAGATTGGGAGAAAATATTTGCAAACCATACTTCTGTAAGTGGTTGATATAAAAAATACATCAGGAACTCAACTCAATAGCAAGAAAACAAATAACCCAATTAAAACATGGAGAAAGGACCTTAATAGACATTTCTCAAAGGAAGACACATTGCCAACAGGCATATGAAAACTTGCTTAATGTCATTTATCATCAGGCACATGCAAATCAAAACCACACCTGTTAAAATGGCTGCTATCAAAAAGGCAAAAGATAACAGGTGTTGGCAAGAATGTGGAGAAAAGAGAATCCTTGTACGTTGTTGGTAGGAATGTAAATTAGTGCAGCTGTTTTGTACAGCAGTTCCTCAAAAAACTAAAAAGAGCACTATCATATGATCCAGCAATCCCACTTCTGGGTATATGTTCAAAAATCGGGCTATTGAAGAGATACCTGCACTCTCATGTTCATTGCAGAATTACTACTAAAGTAGCTGAATCAACCTAAGCGTCTATCAGCAGATGAATGGATAAAGAAAATATTACAACTGCACAATGAAATACTATTCAGTCTTTTAAAAAACAGAAATCCTGTCATTTTCGATGTCGATGAACCTGGAGGGCATTGTGTTAAGTGAAATAAGCCAGGCGCAGAAAGACAAATACTGCACGATCTCACTTAAATGTGAACTCTAAAAACGTCAAACTCATCAAAGCAGAGAGTAGAATGGTAGTTACCAGGGGCTAGGGGAGGAGATGGGAGGTAGGAATGGAATTAGAGAGATGTTTGTCAAAGGACACAAAATTTCAGTTAAACAGGAGGAATAAGGTCAGATCTACTGTGCCGTATGGTGACTACAGTTAATAATAAGTGTATTCTGTACTTTATAGTTGCTAAAAGAGTAGACTTAAGTGTTCCCATCACACACACACACTAAGTAATAGATACGTTAATTAGCTCGAGTTAACCATTCCACAATGTATGCATATATGAAAACATCATGTTGTACATCATAAATATATACATTTTGTACTTGTCAACTAAAAAAATTGTAAAAACCAGTATTTAATGCTCATCTCAAAATATAAAAAGCCTGTGATGCAAAGGGTTTCTATGGTGTAGTCGTTACCACGCTGGCCTAACACATGGAAGGTCCTCTATTTGAAACTCAACGGAAACAACAGGTTTCTCTGGTCTCCCAGAATCTGACCGGGAGTGGCCGCTTCTTCCCGGGAGTCCAGAGCTGCAAGGAACAAGTGATAATCCCGCCTCTTTTAAAAGAAAGATCGTCATCCTGGGATAGCTGTGCCAAATTAGCAGGCCGCTCTGGGCGGGCGCTCCCCAGCTGGGACGTGCTCGCTTCTCTCCCTGAAAATCTGGAACGTGAAATCTTACAGCACCAGACTTTTCCAGTGTCCACTTTCTCCTGGTTACGTTTTCCCCTCTCCCTCGCAGAGGAATAGCCATCATGCCCTTGCCCTTGGCCATTTTTGAGTAGACTCGCCTTAGGTCGAGTCCTGGTTCCCCACTAATAATCGAGACATTTCCTTTGTTCCGAGACGCAAGAAATGGTGGGTAGTCGCGCACATCTACTCCTGAATAAAGGAAAGGGCAGAAAGTTTTGCGGTAGGTGACGAGTGAGCGCAAGTGGTAGAGTACTCGCTTAGCATGTGAGAGGTAGTGGGATCGATGTTGTCACTTGGGGCCGCATGTCCATACAGTACAACGTGGAGAACGGCTTCATTAGTCACCTGTCGAAGAAAACGAGGAAGTACCAGCCATCTTGAATGCTTCACTGGTAAAAGACCTATGGGCATAAAGAAACAGTGCTAATAATAGCCCCTAAAACGTTCAGTGGACAGTACCCATTTTCTAAGTTGTTTTCTCTTTATTCAGAGGAAAGAGGAGATCCCAAGAGGGTGGGATATACCCAATTGTTCCTTTTCTCTCCTTCCTGCAGCTTGACCCAAAATGCCAAAATGCAGCACAGCTCTGGAAAATGCAGGGCAGAGCAGGATGAGTAAAACCCCAGCTTTCTTTCTGGTCAGGGCGCTGTAAAGTGGAGTTCCGAGTCACCGGGAAGTCCTGCTGAGAGTGTGGAAAGCAAACCCACAAGTGGTTTGTCAACTCACCGAGTGCACCCCTGAGTTGCGAATATGTAGCTGTAAAGAGCAAAACCAAATACAGAAAGCTTATTTTTTCCCAATTTAAAAACATGTTTTGTGATTCTACTTTAGACATCTTGAATAGGCAAATTCATGTAGACAGAAAGAATAGAGGTTGTTGGGGAGAGGGAAATGTGGAGTTATTGTTTAATGGGTACAGAGTTGCTGTTTGGGATGCTGAGAAACTTCTGGAAATGGGTAGTGGTGATAGTTGCTCACATTGTAAATGTACGTAATGCCACTAAATTGAACACTTAGAATTTTAAATGTAAAATGGGTTAAGTATATTTTACCACAATAAGAAAACACAAACTCTTGTTCATTCTGTAATTTAGCACATAGTCTCATCATCTGTTTTTCTCCACACCAGCTCATCTGTTCATCCTTCTATTCATTTGACAAATACTTAGAAATGTCTAGATTTATTGTTCCATTCATCAGACATTAATTCAGGATCTCTTGTGTGCCACAGTGTCAAGACTTCTCCCTCAAATGTTTACACCAATGTCTTGACAAATACCATAGATCTTTCCTGCACAGCCTCTCCAGAATGTTTTTCTTACCTTTCACTCATGTTTCTCTTGCCCATTCTACCACGTTTATGGAGGACGTAGTCTGCACCACAAAGTATAATGGGCACTGGAGCTACGGAAAGACTCATGCTGTTCACTTCAGAAGCTGACGGAATAAATGTGAATAAACCTCAATTCTTTAATCTATTTATAACTTCTTTCCATTTCTCTTCAATTACAGTCTTCCTGTTCCCAAGCTCTTTGACATCCAACACTAAACACCTTTTTCTTAAATGTTAATTTGGTTATGTAAGCTGTCTGCAATTTTTTCAAGGGTTCTTAAGTCTCAATGTTTTCCCAATCATTATCTCCATGTGCACAGGCATTTCAATCACTACTTCCTTTCATTTTATAAACAGGCACACACACAAGCAGGCACATATGCACTTGTGCACTACACATCCCAAGTGAACAGGCATGTTTCCTCACACAGGAATTCCTACATCTATGCCTGTTCCTTCAAACTCATGTGCATTCTTCCTCATCTGCATCCTTCAAGGTTCATATTTATCCCTTTACTACAAACTGATCTTTTAATCCCCATGGTTCTTGTCTGTAATACTTTTGTGATTTTTGCTGTTTTCTTATGTGATGTGAATATGTGAGTTCTATATGATGTAACTTAAAAAGACTTGAATATAAGTATGTGTATATATATATATATATATAAATCTAACATAAATATATCCTATATATCTTAGAAATCTAAGATATATACATACCTTGAATATCTTAGATATATCTATCTTAGATTTAGGAAGTCTGAGGGTTTCCTCAGTGTAGTGTAGAGGTTATCTCACTCACTTGCCTAACACGAGATGAGGCCCTCAGATAGAAAGACAGATGTTATATAATTATAAAGCGTCTATTCACCGAAGGGACACAACTGTCCTAAATATGTCTGTTTCTGGCCACAGAGCTTCAAAACTTATGAACAAAATGGATAAACCAGAAAGAAAATAGAAAAATCCAATTACAGTTGCAGACGTTAACACTCCTCTCTCAGTAATTGATAGATTCAGGAGAAAACAAATCAGCAAACATTTTAGAGAACAGAACAACACCATCCACCAATGGATCTAATAGACTTTATAAAGCAAAATCACAATTTATGTAGAAAGGCGAGCCAAAAAAATCAAAGAAAAGCAAGATCATATTATAAGTAGGAAATCACGAATGGTCAGAGTGCAGAAAAGTGACATTATTGAAACTGATATTTCCGAAACAGTTACTTAAATAGCAGGAAGACCGATAACGGCGAATCTGTAAGTGAATCTTTCCTTGTCCATATGTATCCTGCTTTTTCTTGAGGTCTGGGCTGGCCAAATGTCTCCTGAAATTCCTGGGCCTACTACAGTGTCTGGCACAGAGCATCTCTCCAGCAAATATGTACTGAATGAGTAGAAAGGAACTGACGGATTCAGAAGAGACCTGCAAGAATAATGTTCAGTATTTGGCAAATCACTGAATGTGGTGTTTGAAGGAGGACAATGAGTCAAAGTTGACTTGGAAATCTAGGCCCAGGAGGAGGTTGAGAATTAGATATGTGGTATATGAATGAATGGACTACTGTGGAGAAAAACAGGCAGAGAGATAATGAGCAGGAGCAGAGAAAAGACTCACCTTTTGGAATCTAAAATAAATGTGCTTGTCAGTTCAGGCTTTGCCACCTAGCATCTCTGGCACCTTAGAAACAATAATTATCTGAGCCTCCAGTACATCTAGAAAGTGCACATTAGGATACATCGTTTTGTTAGCGAAATTCAACTGGACTACGTAAACGCAAGAAATCTCGTAGTATACTTAATAGCACACAAGAAAAAACAAAGGGGTAAAAAACAAAGAGGGTGCCATTATAAGTATTTTGTGTTTTTTTTTGTAGCGGCAATGTCTTCAGTCATGTAGATGCAAGTGGAGATATGAAGGAAGACAGTAGTATGATCAAGAGACAGGTTTGATGGCTATTTCTTCATTCATTTATCCAGGTGGTCAGTGAACTATCATGAACTGAGAACCTCCTGTCTCTTTTCAACAGAGGAGACTATGGAAAGTGTAAGAGTGACTAAGGTTTCTGAGGGAAGGAAAAGGGAAAAAGAGCAGCAAAAGACAGGTACAATTGATCCTGGTAACGCAGAACCCAGACGGTCCTATGAAATACTGGAAAGGCGTAGACTCCTCTGGTCGTGGGTATGGAATCTTCCTAGTGCAGCGTTGATTGATACAGAGTAATTTTCAAGTAGGATTGATTGTAGTTTTTGAAAGCTGAAACCGTAACGTAGGTGGGAAATACACTTCGACAAAATGGATGTTGCCCGAGCTCAACAGCAAGCCCTCTTAGCGCAGCTGGCAGCGCGTCAGTCTCATAATCTGAAGGTCCTGAGTTCAAGCCTCAGAGAGGGCATCACTTCTGCCAAAGAAGTTGGATACACTAAATATCGGAACGCAACGCAAATGCTATAGCAGATAAGGATTTGAAGACTGACCCAATATTTGTAGAAAATGGAAATATAATTTAGGTTTTCTTGTTTTTTCGACTTTCCAGTGGTTTGAGTAAAATGAGTGGTGAAAACAGAAGAGTAGATTACACCAGAAACTACAAGCTATGTCATATAATTGGTCTTTCTAGCTGACACAGGAAGCAGGGGAAATTTCTCTTCCAACTTCCCGCTCTCAGGGTCACCTCACACTAATTATTGGGTGGATGGGTGAAGTCATTTATTCTTTTAATCATCCAACAAATATTTCTTGAACACATATCTTGTTAAGAGACTGGGGTCAAGAGTGAATACAACGCAAACATTCCTACCACTGTGAAACTACATCCTACTTGGGAGGAGTGGGGTGAAAGTGTATTCAGCACAAATATTCCTACTATTGCGAAACTACATCATACTTGGGAGGAGTGGGGAGAAACAGACAGGAAACAATCAAAAATATGTAAGAAGTGATTTGACGATGTCTACTGTGAGGGAATCGCTAGGCAGTAAAGGGTTTGGGAATGTGGAGGTGGCACATTCAGCTTTCAGGAGGACAATCAGGGACTCTGTCACCTTGACAACTTTAGCCTTGCCTTCTTCTAGCCATCTTGCCGGAACACTTGTGCCCATGTTTTTCTAACACTGTCATAAGAGTACTTTTACCTATCAAGGCAACTGGGGGTTAGGAGAGCTTTTTGCCCAGAAGGCTAGTTGGCTTCCTTGGAAAACTGATGATACATGAGGACTGGGGTTGTCAATCCCTCACATGTTTCTTCATATGAAAAATGAGGACTGTGGGATTCTCTGGCTGGATCTCAGCACCTAGAGATGGATCTGGGCAATAGGAACTGCTCAGTATTAGCTACCGCTTTGGTTGCCTTCTCCTTGTGGAAAGCTGGCCTCTCACACTGAATTTGTATCATAGGCACTCATGAGGGTCTTGACTACATCAATATCTGATGGGAGACTTTAGGGCAGTTCTGTTGTCGTAGCTGATTTGCTCATTTGGTAGCTAGCATCCAGCTTCTTGTGAACATTAAAATAAAATAAAATAAAATAATAAAATAAAATAAAATAAAATAGATTATGGAGGAATAGAATACAGATACATACTAAGGCATAATTTTCCAGACAAAATGGATTTGGATAAAAGAATCTAATTAAGAATTTGTGCATGGTTCTTTTAAAATTCCTTTGATTTTTTTTTTTTTTTTTTTGGCCTGTTTTTCAAGTGTCCAATTTTTGTCACCCTTCTCCCATCAGGTCAGAGAGATAGCCAATGGTCAGAAGCAATCTTCCAGCAACTGCCATAGCGCTTTCTCCTGCCTGCAGATGCCTCTTTTTAGTCAGCCTTTATGGGAAGTAGCAGCACCATCCGTTCCCAGAGAGCAAGCTCTGGAGTAGCTGAGCTAACCCCAGTTGCTAATCTGAGCTAATCCCAGTTACCCCAGTGGATTTACAGATTGAGGGTAGAACCCAGCAGGGTTCTCTTCTTGGAAAGAATAGGCTTCCCTCTAAGGTTTCACATAGATACTGGGTGAGGAAACAGCCCTAAATGGCTTCAGAAATTGAATGTTCTTTGGGCAAAGCAGGAAGCCCTGCTGTGGAAGAGCATCATTTGAGCATAAATCAGGTTATCAGGACAAACAGAGTGTTCAGGAGGTCTAGATGGTTAAGCAGAGAGCCTCATCAGAATATCCGTGGTGAAGAGAAACAATCTTGTTGGGAGAAGGATAACCGTAACTGGGGACTTAGAATAAAGGCTAAAAATGATTCAAAGAGAATGCAAAAAGAATCAGGCACAAATCTTTACTATATTCTGTTGTGCAAATCTCACCTTACTATGTGTTTATATTCTATTCCTCCACAATCTTTATTTTATTTTTATGTTCACAGAGACTTGCTGGTTCCAACTAAATGAGCACAACAGCCAGTGACAACAGAACTGCACTTAAATAGTCCCTCATCAGCTCTTGAGAGCAGATTCCTTAAAGGTGAACAATATTCCACATACAAGGACTTTTCAGCAGTATGCATTAGAAATGGAACTGAATGTTTATTATTCTTTATATAAGTTGGTTGATACGACTTTTCAGCTTCCCTCAGTAACATTATCTAAATTTTGTAGATGACAGTAAAGCTCAGAGGAGTTAAACCATTTTCCTCAAATCACGTAGCTTTAAACAGGAAAACCAGATATGAAAAGCAGATTTCTTTCTAAATTAAAAAACAAAAACAAAAAAACTTGAGCTCTTGCTTTACCCTAGCACATAGTCTCGCCATCTGTTTTCTCCACACCAGGTCATTCATGTAACATTCATTCACATAACAAATACAAATAAATGAGCGGATTCATTCATCAGATATTAATTCAGAATCTCTTTTGTGTCTACCACACTAGGCTCAAGACGTCCCAGTGTCTTTGTCTCCTCTCCCTCAAATCTCTCCACCCAATATCTTGACAAATAAAGTAGATCCTTCCTGTACAACGTCTCCAGAATCTTTTCTTCCTTTTCTTTCACCTCTGTCATCATTCATGCTACAGTGTTTACGGAGGATGTGTTCTGCAGCATGAAGTGTCGTGGGCACTAGCTCTGCAGAAAGACTTCTGCTGTCCACCTCAGGTGCTGACATGATAAATGTGGGTAAACCTCAATCCTTTAATATCTTTATGACTTCTTTCCCTTTCTCCCCAGTTCCTGTTTTCTCATGTTCAAGCTCTGACATTCAAAACTAAACACCTTTCTCTAACATGTTGCTTTAATTATTTAAGCATTCTGCCTGGGATATTTTCAGTTAGTCATGGGATTTTTCATAAAACTCTCCCAATATATCTCCAAGTGGCCAGGCTTTTCAATCACTGCTTCCCTCCATGTGTATTTCACACACACACACACACACACACACACACTCTCCACTTAAATTGAACAGGTTTATTTCTTTACACAAGAATTCTTACAAACAGCCCGGTTTTCTCCACCATATGTCCACTCCTTCTCTGCATAGCTCAATTTTGATTCTTACACTATATTTTACATATTCTTACACTCTGATACGATCTTGTCTCTTATTCTTTATGGCTCTGCTCTGTAATTTTGTTGTTGTTGTTCTGAAATATAGTTGGACATGTAACTTGTACATGACACACCTTAGCAAGGAGGCAACTCATATCTCAGATGTAAGTGAAAGAAGCACTCTCCAGGGGTTTCCTATGGGAGTGGTCAGCACGCTGGCCTCATTGGTGGAATGGCCTAGTTACGAAAACAGCAGGAGCTTTTTGCCTTCCAGAAATCTGGACCATCTCACAACCCCCAGACAGTCTCAGCTACAAGGAAAAGTGATAATTCCATCCCACTTTTATAAACACACACAAACACACACACACACACACACACACACACACACACAAAATCATTTAATCATTTTTAATCATTTAATCATTTTTTTAAAATCTCTGACACTTTAGCTGGGCAGGTCTAGACATGTCCTCCTTTGCTGGGATGTGCCTTTTTCTGTCCCGGAATACCCTAAACTTGACATTTTGGCAGCACGAGTTTTCCCTTTGTGACTTTCTCCTTGTTCCCTTTCTCCTCCTTCTTTGCAGAGAATGAGTAGCCACTGCGCCTTGCCCTGGGCCATCAGTGAGAAGACCTGCTCTTAGTAGAGCCCTGCTTTCCCGCTGAAGGCCTTGAAATCCCCTGTGTTCCAGGACACCCACTAAAGATCAAGAAAGCTCCCCTGACGTGGGGAATTAGCTCAAGCGGTAGAGCGCTTGCTTAGCATGCAAGAGGTAGTGGGATCGATGCCCACATTCTCCAAGCTTTATTATTTGGACCTTGGGTCTCCAAACACTCAAGTATCCAAACCCAAGTTAGTGTCTGAGAGCAGGATGCTGCTTTGGTTCAAGACATAGGAGCAGCAACAATACAGGCCTGGTGATGGCTCCCTCCTGGCATTCAGTATAGTGTAGATCTACTGTGTAATTCATTTGCTGTTTCTTCAAGGAGCTGTGAAACCAAGGGACATATACAACTGCTCTTTTCTCCCTGTTTCTGCCTGCAGCTTGGTCCTAAACCTCAGACAATCGTGAAATGTGCAGGGCAGAGCCACCTGGGTAAACACAGCCTCGGCTTTCTGCTCAGGGGACTGAAACCAGGATGTGTCAAGTAACTAGAATGTGCCTGGACAGATACTGTAGAAAGCAAACCCATAAAGTTGTTCATGAGCTTGTGGACACACCTGCCAGCTGTGAATAAGTGGCTCTAATCCCAAACAACTTACCTACAAAGAGCCTGAGAGCTGAACTGCGCAATGGCCCACTTTCCAGTCCTCACTGAAGTTGCACACACTCCGGAAATCTCTGAACAGTGGCGTAAAGGCTTTGCAAATAGAGTTATCTTTGAAACAACAACACGTGGAAGGCTGGTTGGTACTTGGAACTTGAATACAAGGCAATTTTGTGCCTGCAAAAACAAAAATAGCAATATTATTCTTAAGATTTCAACAAAACACAGTGTCTCATCACATAATCCAAAGAAGTCCAGGTTACAAGCCCCAAAATCTTCGGCATTATGAAAAAAACAGGGAGATCTTCATTCACATGGCAAAGAGACTCCTCGAATAACAATACTGAGAGGACACAGATGTCAAAATCATCTGACGCATACAGTGGAGCAGTTATGACAACAATGCTCCTAGAATTAGGGGATAACATTCGTGAAGTGAATGGAAAGTTGGAAAGTCTCAGCAAATATCTGGAATATATAAACACCAATTTTAAGCTTAAGAATTTAAAAAAATGTATTAACCAAAACTCTTAGGGGAAATAAAAAGCTTAACTGGATGATCTCGATAACAGAATGCAGATGACTAAGAAAAAGTCAACGAACTTGAAAACAGAACAAGAATACCTACATAATCTGAGCTATAGAGAGAAAGGAGTATTTCTGTAAATGAACAGAGGCTCAGGGACAAATTAAAAAATAGCAAATCTAACATTCACATTATTGTAATCTGAAAAGAAGAGGACAAAGAGGTCTTTGTGGGATAAAACTTTGAAGAATTAATGGCTGAAAATGTATCAAATTTGTCAAAAGATATAAACCAGGTTTTTAAAGTTCAGCAAAGGTCAAGCAGGATAAACCCAAAGAAACCCAACCCATTTCAAGACGTATCATAATCAAACTGCTGAAAACGAGGAAAGTACAAAACAATCTTGAAAGCAGTCAAAGGAAAATGAAAAAGAAACTACCATATGAATGAGTGTAGATTTCTCATCAGGAACCATAGCGGCCAGAAAAAAATGTCATAATGTTCAGTAAGTAACAAAAGAAAAAGACCTATCAACCCAGAATGCTATGTGGAGCAAAAGTATCTTTCAGACATAAAGGCAAATAAATGCATTCTCATTGGAAGGTAAGTCAATACATTCTCATTCTTAGCAAGAATGCTGGAAAAGAATTAGCAAAGATTTGAGATAAGAAAAGTGATACCAGAAGGAAACTTAGAACATCGTCAATGAAGGAACGAAAGCAGAAATAGAAAATGTCTGGGTAGACATAACAGACTGTTCTTCTTCTCCTGAGTTCCTTAAGGTATGTTTGATGATTGAAAGCCAAAATTGTAACTTTATCAGAAGCAGTTGTCATTGTATCGAGATGTACTACATAGATAAGATAAAAGGGTAAGTGTAATGGGCCTAACTCTTGATGAAGTTTCTATATTCAACTTGAATGGTAAAATATTGATTCTAAGTATACTGTGAAAAGTTATATACGTATATGGTAATCCCTAGACCACTTACTAACCAGATTGAAATAAACCAAAACAAGATAGACAGAGGAACATAGAAGAATTAAAACAAAGGGAACAAAGGTTAATACATTATTAAATAGATCTATCTAAAAACTTATCTATATTAACATTACACGTAAATGATCTAAATCCTTAATTAAAAACTAGAGATCATCAGAATGTATTAAAAGTAAATATGCTGACTGTAAGAAAGCCACCTGCAATACACTTATATATCAGAATAAAAGTTATATAGCAGATTGAAGGAAAAGAGTGGGAAAGATACCTCATGCAAGCATTAATCAAAGACAGCTGTGGTGTATACATTAAAATCAGACAAAGTAGATTTGAAAGCAGAGAAACTTTTCAGGAATAATGAAGGCTGCTAGATAATTACGAATGTCCATTCTCCAGGGAATACTGTTCCAAATGTATATGAGGACACAGATTTTCAAAACTCATAAACAAAATTAGATAAGCCAGGTAAAAATAGAAATATCCAATTTTAGTTGAAGACACTAAAACTCCTCTCTCAGTCATTGGTAGACTTAGTAGACAACAAATCAGCCAACATATTGGAGAACTGAACCACACCATCCACCAATGGATCTGATCAACTTCATAACGCAAAATAAAAATTTAGCCAGAAAGCAAAGACAAAAATTAAAAGAAAAGTAAGATCATGTTATAACCAGGAAATTAAGAGTGGTCCATCATATAGAAGGGTGCTATTATTGAAAGAGTTTGAAATAGTGACTTAGTTATTTTGAAAGAGTTTTGAAGGCATTATTTAGCTGGAAATGACAGAAAGACTGAAAATGGTGAATCTGGAGGTGGATCTTCCCTCATCTATATTTATCTTGTTTTCTTTTGAGGTCTAGGGTGTCTATACTTCCTCTGAATTACCTGATCCTACTACAGTGTCTGGCACAGAGCATCTCCCCAGTGAATATGTACTAAATGAGTGGAAAGTAATTGATAGATTCAAAAGAGTTGTGCAAGAATAATGTTCATTATTTGGCAAATCATTGAATGTGGTGTTTGATGGAAGACAATGAATCAAAGTTGACTTGAAAGGTAAGCCCAAGGCCAGACGTGGTGGCTCATTTCTGTAATCCCAGCACTTTGGGAGGCCGAGGTGGGCAGATCCCTTGACGCCAGGAGTTTGAGACCAGCCTGGGCAACCCAGTGAAATCCTGTCTCTACAAAAAAAAACAAAAATTAGCCGGGTGTGGTGGTATGCATCTGTAGTTCCAGCTACTCAGGAGGCTGAGGTGGGAGCATCACTGGAACCCGGGAGGCGGAGGTTGCAGTGAACAGAGATCACACCAGTGCCCTGGCAGTAAAGTGACACCTTGTCTTAAAATGAAATGAAATGAAATGAAATAAAATAAAATAAAATAAATAAAATAAAATAAAATAAAATATAAAAGTTAAGCCCAGGCCGGGCGCAGTGGCTCGCACCTGTAATCCCAGCACTTTGGGAGACCAAGGCAGGCAGATCACCTGAGGTCAGGAGTTTGAGACCAGCCTGGCCAACATGGTGGAACCCCGTCTCTACTAAAAATTCAAAAACTAGCGGGGCACCTGTAGTCCTAGCTACTCGGGAGGCTGAGGCAGAAGAATCACTTGAACCCAGGAGGCAGAGGTTGCAGTGAGCCAAGATTGTGCCACTACACTGCAGCCTGGGCAACAGAGTGAGACTCCAACTCAAAAAAATTTTTAAAAAAAATTTTTAAAAAGTTAAGCCCAAAAGGTAAGTAAAGAGGAGGTCTGGAATTAGATATTTGGTGTATGAGTGAATGAGCTAAAGTGCAAAAGAATGGGCAGAATAACCGTGAGCTGGAGCAGAGGGAAAAAAATCACATGCAAAATCTAAAAATATCTGCTTCTCAATTCGGGCTTTCCCACTTAGCAGCTTTGGCATTTAAAAAAAAAAAAAAAAAAAAAAAAACACTTGACCGGGCACGGTGGCTCACGCCTGTAATCCCAGCACTTTGGGAGGCCGAGGCGGGCGGATCAGGAGGTCAAGAGATAGAGACCATTCTGGCTAACACGGTGAAACCCTGTCTCTACTGAAAAAATACAAAAAAATTAGCCGGGCATGGTGGCGGGTGCCTGTAGTCCCAGCTACTCGGGAGGCTGAGGCAGGAGAATGGCCTGAACCTGGGAGGCGGAGCTTGCAGTGAGCCCAGATCGGGCCACTGCACTCCAGCCTGGGAGACAGAGCGAGACTCCGTCTCACAGAACAAACAAACAACAAACAACAACAACAAAAACGCACTTAGCCTATCTGATTCTCTATTACTTCTAAAAAGTGCATACTAAGGCATAATTTTGTTGGCAAAAGTCAATCAGACTACATCAAGTAAACTCCCTAAGTCTCCTAGTATAATTCACGGCACAAAAATATGAGGAAAAACAGGGAGGATATGATTAAAAGTTTAGTTTGTATTTTTTGTTGAGTGAATGTCTCCAGTCATAGAGATGCAAGTGTAGATACACAGTAAGAGTAGTATGAATGGCAGACACCTTGGAAGGCTATTTCTTCCTTCATTCATTCAGTTGGTCACTCAATGAACTATCATGAATTGAGCACTACCTCTGTTTCTTATCAACAAAGGAGACTACGGAAAGGAAGAATGACTAAGATCTCTGAAGAAGGGAAAAGCTAGATGACTGGGCCACAAGAGGAAAAAAAGCAGCAAGACAGGTACAATTGTGTCTGGTCCCTCAAGCCAGAAGGTCCTATCATTATGTGAATACTGGAAACGGGTGGACTCCACCTGTCCTGAGTGGGGAATTCTTCCAGTGCAGCATTGACTGATAAGGAGTGATTTCCAAGTAGCATTGATTGTGTTCTTTAAAAGCTAGGAATTGATAAAGCAGCAGTGCGTGGGAAATGAGATTTAATAATCTGGATGTCACCTCTTAGGAACAGTTGCTCTCTTAGAGCAGCAGGCCACCTGTCAATCTCGTATTCTGAAGGTCCTGAGTTTGAACATGAGACAAGGCACAGCTTATGCCGCTATTTCCATTAAGAGAAATGAAATAGGTGTGATAAATAATGGAACACAAATGCTATGAGATAATGATTTCAAGACAGACCAAATATTAGCTTAAAATTTAAAAGTGAGTTTTCTTTTCTTTTCTTTCTTTCTTTTTCTCTTTCTTTCTTTCTTTCTTTCTTTCTTTCTTTCTTTCTTTCTTTCTTTCTTCCTTGCTTCCTTCCTTCCTTCTTTCCTTCCTTCCTTCCTTCCTTCTTTCCTTTCCTTTCTCTGTCTGTCTTTATTTATTTTTTCCTTCTTTTGGCTTCTCAGTCGCTTGAGTACAAGGCGTGGTGAAGGCATATAAATTACACCAGAAACTGCAAGCTATGTCTTATGTCTACCTCTCTAGCTGACAGGGGAGGCAGGGGAAATTTCTCTTCCAATTGCCTGCTCTGAAGGTCATCCAGACATAATTATGGGGTGGGGTGGGTAAAGTCTTTTATTCTTTTAATCGTCCAACCGATAGTTCTCAACACATATCTTGTTAAGAGACTGTTTTGGGTATAGCAATTCGCAGTGAATAAAATACAGATATTCTCACCTTTGTGATACTACGTCAATGTTGGGGGGAGTGGGGAGAAAGAGACAGAAGCAAAAAAGAAAAATAAACAAGAAGTCATGTGATATTATCTACTGGGAGGGAGTCATTAGGCAGTAAAGGACTCGGCAGTGTGGAGGTGACACATTCACTTTTCAGGAGAAGAATCAGGGAAGTTGTCACCTTGAAGATATCATTTAGCTTCCCTTTCTTCCAATAGTCTTTCTTTACATGGGAAATGAGGACTCTAGGATTCTCCGGCTGGATCTCAGCACCTAGAGATGGATCTGGGCAATAGGAACTGCTCAGTAAGCATTACCTACTGCTTTGGTTGCCTTCTCCCTGGCCTCTTGGATTGAGCTTGCATCATACGTGTTCAGTAGGAACTTGCTTAGTGGATTTACAGGTTGAGGTTAGAACTCACCGGGATTCTCTTCCTGGAGAGAACAGGCTTCCCTCTAAGGTTTCATATAGACCCCGGGTGAGGAAAGAGCCCTAAATGGCTTGAAAAATTGAATGCTCTTTGGGCAAAGCAAGAAGCGCCACTATGGAAGGGCATCATTTGGGCCTATATCAGGGTCTCAGTACAAAGATGAGTGCTCACGTGGTCAAGATGGTTAAGCAGAGAATCTGACCAGAATGTTCACGGTGCAAAGAAATAATCTTGTTGGGAGAAGGATCACAACAATTGGGGAATTAGAATACAGGCTAAATGAGACTCAAAAATAATACAACAAGAATCAGGCACAAATCCTTTACTACTACATTCTTTTGTACAAATCCATTTTGCCTAGAAAATCATACCTTACTATGCATCCCTATTGTGTTTCTCCACCATCTATTTTACTTTTTAAACTTTATTTCATTTTTATCATCACAGAAGCTTATTGCTACAAAACAAATGAGCAAATCAGCCAATGGCAACAAAACTGCACTGATCTCTCTCCTTAGACCTTCAGAACATTTTCCTTAAAGGTGAACAATACTCCACGTTCAAGAATTTTTCAGCTCTATGTGCTAGAAACTATACTGACTGTTTATTAATTTTTATGTAAGTTGGTCGATATAGTTTTTCAGCTTCCCCAAGTATTATTACCCTAGTGTTACAGATGACACTGAAGCTCAGAGCAGTTAAACCATTTTCCTTAGATCACATAACTTTAAAGAGGGAAACCAGATATGAGAAGCAGATTTCTTTCTCAATGAAAAAAATCACAAGCTCTTGCTTTAGTCTAGCACATAGTCTTATCATCTATTTTCTTCACACCAGCTCACTCATGTAACATTCATTCATTTACCAAATACAGATAAATGAGTGGATTTATTCTTGCATCGATCAGATATGAATTCAAAATCTCTTCTGTGTCTGCCACACCAGGCTCAAGACTTGCCAGTGCCTTTGTCTCCTCTCCCTCAAATCTCTCCACCCAATGTCTTGACAAATACTGTAGATCCTTCCTGCATAAACTCTGCAGAATCTTTTTCTTCTGTTTTACTCACCTCCTTCTTTATCCATGCTATGATGTTCATGGAGGATGTTTTCTTCACCATGAAGTGTGAAGGGGATTGAAGCTGCAGAAAGACTCATGCTGTTCACCTCAGGAACTGACACAGTCAATGTGGATAAATCTCAATCCTTTAATATCTTTATGACTTCTTTCTCTTTCTCCCCAGATCCAGTTTTTCCATTTTCAAGTTCTTTGACATTTAAAACTAAAAACCTTTCCCTAAAATGCTGCTTTTCTACCTGGAATTTTTTCAATGAGTCTTTAGCTTTTATAATATTCTCCCAACATATCTCCAAGCATCCAGGCTTTTCAATCACTACTTCCCTCCGTGTATATTTTACACACACACACACACACACACACACACACACTCCACTTAAATTGAACAGGCATATTTCTTTACACAGGAATTCCTACAAACATTCCACCCTATACCTACCCTAGGTTTTCTCCACCCTATGTCCACTCTTTCTCTGCATTGCTGAATGTGTTTTCTTTATTCTTTCACTCTGATATGATCTTTGTCTCTTATTCTTTATGCCTCTTATCTGCATTTTTTTGTTATTATTGTTCTGCCATGCAGTTGGATATGTAACTTTTACATGACACACCTTAGCAAGAAGACAACACATGTCTCAGATGTAAGTAAGAAAAACACTCTCCAGGGATTTCCTGGTGTAGTGCTCAGCACCCTGGCCTCATTCCTGAAAGTCCCTCGGTGTGGAAAAAGCAGGAGCTCTTTGCCTTCCAGAAATCTGCATCATCCCACAGCCTCAGCTACAAGAAACAAGTGACAATGCCATCTCTTTTCTTTTAAAAAAATCATTTAAGCTTCCTGAGATATCTGTGACACATTAGCTGGGCAGGGTCCTTCTGTGGGACATGTCATTTTCCGTCTCGGAATATGTGAAACTTGACATTTTGGCAACACCAGAGTTTTCCCTTTGTGACTTTCTCCTTGTTCCCTTTTCTCCTCCCTCCTCACAGAGAATAAGTACCCACTGCACTCTTGCCCTGGGCCATCAATGAGAAGATCTGCTCTTAGTGGAGCCCTGCTTTCGCGGTGAAGGCCTTGAAGTCGCGTGTGTTCTAGACTGCCCACTAAGGATGAAAAAAGATGCTGTGAGATGAAGAAGTAGCTCAAGTGGTGGAGTGCTCGCTTAGCATGTGAGAGGTAGTGGGATTGATGCCCACATTCTCCAGGTTTCACTAGTCGGACCTCAGGTCTCCAGGTTACAGTGGAAAAAAATATGTGTTAGACACTGATCTCAGAAAACAGTAAGTTAGACACTCATCTCAGTAGCAGCCTGGACACTTCTTTGGCTCATTATGTAAGGGCAGCAACAATACGGGCTTGACTAAGATTCTACTGGTATGTGGTATAGTATAGATCTATCGATGTGTAATTAGTTTTCTGTTTCTTTGAGGAGCTGTGATACAAAGGGACATATCCAGTTGCACTTATTCTCCCTGTTTCCTCCTGCAGCTTGGTCCTAAATGCAGCATAATTATGGAAAGCGCAGGGCAGAGCCACTCAGGTAAATACAGCCCCAGCTTTCTGATCGGGAGACCGAAACTAGGAGTTGCCAAGTAACCAGGAAAGACACTGTGGAGAGCAAACCTGTCAAGTTGTATGTGAACTCCTGGATGCGCCTGTGAGCTGTGAATAAGTGGCTCTGATCAAAGACAACTTATCTAAAAAGAGCCTGAGAATCGAACTAAGTGATAGCCTACTTTCCAGTCCTCACTGGCCACTGGGTTGCACATACTCCAGAGTCTCTGAATAGCAGTGTTAAGGCTTTGAAAATAGAATCGACTTTGAAACTACAACACACAAGGCTGGCTGGTTATTGGAACTTGAACACAAGGCAATCACATGCCTGCAAAAACAAAAATAGCAATATTATCCTTAAGATTTCAACAAGACACAGTGTCTCATCACATAATGCAAAGTACAACCCCAAAATATTCAGCATATGAAGAACCAGGGCAATCTTAATTCACTTGGCAAAGAGAATCCTCGAATAACAATACTGAGAAGACACAGATGTTACAATCATCTGACACATACTTTTAAGCAGTTATTACAACAATGCTCCATGAATGAAAGGATAACACTCTTGAAGTGAATGGAAAGTTGGGAAGTCTTAGCAAGTATCTGGAAGCTCTAAACACTGATTTTAAACTTAAAAATTAAAAAATGTATTCATCAAAACTATTAGGAGAAAAAAAACTTCAATGGGTTATTTCAATAACAAAATTGAGACACTCAGAATAAAGTCAATGAACTTGAAAACAGAACAAAAATACCAACCTAACCTGAACAATAGAGAAAAAGGAGTGCTTTTGCAAATGAACAGAGCCTCCCGGACAAACAGAAAAATAAGAAAAATCTAACACATCATTGTAATCCTGCAGGAAGAAGAGAAAGAGGTCCTCCAGAAAGAAAACTCCGAAGAATTAATGGCTGAAAACATATCAAATTTATCAAAACACTTTAGAAGTTCAATAAATGTCAAGTAGGTTAAACCCAAAGAAATCCATACCCAGACACATCATAATCAAACTGCTGAAAACTAAGGAAAACCATAAAAATCTTGAAGGCAGCCAAATGAAAATAAAAGGGAAACTGCCACTTGAATGACTGTGGACTTCTCATCAGAAACCATAGGGGCCCAAGGAAACATTTACTAAATACCAAAAGAAAAGACCTGTCAACCCAGAATGCTATGTAGAGCAAAAATATCTTTCAGACTAAAGGTAAATAAATACATTCTCACAGGAAGGTAAACTGAGAGAATTCATTGCTGGTAGAACTGCTGGACAAGAATTAGCAACGATTTAAGATGAGAAAAATGATACCAGAAAGAGACAGGACACCATCAGTGAAGGAACGAAAGCCGAAATAGAAAATGTCTGGGTAGACATTACAGACTATTATTCTTCTCTTGAGTTCCTTAAGGTATGTTTCATGATTGAAAGCAAAAATTGTAACTTTATCTGATGCAGTTGCCATTGTATCTAGATGTGCTACATACATAACATAAAAGGGTAAAGGTAAAGGGCCTAACTGCTGATGAAGTTTCTATATTCAACTTGAATGGTAAAATATTGATTCTACGTATACTGTGAAAGGTTATATATGTATATGGTGATCCCTAGACCACTTAGGAACCAGATTTAAATAAACCAAAATAAACTAGGAAGAAGAACATAGAAGAATTAAGACAAGGGGAACAAATGATTAATAAATTATTAAAAAGTAGATCTATCGGCTGGGCACGGCGTCTCACGCCTGTAATCCCAGCACTTTGGGAGGCCGAGGTGGCTGGATCACCTGATGTCAGGAGTTTGAGACCAGCCTGGCCAGCATGGTGAAACCCTGTCTCTACTAAAAATACAAAAAATTAGCCAGGCATGAAGCCGGGTGCCTGTAATACCAGCTACTTGGGAGGCTGAGACAGGAGAATCACTTGAACCTGGGAGGCAGAGGTTGCAGTGAGGGGAGATTGCACCATGGCACTCCAGCCTGGGTGGCAAGAGCAAGACTCCATCTCAGAAAGAAAAACAATAGATCTACCTAAAAACTTATCTATAAAAACATTAAATGTAAATGATCTAAAACAATGAATTGAAAACCAGAAATTGTCAGAA
The DNA here is from genome assembly GCF_000001405.40 of Homo sapiens. Classification (NCBI taxonomy): domain Eukaryota; kingdom Metazoa; phylum Chordata; class Mammalia; order Primates; family Hominidae; genus Homo; species Homo sapiens. The sequence goes on from NW_025791780.1 coordinate 262,336, forward strand.
TGTATTATAAATGAATATGCTGACTACAGGAAAGTCACTAGTAATATACTTATATGTGAGATTAAAAGTTATATAGCATATTGAAAGTAAAGAATGGGAAAAGATATGTCATTTAGGCATTACTCAAAGAAAGCTGTGGTGGATATATTCAAATCAGACAAACCAGATTTTAAATTGTAGAAAACTTCCAGGGATAAAGGGGGCTGTTACATAATTAGAGGTGCCAACACACCAGAGAAATAATGTCCCAAATGCATATAAGGACACAGGGCTTCAAAACTCGTAAGCAAAATTGGATAATCCAGATAAAAATAGAAAAATCCAATTACATTTGCAGACGTTAACAGTCCCCTCTCAGTAACTGATAGATCCAGTAGACAATAAATCAGTAAACACATTTGAGACCCGAACAACATCCATACAGCAATGGATCTAATCAATCAACTTTCTACAGCAAAATCACAATTTGGGTAGAAAGAAGAGAAAAAAAATAAAAGAAAAACAAGATCATGCTATAACTAGGAAATCAGGAATGTTCAGGGTGCAAAAGAGTGATATATTGAAACTGACATTTTTGAAAGGGTTATTTAGCTGTAAATGACATGACACGGAGACTGAAATCGTAAAACTGGACGTGGATCTTCCCTTCTCCATATTTGTCCTGCCTTCTCTTGAGGTCTGGGCTGCTTGAATCTTTAGAATCTCCTGAACTTACCACAGTGTCTGGCACAGAGCATCTTCCCTGTGAATGTGTACTGAATCAATGGAAAGGAATTGACAGGTTCAAAAATGTTGTGCAGGAATAATGTTTACTATTTCACAAATCACTGGATGTGGTGTTTGAAGGAGAAAAATGTGTCAAAAGTTGACTTGGAAACAAAGCCCAAAAGGTAAGTGAAGGGGATTTGGGGAATGAGATATTTGGTGTGTGAATGAATGGGGTGCTGTGGAGAGGAGTAGGGAGTAAGATTGTGAACTGGAGCAGAGAAAGAATCACGTTTTAAAATCTAAAACATCTTCTCCTCAGTTCAAGCTTTGACACTTAGCAGCTCTGGCACCTTGGAAACAAAACTTATCTGAGGTTCCATTACTTCTAGAAAGTCCAGATTAGGACACATAGTTTTGTTGGTGAAACTCTGTTGGACTACATGAAGTAAATTCAATAAATCTCTTAGTATAATTAATGGCATACAAGATTTGCTTTACACTTTTTGTAGCAGGATTGTCTCCAGTCGTGTAGATGCAAGAGGAGATAGAGAGTAAGACACAGTAGTATGGACAGGAGACACCTTTAAAGACTATTTTTTCATTCCTTCATTCGTTCAGTTGGTCAGTCAGTGAACTATTATGGACTGAACATGTCCTGTGTGTCTTTTCAAAAAAGGACACCATAGGAGGTGTAAGAGTGATTAAGATCTCTGAAGGAGGGAGAAGTCAGATCACTGGGCCACAAGAGGGAAAAAGTCAGCAAAACAGGTACAATTGTTCTTGGCCTCTTGCCTCAAGATGGTCGTCTTGTTAGATGAATACTAGAAATGGGTAGATTCCACCTGTCCTGAGGATAAAATTCTTTGGGTGCAGGATTGGCTGATAAAGAGTGATTTCCAAGCACCATTGATTGTGTTCTTTGAAAGTTAGGAACTGATAAAGCAGCAGTGCTTGGGAAAATAGCACGTGGGATGTCAATTCTTGGGTGAGAACCGCCCTCTTTCTGCAGCAGGCCACACATCAATCTCATAATCTAAAGGTTTTGAGTTTGAACATCAGAGAGGATACAGTTTTTGCTGCTATTTCAGTTGAGGGAAACAAAATGGGTGCACTAAATAATGAAATGCAAATGCTATGAGATAACAGTTTGAAGACTGACTCAACATTAGCTTAGAATGGAAAAGTGATTTCGGTTTTTTGGAGATTTTTTGTTGTTGTTTGTTTGTTTTTTGGCTTGTCAGTGGTTTGAGTAAAATGAGTGGTAAAGGGATATAGATTACAGAAGAAACTGCAAGCTATATCATATAATTGGTCTTTCTCACTAGCTGATGGAAGAAACAGGAAATTTTTTGTCGAGCTTTCTGCTCTCAAGGTTACCCAATTGTAATTATGAGGTGAGTGGGTGAAGTCATTTATTCTTTTATCCTACATGTATTTCTCGAGCACGTATCTTGTTAAGAGACTGTTCGGGGTACAGCCATTCAACAGTGAAAAAACGCATATATTCTTCACCTTTGCGAAGCTAGTTTCTAGTTGATAGGGGTGAAGAGAAACAGATCAGAAGCAAACAAGAAAAATACATAAGATGTTATGTGACAACGTCTACTGGGAAGGAATCCACAGGCAGTAAGGGACTTGGGAGTGTGGAGATGGCCCATTCAGAAGCTTTTAGGAGCGGAATCTGAGAAGTTGTCACCTTGAAGACATCCTTTACCCACCCTCCACCCCCTCCCCACTCCCCACTCCTGCTCCTTCCTTCAATCATCTTTCTTCACGTAGGAAATGAGGACTGTGGGATTCTCTGGCTGGATCCCAGCACCTAGAGAGGGATCTGATCAATAAGAACTGCTCAGTAAGCATTACCTATTGCTTTGGTTGCCTTCCCCTTGCAGCGTGCTGGCCTCTTGGATTGAGCTTGCATCATAGGTGTTCAGTAGGAGCTTGCTTAGTGGATTTACAGGTTGAGGTTAGAACCCACCGGGATTCTCTTCCTGGAAAGAACAGGCTTCCCTCTAAGGTTTCACATAGACCCCGAGTGAGGAAAGAGCCCTAAATTGCTTGAAAAATTGATTGCTCTTTGGGCAAAACAAGAAACCCTCCTATGGAAGGGCATCATTTGGGCATATATCGGGGTCTCAGTACAAAGATGAGTGCTCAAGAGGTCAAGATGCTTAAGCAGAGAATTTCACCAGAATGTTCGTGGTACAGAGAAACAGTCTTGTTGGGAGAAGGATGACAATTGAGGCCTTGGAATATAAGCTAAATAAGCTTCAAAGGGGATACAAAAAAGAATCAGGCACAAATCCTTTACTACATTATTTTGTACAGCTCAATTTTTGCCTAGAAAATCATACCTTACTTTGCATCCCTATTGTGTTCCTCCACCATCTATTTTGTTTTTTTAAGCGTTATTTCATTTTTATGTTCACAGAAGCTTGTTGCTACAACTAAATGAGCAAAACAGCCAGTAGCAACAGAAATGCGTTACTATCTCTCCTCAGACCTTGAAAGCATTTTCCTTAAAGGTGAACAATATTCCACATACAAGGAGGTTTTCAGCACTATGTGCTAGAAATTATACTGAATGTTTCTTAATTTTTACGTAAGTCGGTCAATATAGTTTTTCAGCTTCCCCAAGTATTATTACCCCAGTGTTATAAATGACACTGAAGTAAAGGGCATATCACTCTCTTTATTCTGTGTAGGTGTGTCTGCTTACAGCTAAGGATTTCCTAAATTATAGTTTTGTAAACATTAGTTCTAAATCATTGTGATCACTTGAATTTTGAAAATGTCAAAACCAATCACATTAATGTAATAGAAAATAGAGGTTTGAGGTGCATTGGCTCGCTGTTTTATTTACTATGGATCAGTGGAGTAGAAATTCCCATCGCGGAAGAGGGTTCATTCCTGTCTCTCAGCCTCAGCAAAGTTAAACATTTCAGACCTTGCCTGACTTTGGATCTATTGCGCATGCTCTGTCCTTTACCACTATCCAGTCCTGGGGGGCATATAGAGCCACTCAGAGCCTTAGAGGTACGTTCAGTGAAATGGAGCCAATCACCATATAGTGTAGCCTATTGTTCGTCTGACCAAAATGCACTATGTTGCGATAGCATGGATTCTACAGACCCGTGAAGCCCATTTGGACCACAAGACACTCTTTCCATCATGCCTGCACACCTATCCTTCACTCTTCATTGGCTCATGCAGACTTTTGAAAGTATTTAGCAATAAGCATCCTACCCCCAAGAAGCTTATGGTCTCATGGAGAAGATGGCCAAGCAACAGACAATCCCAACATGGTGAATGCCGCTAAAACAAATGCGTACCTGGATCTCCGTGAGTGCTAGGAGGAAAGCAACCCAAACTCAGAAAAGTAGGAGAGGTGTCAGGGAAGACATTTTCCAGAAGATGGTTTCGTGTCTAACAAAGCCGTGAGACGAGCAAAGAGGAGGTGAAAGGCTCAGCGTTCTATGGGGACATTTCCTTAAGTCCAGTATCTCTAGAGTTGAGTGAGGGAAGCTAAAAGAGAGGAAATAGAAATGAAAAATGGGAGTTCTTGAGAGGCTTTACTTACCCTGCACAAGCCAAGGACAGGTCTGCGGGAAGTAAGCAGATGCACAGTTAGGAAAGCCCATATCAGGAGTTAGTCACGACAGAGAAAGATTTGTACACTTTGGAAATCGTAAAAGAATGAAAAGCCCAGGTCCTTATTTCCGTGTTTTCGTCTCTGTTTTTCACGTTCCTCCCGGATTTCAATTTCTTTCTGGAATCTTAGCTCTCTTCGTCATCTGCTCTTGCAGGAACACTGAACTGCAAACGCAACCCTACGATTCAGCGAACTACGTCCTATCAAGGTTACTGGGTACAAATACATTTACTTTCGTGAGTTCTCTTGTGACTTTCTGTATCACTGCCCACAGTTGCTACTGTGAGACAAGCATTAGAAGTCTGTGTAGATTGCTGGGTTCACACACATTTACATTCTTTTTCTCTTGTGAGCTTTGACGTGGCTACACATAATTGTTACTGTGAAATAAACATTAGAAAAGCCTGTGGCCCGTGAAATAAACATTAGAAAAGCCTGTGGCCCGTACGGGGATCGAACCCGCGACCTTGGCGTTATTAGCACCACGCTCTGACCAACTGAGCTAACCGGCCCCGCCGGCGGAACGGACCCTACCTCTCTTGAGAAGTTTAAAGGCGAACGTTATTCCAATCACCAAAGAAACTTTTCTGAAGTTCTTGGAGTTGGAAAGAACCTACGATCTTTGCTAACTTGGTTACGATCCTCGGCAAATTTCTTCTAACCTGGAAATTTCAGTTAAAATACAATTCTGCGGAAGGAAAGTTCAAATGTCACCTGCTTCAGTGTTTCACGACAAAGGGTTTCAGTGACCACCCTTTTAAACGCAACGCCATCACCGTCCGCCGGTACTGTGGCCTGTCCCTATCACTCCTTTCTACTTTGCTTCCGTAGCTTCTGAGCGACCCGTGAAGAAATTGACGGAAAACGGAAGGAATTGCCGCCAGTTCCTTTCCACGGGCCGTCAAGGCCAGTATAAGTCCCCACCCAGGCTCCTCTGCTCGTAACTTCTAGCACGATTCCCACTGAATTCGCCCATGTTTCCCAGAAGTGAGTATTTGATCCCTACCCCACCCCATTTTTAGAAAACTCAGGAAAACGCTCTCGTATTTCTATCTGAAAAGGACACTTTAGAGAAATACGTTCCATTACAGTCTTTGTGTTCGCATTGTATTCCTTCTCGATGAAACAGGTATAAGTCCATTGGTATTTTACGCACGACAAGACAACTTTGCAGCCCGACTCATGACCTTTAGATTAAGAAACACTCTCCGGGAGCTCTGCTGATCGCTGGGTCTTACGAGGTTGATGCCTTCTGTCCCAAAGAGAACTATTTCCCTGCGTGTTTCCGCCTGGCTGCCCACTTCTCCAGTAGAGAAACAGCTGTTCCTCGGGATTCATTTTTGGAAGTTCTTTGGGTCCTGGGTAATGGGGCCGCATCCTGCAGCGTCGACAAGGTGGTTGAATACGCAGGAACACCCACAGTACCCAGGGACTAATAAATAGCTCAATAGATACATTTCGAATAACTGAATAAAGGAAATCTCAACCAACCCCCTTGCCGTATTACAGGTGGTCCAGCTCTCTGCCTAGACTATTGTGCTAATGTCCTGTTCCTTCTCCCGGCTTTTGAACTAGATTCTCACCTCTCTCCAATCCATCTTTCGCAGGGCTGGCCTGTCTTTCCGCCTCACTTCTGAAATTCTATCCATTGCAGCCTCTATGCAAACCGACTCTGGTTAATACTTCAGTCGGTATGGCTCCCCTCTTCCGCACTTTGCACTGCGAGAAATGCCCTTCCTTGAGGCAGCTGGAGGCCTCCTCCTCCTGAGAGCTTAATTGTGGACACAGTCTTGAGTAGAGGCGAAAAGGAAAGAAGGCTGGGAGATAATGGGGGAAAAGCACACCTTTGGTCTGGTTTGAAAGCTGGCGCCCGAAAAGGGGAGCGAAAGGACAAGAAAAAAAAACACGCTCCGAGAGTGTCTGAGATTGCTGCGGCCATAAAGCAGAGCACTAACCGCGGTACTGATAAGGGAGGGGAGCAGGGCTCCGCCGCCGGGCCTGTGCCCATGGATCTAGGTGAGGACGGGCACTCCTTCCTCCGCGGCCAAATGTTGCATTTCCCAAGACCACCCTGGCCCGCCACGCCCCCATCCTGTGCCTATAAAAACTCCCGAGACCCTAGCGGGCACGGACACAAGCGGCTGGACGTGAAGAGGAACACACCGGCGGGAGAACACAGAACACCAACCCTCTCTTTAGTCACCCTGGAGGCCTCGGAGAAGGCGGTTTCGGTGATCCGTGAAGAGACCCCGAGTCTGTTACATCCCGGAGAATGACAAGAGAGCGAGTACCTGGGTGACGTTTACGTTCTGGGATTTCGGGAGATGCGGTTTTCTGCACGCCAGGGGCCAAGCCTGAGACGTAGATGGACGGCAGGGATAGGAGCTCTCTCCGCGCCACAAACGCCCCTGCTCATACCTGGGTTCCTTGATTTTCCTGCCTATATAACCGAGCCTCCCATGGCCGGGCTCTGAGCTCTCATTCTGCGGACTGGGACAAAGGGGTTAACTGTGATGCGCTTTGTATAACCCCAGGATTCTGCACTTGCCCAAGGGCGAGGCGCAAATCAAAAACTACGCACAACTGAACACCGAGATCAGGTGAGTCCTGAGTGTCTCACGACATAAAATCCTTACGATTTTAACAAGAGTTGTATTTGTGCTAGCACTGTTAACTGACAAACGCATGCCAGATCCCATCTGTCTTTAAAGCTCAATGTGTGACGTTAGACACGTCGTTTTGCTCTTCAACTTTCTTATTTGGAAAAAAAACAAAAAAACAAAAAAACAAGTGTTCTAGATTTGCAGAGGACCTTTTCGGAGCTAAGTTCCAGTAGCTATACTGTAAGTTGATTTCTTGGGCAGTTCTGTTGGTGAGGAAAGAGGGCAAATTGAGAAATGAACAAACACAGAAGTTGCAAAAGCCCTGTGACTTACAGCACAGGACGAGTCTACAAACCCTGCCATACCACACTAAGCTCAAATTGTTTTAACACCAGCTTACTCAGACCCGATGATCCAAGATAAGACCAAAGCCAAACGGATCCAGCAACTCTGCGCAGATCTTCATGTTCCAGCAGCTAAGTTCCACTGAATAAACCTATGATTCGCCTAGTTTAGAAATTCTGGCCGTGCGCGGTGGCTCACGTCTGTAATCCCAGCACTTTCGGAGGCCGAGGCGGGCGGATCACAAGGTCAGGAGACCGAGACCATCCTGGCTAACACGGTGAAACTCCGTCTCTACTAAAGATACAAAAAAAATTAGCCGGGCGTGGTGGCGGGCGCCTGTAGTCCCAGCTACTCGGGAGGCTGAGGCAGGAGAATGGCGTGAACTCGGGAGGCGGAGCTTGCAGTGAGCCGAGATCGCGCCACTGCACTCTAGCCGGGACGACAGAGCAAGACTCCGTCTCAAAAAAAAAAAAAAAAAAAAAAAAAGAAAAGAAAAGAAAAAGAAAAAGAAATTCTGTCCAGTCCCTCCTGAGAAGGACCTTACTAACCTTCCCCCTAAAAGTGTCCTATGAATAGCTCCAGTCCCCAGACCCTTTAAATTCTGGTCTCTGACTCACCCTTGTTTTAGGCAGTACTGGGACTCCATAGAGGTACGGCTCTTTGCTCAGCAAGTTTAATAAATCCAAGGTAGTAGAATCAATTTGTTTTCTTGGTCGTCTTGTTTGGAGGGAGTGGGTCTTCTCAATGTTGGTTCTGATCCCTGCCTATGGATATTTATGAATAAATAGATATTTGCACTCCATCATCATGTGGAGCTACAAGTGTTAAATTTAACGATCTAATTACCTCTAAAATAACCACTAAATTCAACAATCTGAAACTTATCTAATTAGTTCCACATCCTGGAATGAAGGGATTTAATAGGTAATAACAGGTCTCAGTCTCTAATGGAGACATAATCACACAGACACCAGATGAAAGATGAGTAAAGTGGAAAGCAATAGGTAGAACAATAATTTGCTTTATGCTATGATTTTTGGAGCGAAGCAAGAAAATTAATCAAGGAAACAAAGAAGAAATCCAAGACTTAGTAGTGTTGGATTTGCATTTTTGTCATATGACACTACTTGTATTTTACAGGATTCACTTGGTCTCCATCTGACCTCCTCAGAGTAGACTGCTCTTTCCCAATCACTCCTGCAATTACCCTAGGAGATGTGTGATCCTAAAGTAAGGGGGAGTTTTAAATTTACTTCTAAGTACACCTGCATGATGCCATTAGTCAGGGCAGGGTAGCTGAACAAACTCAGCTCTGAATCCTTTAAGCAGAGGTAATAATTGCTGACACTATTTAATCGGATTCTGAACATGATGTGCCACTTTTCCTTTTGCGTCTGAAGTGACACCAGCCATTTTCACAGTTTCTTCCACTAGGAGGTCCTGGGAGAAAAGTGATAAAGGTAGATTCAAGAATGGTTAGTTTGATAAGAGAAATATAAAGGCAAGTATCTTTTTCACTCAGTTCACCTTGGTTCTAAGAGTGGGTCTATATAAAGAAATGGAGCATGCTTCTGCTAATTAATGTTCAGGCAGAAAAAGTCATGAATTCCACTACAAACCCATGTCCCTTCTTCCGAAGACATGACAAATTGATGAGGGTATGCTTTCTTCTGTCGGTAAAACGAAGTCTGGGATATAGATTGCAATATTAGCAGTGCCATAGTGCAGAATTTCTCATAATTAACACTTTTCACTTGAATACATAAGAAAATAGAATTGGAATGTAAAGTTAATAAATTAATCATGTTATAAACAATATGAACATAAAAGCAAAAATTGCAAGGTCTTTGGCATGCAGTCTTTGATTTGGGGAATGCATTTTTTCTATTGTTATCAGGAAGAAAGAACAGAAACAGTTCATATTCACATGGACTAGACAAAAGTATGCATTTATGTTCTTACTCCAGAGGTATACCAAGTCCCCCAATTTTTCCTAATCTAGTCCAAAGAGAATTGAACTGTCTGCACCAACAGCAAAACATTGGTACACTGTATTGATAGTATCATTTAAATCTTCGATGAGCAAGAAGTGTCAAGTAAGTTGCAGATTTTGTTAAGCCCTGCATGCTCCAGAGGGTGGGAGAGAAACACAGAAACCATTCATCGACCTGGTTCGTGAATGAAAGTTTTTAGGATCTGTGAAATTCTGAGACATTTCCTCCAAAGTAAAGTCTCATTGTTGTATCTCGAAGCTCCCGTCACTTAGAAGGGAGCACTGTGCTCACCATGTTTCTCTGAGCTGTGAAAGCGGCGCGTTCCACACTTGGAGACCCTTCTCTGACACATTTACCAACAGATACTGAATTAAAATATTAACAAATTGAATCCAGCATTATCTGTAAAGCATAATGCACCATGAGTTAGGGGAGATTGCCTCGGGAATAAAAAATTAGTTAGGCATTGAAAAGTCAATTAAATGTAATATACCACATTAACAAAACAAAAAATACATGTAATCATCTCACTAGATGCAGAAGAAATATTGGACCAAATTTGCCATTCATTCGTGGTGTTTAAAAAATATCCCAGTAAGCTAAGAATAGAAGGAAAATTCCTCAGATGAATAATGGGCGTTTAAGAAAGTCCTACAACTAGCAATAGAGTTAATAGTGGAAGAATAAATATGTACCCTTTAATATTGGAGAAAAGTGCAAAATATCTGTCCTTACTTCTACATTTTACTGAAAGTCCTAGCTAGTGTCAGAAAGTAAGGAACGCATGAATGAAGAATAAATGGCATACTCACTTTAGAATAAGAAAAATATATTCGTTTGCAAGCAACATGATCAGATACACAAAAAATCCTAGTGTATCCACAAAAATAAGCATTATAAGTAAATGCAGCTATGTCACAGATTACAATATACAAAAATTAATTGTATTTCTATGTACTAGCATCAAAAAAATGGAAAATTAAATTACCACTTTCAATAGGTTTAAAACAAATGAAATATTTAGAGATAAACTTGTCAGTGTGCACAGGACTTGTACCTAGGAATCTACAAAAGATGGCTGAGAAAAACTCAGGAAAGCTTGACTAATTGGTGTTGTTTGACATATTTACAGATTGAAAAAGGTAATATTATTAAGATATCATTTTTTTCCCTCTGAGTTGATCTATAGATTTACTACAATCCCAACAAATATCCCAGCAGGAGATTTTTGTTTTGTTTGTTTTGTTTTCTTTTCTTTTTGTTTGTTTGTTTTTACAGAAATTGACAAGCTTATTCTGTAGGACCTAGAGTAACCTAAATAATTAGGAAAAGAAAAACAAAGTTAGAGGACTTACACCAGGTGATGTCAAGACTTATTATAAAGCTAAGGTAATCAAAATAATGTGGTATTGTCTCAAGGATACTTACCCAGATTGATGGAATAGAACAGATAGTCCAGAAACAGACCAACGTATGTGGTCAACTGATTTATGACAGAGGTAAAATGTTATTTAATGAGTTTTTTAAACAAATGGTCCCAGGCAACTGAGTATGGAAAAAATGATTCCCTACCCTTAACTCACATCCTATACAACAATTAAATCAAAATGGTTTATATACGTAAAGCTTCACGTTAAAGTTATCAAACTTGTAGAAGAAAAGAAGTCTGCACATATCTGATGTAGGCAAAGCTTTTTCAGAAGGAACCAGAAAAGCATGAGCCCTTACAAAAAAAGATACACTGGATTTCATAAAATATTAAAATGCTTTTTCTTTGAAAGACAATATTAAGAAAATGAAAAGGCAAGACATAGACTTGAAAAGAAATGTAATATATGTTATATGCACACATAGTTGTTATACAACATATGTGTTATGGATACACATATAACAAAGGACTTTTATGGAGAATATAGAACACATTTTAGAACTCAGTGATACAAACACTCAGTAAGGATAAGGGCAAAAAACTTGAGCAGGCATTTCACAAAATAAGATGCTTATATGGCCAATAAGGCACACTAAAAGATGTTCAACAACATTAATCAGTACAAAAATGCAAATTAAATCTATCAAGGATTAATAGGTAACAACAGATCTCAACTCCCCTGAATGGAGAAACAATTAGTAACACAGATACTAGATAAGTTACTTGAAGGATCAATCGATAAAAAGATACTTGGGCTTATTTCCAGGTTTGTGTTCTTAAAAAGTGATGCATTCAACAGAGCATTTGAGGTAACTGCTAATTAGGGACGGTACTTCCTTCTCTTTCATCTAATGGGAGAGTGAAATCAGATTAGAACTAGTGCTTTCCTAATGAGATCTTTTCTCTCTTTCTCAGGATCCCGACTCAGATTGAAAAAGCAGAGGATGGTCACTGCCTTCCAGGTCTGAGGCTGTCTCCCAGAAACTTCATTCCTCGCTTCGCCTTGGTAGGGAAGTTCCCGGAGGTGTTTGAAAAGCTGGAAACTTAAGTGGGACATGGAACGACATTTGTGTCCCGGTTATCAAAACAGGCAGAAAAGACAAATGCGGTGTGGGGGAATTGGCTCAAGCGGTAGAGCGCTTGCTTAGCATGCAAGAGGTAGCAGGATCGACGCCTGCACTCTCTAGCTTCTTTTAATCCCTAGGCTACCAATGGTATCTGGTAAATACTTTCAGCGGATTTACCGCTCTTTATTTGACTCAGTTTCATCTTGTTATGTACATTTTTTTTTTAAGGAAATTATACATAGCATTCCATGCAAAAGCAAAAAAGGAAGCGATTAGTCACAAGTGAGTTTTGCCAATACAGGTTTTGGGGCTTCAGCTCGAAGTTAATACAATGTATTTTTGTGGGGAAATCAAACTTTAGCCTTTTGGGTACAAAATATGAGGAACAGCCTGGAAATAGTGTCAGGAGGCAAAAGCAGGAGACTTGAATGTGCCAACCTTTTGCTTTTATTCACATTGACAACACATGGTCAGGTAGAGGATGAAAACGTGTCTTCTACCAGATTATCTGAGAGTTGGCCAGGCTCCCACCTTCACTTATACTCCTTCCTTACCTCTCTCCTGTGTAGGTAAGAGAGGTAAGGAGAGAGGTAAGGAAGGAGTATAAGTGAAGGTGGGAGCTAGCATATTAACTCTAGTGGTCGGATACACTCTCACTAAGAAAAGTGACATTTATTCCTTCTATTCATCTCTCTGAAAGCTCGTTCTGACAAAAATGTGCTCAAAATAAATGGGGACCTAGGTCTTCCTCTAATTTCCAAGATGAACCAAAACGTAAAAAAATGTATTTTTGAAATTGCAACACTATCCCCTATTTAAAGAAACTACATGAGGCGCTGTATTAACAACACATATGTTGACTAGCTCAACTGGCCCAAGCAGAGCTCAGAATGCTGGAGAGAGTGGTCTTTGGATAGATGACTCCAGGAAGCTCTTGTAGGTCCCTGGGACGTGCCCCTCTTTCCATCCTTCTTTCTTTCCCATCACTCAAATCTCTCTCTGACACCATTTGACTTCTCAGCATTGCCCTTTGTTAATCGTAATAGAAAGACAATGTTATTGATTACATGTTTTTCTATTTTATCTTCTTATTCATAAATGATCTCAAAAATGAATGTCATAAATAATAAACATGTTGTTGAATTTTTGTCCCATAGGAGCAGCCTCTTTCCTTCTCAGGATGTGCACTCCTAATAAACTGGGACCGTGAAGGAGGGACCTGAAGCTGCCCCAAACCACCTGCAGTTCCATGAAGGCCATGCCTCCACCCACTAATCACTCTGAAAGTAGTGCCCCTCCACTCTTCCCCAACCACATTTCCTTTTCAGGCAAAAACATTTCTATGGGTTTGTTAGACCCTAGCTTCTAATCCTTTCTTCAGTCTTTACTGATCTGAAGCCACTCTCTCCTTTGAGGCTTCTAAATTATCTGTATAGCCTTTCTCCATTCAGCAAATTTTCATCAGGCAAAAATCCTACTTGACGCTAGTTATACTCAGAGTAAAATAACTATGTTCCTGTCTTAAATGAGAATTCTTCACAGGTGGAAAGCAGATTTGGAATCCACTACAACTCCAAGGCAGTGGAGCTAATGTAGCCTCCCCTGGGCTACAGGGGAAGCCTTCTTCTGTGGGCCCGGGAATTGAAGAACTAGACAGGCATAAGAAGGACAAGTGTGGTGCCCAATGGAGCAAGAGAAGGGGGGAGGAAGGTGACAGGGAAGGGAAATGGCAGGAGAAGCACCTACACAGCAGACACGGTATAGCCTGCATCTGTTTTTCCTTTTGGCTGAGAGATCCCTGAGCTCTGTGGTGACAATTTTCCATAATTTTTCATATAAAAAATGAAGATTATAAACTATTTCTAGGCATTTTACCTGCATTACTATTAATATGTGTACAGCATCTAAAATAGGGTCTAGACGGCAATTGCACAGTACTATTACTTGCTATTGTTGTGGCACTTTCTATGTGGATCACTGGCCTCATCCACTGTGCCTGGTGCTGAAGAAGTGCTTCAGGAATGAATCCACAGATTGAGATGAAAATTCTCAAGCTTTCTCTTTCTCAACTCCTCCAAGGTTCTCCATCACTTTCTGAGTCCTACAGGAGGAAAGTGCTATTGAAGATGCGGCGCGTATGGCGTGAAGTTCTGGGGCTGGGAGAAGCTGCCCCACTACTTCCGGGCGGCCTTGCCTGCAGGGAGCAGGTGAGGATCACAGCTCTAGAGCGGGCTGGAATAGCTGTGCCCGCAAGCCAGGCAGTTCCGGGTGGTGCTTCTCCAACTGGAACGTGCTCTCTACTTCCGAGAGATGAAGAAGGCGAAATTGAGAAGTGAGGAGAGAGGTCTCCCTCATGACCTATTTTGGAAATCCGTATTCTTCACACTCTCAGGCTCGTAGAACTTTGCCCAAGGCAGTATCTGAGAAGCTCCGCCCTCAATCTTGTCCTGCCAGGGATTTGGCGGCCCAAAGTACCGGCAGGCTCCTGATAACCAGGAAAATGGGTGGGGGGTGGTGTATCCTCAGTGGGGAATTAGCTCAGGCGGTAGAGCGCTCGCTTAGCATGCGAGAGGTAGCGGAATCGACGCCCGCATTCTCCAGTTCCTTGTCCGGTTTATGTCTCTTGGTTTGTATACCCGCTTCTTTCTCCTGTTGACAACGGCGGTGCTTCTTACCTGGGAGAAGATCAGAGGAACCTGCCCCCTCCCCCGATCTCGTGTTTTACTGCTCCCCATGTAAGAGTCTTGTTGCCCCTGCTTCCATCCTCCCATGTTTTCCACTCCTGCCACAGGTTTGGCACTTCTAGCTACTCAGGTCTCAATGCAAATTTCCCGTCTTTAGACAAGTACAGCTAAAAGTGATGCCCACACGATCTCTCAATTCCTACTACATCTTCACAAATATCGTCTCCTCCAGAAAGTATGTCTTTAAGTTACTGGTTTGTTTTTCTCTCCCCTAGAGTGGGAGCTTCCTGAGTACCGAAACGCTGTCTATGTACACTGTGTTCAACTCGCTTCATCCCCATGCGTAGAGTTAAGGTTCTGTAAAATACGGTTACTGCCTTGAACAGATAAGGAAACAGGGAGATCAAAGACAGAGCAATACTTAAAAACATTATCCTGCCACATTTCTCAAATCTTAATAATAGCATTCACTAATGTTTTTGGTTTTTCTTTGTGCTTTCTCCATATCCCCTTATTATTATTATTATTTTACATTTGGCTGACCATTTTACACTTCTTTTTCAAATGACCAATCAGATTTTGCAATTTTCTAGTTAATTCCTGTGTTTCCTTCACCATTCTATTTTCTTTTTTTTTTTTCTTTTTCTTTTTTTTTTTCGGGCTTCTTCTTCTTCTTCTTCTTCTTCTTCTTCTTCTTCTTCTTCTTCTTCTTCTTCTTCTTCTTCTTCCTTCTTATATTTAATGCACTGATTTCTTCTAATGTTTTGTAACTTGGGTATTAAAAGGTGTAATTTAAAATGAGAAAGCAGTTTCTACAGAGTCCTTAGAAATATGTCATTATAAGTCCCCATTTTCATTATATTCTAAGGAGCTCGAAGATATACTTTTGATTCTTTTCTAAACTGTGCATTCGAGAGTTAATCTCTTCTTGTTTACTTTTACGTTCATTCTTTCAATGTTATTTTCTAATTTTTGTGTATCATTTTGTTTATCAACACATAAATATGTACATTCACATAAGTATACGAGTTATATATACATGTATTTATGAATGGCAGCTGAACCACACATTAGTGCTAATATTGGTGACTAAAAGTTGGAGAACCAGACATTATGTACCTCATAAAGCGAAGCAATGGAAAGTGCACAAGCCCACCTATCAAATTGTCTTGTTAAAAGATTTGAAGCTGAATCTAAGTGAGCCTCTACTTGTAACTACCAGTTTACAAGAAATAGAGTAGGTGAAGAAACATGTCAAGGGGCAGGAAATAGATACAATGAAATAAATACAACATAGAGGTGTTTCTAAGGATAAAAGGCCCAGTTCCTTCAACAACTAACTGGCATTAACTCTTTATGATACTATAATGGTAAATATATGTCATTATACATTTGTTAAAAAAAAAAAAAACCCAGGATGTATAACACAAAGAGCAAACTGTAATGTAAACTGTGGACTTCAGTTAACAATAATGTATTAGTAATTACTGGTTTACCAGTTGTAACAAGTGTACCATACTGATGCAAGATGTTAATAATAGGGAAAATTGTAAGAGAGGGAGAGTGATGGAGTTTATGGAAATTCTATCTATTCTGGTCAATTTTTCTTTAAACCCAGAACTTCTCTAAAAAATAATGTCTATCAATTTTAAAAAATAATATCCATAAAAGAAAGACCAGGGACCTTTTATGGATGAAAAGAGTCTTAAAAAACATAAAAATCTGTAGATTTTACTTTATTATTTATAATCAGCCATTAAGAGAAATTTTTTTTGTATGGGTGACAATCAGAAAAAAAAGTTAATATTAGATCATATTTATGATCTATTACCAATTTGTTAACAACAAGTACATACACACATGCAAACATGGCCCTAAAATTTCCTAGTTCTCTCAAGCTATTGATTTCATCATTCTCTCTGCTGCTGAGTTCAAGAAAGTGAAATGCGTAATGGGTATCTCTCCTTTCCCACCTTCCTTCCAGTTCACAACCTAGTGCTGTCCACTTGCATGGGATGTTTCTTTTCCATCACAATGCTCTGAGATAACTAAGTCAAGGGAAGTTTGCGCAGCCCTCCAGACCCTCCAGATTTCAAAGGAAAGCCCACCGCTGCTGGTCTGGGGGAGCTGATGGCCTATTCATGGATGAGATGGACTAAGGACAGTGGGAAGCACAATGGACCAACAGCATTGTTGGAGGGGACTGCGTGAGGAAGCAGGAGCCTAAACAACACTCTCCAGATACTGCGTGAACACTGTCTCCAGAGGGGTCTTGTAGCATCAAAAATTAAAGCTAAATGTTGATTTCTTTCTGGTAATTATTTTGTTCAGCAACCTGGAAAAACGAACAAAAATTATCTCATTCCCTTTCCTATTTAAAGCCTGAAATATTTAATTAAAATGATAAAACTTAAAAAAAGTGCTTATTAGGCCAGGCTCGGTGGGAGGCCGAGGCGGGGGCGGGGCGAATCACTGGAGGCCAGGAGTTTGAGACCAGCCTGGCCAACATGGCGAAACCCCGTCTCTACTAAAAATACAAAATTAGCTGGATGTGGTAGTGCACGCCTGTAATCCCAGCTACCCGGGAGGCTGAGGCAGGAGAATCGCTTGAACCTGGAAGGTGGAGGTTACAGTGAAGCAAGATCACACCACTGCAGTCTCAAAAACAAAAAGTGTTTATTGAAATTTTTAAACTTACAAGTGCTGTGACATTTAAATAAATCATTTTCTCTACATACACGGTTTTTGCACTTATACATGTCTAGACACCCTAGGAATGGTGGTGCCGTGGTGTGAACATGGAGCCTGGAATGGCCAGCCCCAAAACCTCCTCCTCATCAACTGTTGACTCATCAACAGTCAGTCAGTAATCATAACTTCCTTAAAATACAAGAGCCGCAAAACTTTCCGGGATATCTGTGCTACTTAATCTGGCAGTTCCTACTGTGTCTTGCCCCCGGTGTGACGTGCTCTCTTCCATGAAATTAATAACTGCAAACTGTAATGGGAACAAGGCAATTGTCTCCGCACTCTTACCCAAAGCGTTCTCTGAGATGTTTGGTAGTTATTTGGGTCCTTACTTGACCTTCGTGGCCTTAAAACAAAGGGAACATGGCATTTGTGAATCTGAAAGACTTGTGATAATTTTCTCATTTCCTCCAGGCTGTGTGCCTCACTCTGAGTTTGCGGAGGGATCAGCCCTTTTTCAGGGCGCCCTCATGTCCTGAGTATCATCCTCAGAATGTGAGGCTTGGGCCCAATCTGAAGAGGGTGTGAGGGAGAGCCAAAATGCAGGGATTGTCCCACAATGCAGTCCCGCTCTGTAAATCCCTTCCTCTGACTAGCTTGATTTCAGGCTCTGAGAATGGATGGGGTGGGATCGTGAAAGGGTGGCCTGTCCCTCCACACCTGTGGGCGTTTCTCGTCGGGTGGGACGAGAGACTGAGAAAAGAGACAAAGTATAGAGAAAGAAAAGTGGGCCCAGGGGACCGGTGTTCAGCTTACGGAGGACCCGCGCAGCCCGGGTCTCTGAGTTCCCTCAGTATTTATTGATCATTATCTCTACCATCTCGGAGAGGGGGATGTGGCAGGACAACAGGGTAGTGGTGGGGAAAGGGTCAGCAGGAAAACATGTGAACAAATGTCTCTGTATCATATACAAGGTTAAGAAAAAAGTGCTGTGCTTTGATGTGCACATACATAAACATCTCAGTGCATTAAAGAGCAGTATTGCAGGCAGCATGTCTCACCTCCAGCCGTAAGGCGGTTTTCTCCTATCTCAGTAGATAGAATATACAATCGGGTTTTACACCAAGACATTCCATTGCCCAGGGAGGAGCAGGAGACAGATGCCTTCCTCTTATCTCAACTGCAAAGAGGACTTCCTCTTTTACTAATCCTCCTCAGCACAGACCCTTTACGGCTGTCCGGCTGGGGGACGGTCAGGTCTTTCCCTTCCCACCAGGCCATATTTCAGAATAGTACATGGGGAGAAATCTTGGACAATACCTGGCTTTCCTAGGCAGAGGTCCCTGCGGCCTTCCACAGTGTTTTGTGTCCCTGGGTACTTGAGATTAGGGAGTGGTGATGAGTTTTAACAAGCATGCTGCCTTCAAGCATTTGTTTAACAAACACATCCTGCATATCCCTAAATCCATTAAACCTTGAGTCGACACAGCACATGTTTCTGCGAGCACAGGGTTGGGGGTAGGGTTACAGATTAACAGCATCTCAAGGCAAAAGAATTTTTCTTAGTACAGAACAAAATGGAGTCTCTTTGTCTACTTCTTCCGACATAGACACAGTAACAGTCTGATCTCTCTTTCTTTTCCCCACAGATTGCTTTTCAGTACTTTCTGCTGAGACATTTTTGTATATTCATTTCTCTCTCAAGGAGCCTCTATAACAAAAGAGAAAAAAGTATCTCGGTTTCTGTGTGTGGCACATGAGTTTGAAGGATTTCTGAGACTGTCGTTCAGGACTGGCGTTACAGATTAAACGCCAATAAGATTCAGGACCAGGGACGATGGGATCCCTGACAGGCGGATATAACTCCTCGTTAAGGACAGACTGCCCACCACTCTCCTTCTTTCTCTGTTTCTGAATTTATTTTCTATAAATTCCGCTGGGTATCAGAACCTTCCTTCGGCTGACTGACGCTTTGCGATTTCCTCTCCAAGCCCGGATCTGTTCCCCAAAAGTCTCTCGTTCCTGCTTCTAGCTTCTCTTTTTAGCTTCTCTAGGTTCGCGTCATCGGCTTTCCTTTTTTCCGAGGTTGAATCCCCAGTTACAAGAAGCCGAGAGGTCTTCTTGTCATAAAATTAACTTCCCTCGGCTCCTGTAACAGGGAGTGGGAGCCCACCCTCCCACTCGCCGTGTAGCACTCTGCATCTCTGAGAAGAAAGTGACCACCCCAGCCCAGCACAGCACAGATTTTCTTTGAGCACCTGCTCGGAGTTCCTGTCCCTCGTCGCTCCTTGGTTTTCCCTCATCGACTACATACAGTCTGTTGGATGTCGGTCAAGGTATCGCCAGCCCCTGCCATGGGAACCATTTGGGGAAAAATAGATCCGATTTATTATACTTCAAAGATGCCCAATGATTCCCTGTCGTCTGTGTACCATAAAAATAAAAACAGATAAAAATAAGATCAATGTATTCGACATCTACACCCAGGCGTACAGCTCTGAGGTGATCAACTGGGAAGCGAAGGTAGCCCACCCAGAGGGAAGAAAGGAACAAAGCTGGAGAATGCAGACGTGGATCCTGCAGGCCGCTGCCTCCCAAGTGAGCGGGTTACAAATTCCGCTAACCCCAGCCCCCCACCACGCTATTGGCTATTTGAGGCATGTGGGGTTTTTTTCCGGACTAGAAGTCTTGTGTTCCACCTGGATTTTCGGGACCACTCAACATTCCTGAGCTCCACCCCTGCCAAGGTGGAGCCAGCACAGGACTGCAGGCGGAGTCTCCAGACTCATCCAGAAACAGCCACTGCGCGGAGCCGGGAGCGCGTGTCGAAAGCGCACCCCTAGACAGCTACTGTGGGAAAGCTCTGGGCCGGACACAATTCCACATGCTTGATATTTTAGAAAAGAAGGAATTATACCCTAGCTGTAAAGGGAGTGTGGATTACAGCTATAACAAGTACCAGGAAGGTAAGCTTTCCTTGCAAAAGCTGCCCTCTCTGAGGCTCGAACTCAGGACCTTCAGATTATGAGACTGACGCGCTGCCCGCTGCGCTAAGAGGGCGACGAAGTGCATCAACGCGCCAGCTTCCACAGGAATTTCCTAATTTCTTTCCCCAGGTGGGCTATTTTGGGACTTCAGTTTTCTTCGCCCAGGGTCGCTAGTTCTCCAAGATTATTTCCAATAGGCACGCGTAGGCTCCTTTTTAGCCCATCGGAAGAACCTCACAATCGGAAGCCATAGTGTACTGAACAATTATGCCTGACCTCATTCTCTATTGATCTGGATCTTCGTCCCCTCAGAGATATAAGGCAATAATTACTGTCCACAGTCTCCTTAGTTGGAATAGCGGGCTTTCACTAAATGCTAGTTGAATGAATGAAAAGCTCCCAAACATGCCTGCAGTTTACACTTACCTCTCTTAATTTAAATTTGCATTTCCACTTATGTCACCTGAGATAGTCCCCTCAAAATATCACCAACTGATTTTATGATGAGTCTTCATGTTTTCTTCACCTCTATGTTGCAAATACTCTATTAAATACTTTATTCCCATAATTTCATTTAGTCCTATTTATTTATTTATTTATTTATTTGCCATAAATCTATACATCATTATCCCCATCTTACTGATGAAACTGAGGCTCAGCAGAACTAAATCCACAGCTGATAAGGGGTAAAACCAGATCTTGAAAGCAGATTTTGTTTTCCAAAAAGCGTGCTGCCCTCTTTCTCCCTCTAGATCATGTAATCTCCCCTTTTCCTCTCCACACCACCACACTCATTTGTTAAGCAAATAGCTATAGAATTTTAGATTCGTTGGTCCATTCAACAAACTTTAATTCACCACTTGCCATGTACCCGACATTTATGTTCTAGATTTCCAAGGCATCCTTGGCCCTTTATCCCTCACATCCCTACAAACACCTTAAATCATTAGTTCTCGAAGTGCGGTGCCCAGACCCACCACATAATTCTCGAGGACACATTCCATTTCAGGTACTGTCCTACCCGAAGGCTTTGAGGATTCAGAAGAAATTGAGCCATCCCTGACCTCAGGAGCTGACAGGACAAACTGTCCTATCTGGTCCAGTTCCTATACTCTCAAACTTCCGGATTCTTATAAATGCATTTTCCTAAATATTTTATTTTGATACTGTAACTCTTCCGCTCTGTACTAGTTTGCTAGGGCTGCCATAATAAATATCACAGACTGAGTGGCTTAACCAACAGAAAATTTTCTCAGTTCTGGATGCTAGAAGAGTTGTTAGCTTTGGTTTCTCCTGAGGCCTCTCTCCTTGGCTCGCAGATGGTCACTTACCTTCTTGCTGTATTCTTGCATGGTCTCTCTCTCTACACATATTTCCATCTTTTCTTATAAGAACGCCTATTGGGATTTAGGGTTTCGACATGAATTTGGTAACGGGTGGGGCAGGACAAAATTCCACCGTAACAGGCTCAAAGTTGTTTAAATTTCCACCTTCAGATTTGCAGTAGACTTTGTTACTGGAAAGCACTACTTCCTTTTTTTTTTTTTTTTAACAAGTATTTTAGAGTCCCTTAATTGAACAGACCATATACCTTTCCTTACCTAGGAATTCCCACTCCAATGCGCGGTCCACACACCCATTATTTCTCCTCATCTTCATTCTTCAAGGCCCATTCTTGATTCTTTCATTCTTATTTGAAAGAATGTAGCATGGAGGAATGTAGCATACTAGTTTTTCCCTCGGAATTGCATGACTCATTGTCAGTAACTATCTTATGGTTTTTGCTGTTATGACATTTAGTATGGATGTGTGCTATCTTTCATTAATATCCTCCATCTTGTAGTCACTGTTTCCATAAGGAAGCGCAGCCAGTGTGAACTACAGTCCAAAACCTCCCATATGCATAGACTGGTTGTGTAGTCTAAAGAAATTCCTGGCTCTGAGTCCTAATTCTGAAGGTAGTGGTAAACTTCAGTCCTTTGGTGTCTTATTCACTTAGGTTCATGCCAAGCTTACGGGGCCCAATGCAGATCCCAGGAAAAGGAGGAAGGGATGTATGCTAAACCTGTTCCTATTTCTACCCGCCAGGTTTGTTGTTGTTGTTGTTTGTTTTTCAGGTGGAAGCTCAACAGCATCCATGCTATGGGTGATTGATGCTATGTTTCTCTAATGTTAGCAGTATCTTCTTCTAATGAACTCTCTCCTTGATGATCTCTTGTCATCTGTCTTGGCCAATGTCAGTAAGGGGTCTGCATGTAAAAATGCTCATAGGTACTTGAGATGTTCATCTTTTCCTCCTTGTTTGGGTGAATTGTTTCTTTCTTAATTCATTTATGCACGTGCACATACATGTATACATAAGTGTGCACATAGGTGCGCACGCACACGTGTAGATGCCTGTGCTTATATGTGTACATACACGTATGCATACACATATGCATTCTCGTGTACATACATGCACGAATGCTCGCATGCATGTTTAGGTACGTGTATACAAACCTGATACACGAATAAATACGTGTACAAATGTGTTGATGCATGTTTACATGAGTGTACATGCATGTTAATGTACACATATGCATCTACACATATGCGTATACACACATACATGGACACATACATACTGTGTACACAATCAATGAATATGCCCAAATGCATGCAGACGCACACATGTATTTGTACACATGCATGTGTGTACATATGTGAGTGTGCACACATGTATGAGTGTATATGTGTTTGTATGTTTGTACGTATAAGTGTATGTATACATGTGCACAGACGTCTGAATGCATGTGTGGGTAGACATGTGCATTTGTATGCACAAGTACGTGCGCATGCAGATATATGTTTGAGTACATGTATGCATCGTGCTTTTGTGTGTAAACATGTATGTATATATACATGTATTATGGGTGCATCTGTGTATGCAAGTGCACGTGTGTATGCACATGCAGGTATACCCACATATCCATGTACACATATATGTCATGCATGTATGTGTGTGCATGCATGTATTTGCACACAAATTTTTGTGTGTGCACATGCATGTGTGCACACACGTGTGTGTGTAGACATGTATGTGTGGATGTGCACATGTAAATATGGACACTTGTATTCAGGCATACACATGCTTTCACGTGTGTGCACAGATGCATTTGTAGGCTGGTATACATGGTGTATACGTGTATGTATATATACATTATTCATAAAAACATATGTGCACACATGTGCACAATGCATACATGTATGCATACGTGTGTGCATGCATGAGTACACATGTGCATACACACGTAGGTGGGTAAACACACATGTACACACATGCATGCAGACATGTGAGCACATGTCTATCTGCACATATATCTACACAAATACATGCATGCATACTGTGTACACGATACATGGATACACATACATCCATGCACACACACCCACATGCATTTGCACATGCATGTGTACATATCTTTATACACTCACACATGCACGCACGTGTATATACATGTATACATACATATGAATGTGCAGCTACGTGTGTACATGCATGTACTTGCATGTATGCATATGCATATGTGTCAGCAAATACACACATACATACACACATACATACGGTGTACATGCATGTATACATAAACATGCATGCATGTATACACATGTATGTGTAGATACCTTTGTGCATATGTGTACATGCCTGTATGCATACACACATGCATACACGTGTACACACATACATTTACACATGCATGTGGTGTACACAGACATGTATACATAAACATGTGTCCAATCACGTCTACATACACACACATGCACCTGTAGATACAAGTGTACATGTTCTGTGTGGAAGACGTGTAAGGGGAGAAGAAAAGACACACACACAATACCTTTAAGGGTAAACAACCTTTATCCCACGTAAATGGCAATGCAGATATAATAAGCAAATGATATAGTAAGCAAATTGAAATAATAAGCAGACTGATATAATAAGCAAATTGCAACGGGAAGGAAAAAGACATATATTTATATGCACTCCAGGCTGCACTCCAGGCTGCTTCTAAAGGTGTCCCATAATGAAACAATCCCCAATATAAGGCAGGTCCTCTTTTTTTCCTCTTTGAGAAGATTCCTCAAACATCTATTCTTAAATTTAAAAAACGTTATTTATTTATTTATTTATTTTTGAGACGGAGTCTTGCTCTGTTTCCCAGTCTGGAGTGCAGTGGCGTGATCTCGGCTCACTGCAACCTCCACCTCCTGGATTCAAGCTATTCTCCTGCCTCAGCCTCCCAAGTAGCTGGGACTACAGGTGCATGCCACCATGCCTGGCTAATATTTGAATTTTTAGTGGATACTGGGTTTCGCTACGCTGTCCAGGTTGGTCTCAAACTACTGACCTCAAGTAATCTGCCCACTTCGGCCTCTCAAAGTATATACATATATATGTATATACACACTCACCAGACTATGGAGGATTCACCAACAGACCGGGAAGCAACAGCCTGGGCTCCAGAGTTGGCCAGCTGTCTGCGCACAGACGAGGAGAAGTCTCATGAAGCTTCAGCCCAGTCTGGAACCCTAGCTCTTTTTGTAACGAGTTGTTTGGCATGAGGCCCGGTCACGAGGGCCCTTCGCAACTGGGCTCAAGGATCACAAAAAGGTCAACTTGTTTTTGTGATTGTCTGTTGTTTTTCAGTAACTAATGTATAGGAATAGATTGAAATAGAGATTTCTCTGAAACAGCACTGGATGAACACCTCAATGGGTTCACAAACCTGTTCCAGACAGATTTCCCTCATGCTGTTCTCATGACAATGAGTGAGTTCTCCTGAGATCTGGTTGTTGAAAAGTGTGTAACACTTTCCCCTTTGCTCTTTCTCTCCGACTCTGCCATGGTAAGGCATGCTTGCTTCTCCTTCGCCTTCCGCCATGATTGTAAGTTTCTTGAGGCCTCCCAGCCATGCTTCCTATACAGCCTGTGGCACTGTGGGTCAATGAAACCTCTTTTCTTCATAAATTACCCAGTCTCCAGTAGTTCTTTATAGCAGTGTGACAATGGACTAATACAGGTGCCAACAAGTTCAATCACTGGCACCAAAATATGGGAGATACGGTAGTTAGATGCATGAGAAATGTAAAGGGGAGAAATGGGCAGATTGACTGCCTGAAGTTCCTTCTATATTGGGATTGGCCTGTAGTCCCAGGGCTTTTCAGGGACAACCAGATGTAGGCCTTTCCCACAAGACAGGTGTGGGAATCAGGAGAGAGGGAGCACTAGCATGAGGTCAACTTTGAGCCAGTCCCAGTGGGCTATGTGGAAGGATGAACGTAACTAAGGAAAAAGAAGCAAAAGGAAGCTTTGAGTTTTGCAGTGGCTGGAAAAGCAGTCATAAAGAAGGGGGTACAGGAGAGTACATCATCATCAAGGGAAATGCACACGAGAATCCACAATCATGGATCGTATTAAAAAAATTATTCGTATTCAAACAGCTGAATGGAAAGCATGACACTGGCTAATGACAACACCATTTAAAAGTAAGAACTTTATTATTCTCCCCACCACCCCTCCCTGGCTTTAACTCATCTTCCACCACGATTGAAACACGGAAGTCTCAGAACAGTGGTTAACAAATGGTAGAATGTTAGGGTAAGAAAAGAGAGATGAAACATTTTCCTTAGAAAACTATCCAAATAGTTTTAGCTGACTCAACAGGCCCAGTAGGTAAAGGAAGAGATCTGATCTTTATGTCAAGTTTAAATTTTAGAGTGTTACATGGAGCTCAGCATCTTAACTTTGAGACTGAGACTGTATTGCCTGGGATGAGGCATAAAACTGTGTATGTCTTCATATGGAGATAGGGAAAGAATATATCCTACTGAATAAGATTAAAATGACACTGGGAGACCAAAACATGTTTTTTGTATTATTAAATCCCAGAGATTGGCCACATTCATATTACAGAGTTTAGAGAGAACTAACTGATAAACTTACGTGGCTATCCCTTAATGAGTTTTGTTATTATTATGGTTTTTTCCTGTCTGCTTATGCATTATTATGATATCTATATTATGATTTTGTTATGCCAAGTAATGACATCTCAGGGATCTGTGAGGCAGTACCTCATTTGGTATTCTAACCACATTTGACAAGTACAAAAATGTACACACCTTAGTCTACTTTGTGTTGCTAAAAGGAACACCTGAGACTGCGTAATTTGCATGACAATGAGTCATGCAATTCCGAGGGAAAAACTAGTATGCTACATTCCTCCATGCTACATTCTTTCAAATAAGAATGAAAGAATCAAGAATGGGCCTTGAGGAATGGAGATGAGGAGAAATAATGGATGTGTGGACCAGGCACTGGAATGGGAATTCCTAGATAAGGAAAGGTATATGGTCTGTTTAATTAAGGGGCTTTAAAATACGTGTTAAAAAAAAAAAAAAGCAAGTAGTGTTTTCCAGTAACAAAGTCTACTGCAAATATGAGGGTGAAAATGTAAACAACTTTGAGCCTGTCATGGTGGAATTTTGTCCCGCCCCACCTGTCATCAAATTCATGTCGAAACCCTAACTCCCAATAGGAGTTCTTATAAGAAAAGATGGAAACATGTGTAGAGAGAGAGACCGTGGGAGAATATAGCAAGAAGGTAAGTGACCATCTGCGAGCCAAGGAGAGAGGCCTCAGGAGAAACCAAAGCTAACAACCCTTCTAGCCTCCAGAACTGAGAAAATTTTCTGTTGGTTAAGGCACTCAGTCTATGATATTTATTATGGCAGCCCTAGCAAACTAGTGCAGAATGGGAGTTACAGTATCAAAATAAAATATTTAGGAAGATGCATTTATAAGAATCCGGAAGTTTGAGAGTATAGGAACCGGACCAGATAGGACAGTTTGTCCTGTCAGCTCCTGAGGTCAGGGATGGCTCAATTTCCTCTGAATCCTCAAAGCCTTCGGGTAGCACAGTACCTGAAATGGAATGTGTCCTCGAGAATTATGTGGTGGGTCTGGGCACCGCACTTCGAGAACTAATGATTTAAGGTGTTTGTAGGGATGTGAGGGATAAAGGGCCAAGGATGCCTTGGAAATCTAGAGCATAAATGCCGGGTACATGGCAGGTGGTGAATTAAAGTTTGTTGAATGGACCAACGAATCTAAAATTCTATAGCTATTTGCTTAACAAATGAGTGTGGTGGTGTGGAGAGGAAAAGGGGAGATTACATGATCTAGAGGGAGAAAGAGGGCAGCACGCTTTTTGGAAAACAAAATCTGCTTTCAAGATCTGGTTTTGCCCCTTATCAGCTGTGGATTTAGTTCTGCTGAGCCTCAGTTTCATCAGTAAGATGGGGATAATGATGTATAGATTTATGGCAAATAAATAAATAAATAAATTGGACTAAATGAAATTACGGGAATAAAATCTTTAATAGGGTATTTGCAACATAGAGGTGAAGAAAACATGAAGACTCATCATAAAATCAGTTGGTGATATTTTGAGGGGACTATCTCAGGTGACATAAGTGGAAATGCAAATTTAAATTAAGAGAGGTAAGTGTAAACTGCAGGCATGTTTGGGAGCTTTTCATTCATTCAACTAGCATTTAGTGAGAGCCCGCTATTCCAACTAAGGAGACTGTGGACAGTAATTATTGCCTTATATCTCTGAGGGGACGAAGATCCAGATCAATAGAGAATGAGGTCAGGCATAATTGTTCAGTACACTATGGCTTCCGATTGTGAGGTTCTTCCGATGGGCTAAAAAGGAGCCTACGCGTGCCTATTGGAAATAATCTTGGAAAACTAGCGACCTTGGGCGAAGAAAACTGAAGTCCCAAAATAACCCGCCTGGGGAAAGAAATTAGGAAATTCCTGTGGAAGCTGGCGCGTTGATGCACTTCGTCGCCCTCTTAGCGCAGCGGGCAGCGCGTCAGTCTCATAATCTGAAGGTCCTGAGTTCGAGCCTCAGAGAGGGCAGCTTTTGCAAGTGAACGCTTACCTTCCCGGCACTTGTGATAGCTGTAACCCGTATTCCCTTTACAGCTGAGGTATAATTCCTTCTTTTCTGAAATATCAAGCAAGTGGAACCGTGTCGGGCCCAGAGCTTCTGTGGGTGCTCGTTTGACACGCGCTCCCGGCTCCGCGCAGTGGCTGTTTCCGGATGAGTCTGGAGACTCCGCCTGCAGTCCTGTGCTGGCTCCACCTTGGCAGGGATGGAGCTCAGGAATGTTGAGTGGTCCCGAAAAACCAGGTGGAACACAAGACTTCTAGTCCGGAAAAATCCCCCACATGCCTCAAATAGCCAATAGCGGGGTGGCGGGCTGGGGTTAGCGGAATTTGTAACCCGCTCACTTGGGAGGCAGCGGCCTGCAGGGTCCGCGTCCTCATCCTCCGGCTTTGCCCCTTTCTTCCCTCTGGGTGGGCAACAGTCGCTTCCCAGTTGATCATCTGAGAGCTGTACGCCTGGGTGTAGATGTCGAATACATTGATCTTCTTATTTTTATCTGTTTTTATTTTTATGGTACACAGACGACAGGGAATCATTGGGCATCTTTGAAGTATAAATAAATCAGGTCTGTTTTTCCCCAAACGGTTCCCATGGCAGGGGCTGGGGATACCTTGACCGACATCCAACAGACTCTATGTAGGCAATGAGGGAAAACCAAGGAGCGACGAGGGGCGGGAACTCCGAGCAGGTGCTCAAAGACGAAGAAAATCTGTGCTGGGCTGGGGTGGTCACTTTCTTCTCAGAGATGCAGAGTGCTACACGGCGAGTGGGAGGGTGGGCTCCCACTCCCTGTTACAGGAGCCGCTTGGAACTGGGGATTCAACCTGGGAAACAAGGAAAGCCGATGACGCGAACCTAGAGAAGCTAAGAAGAGAAGCTAGAAGCATGAACGAGAGAATTTTGGGGAATAGATCCGGGCTTGGAGAGGAGACTGCGAAGCGCCAGTCAGCCTAAGGAAGGTTCTGATACCCAGTGGAATTTATAGAAAATGATTTCGGAAAGAGAGAAAGAAAGAAAGAGAGTGGTGGGCAGTCTGTCCTTAACGAGGCGTTATGTCCGCCTGCCAAGGATCCCACCGTCACTGGTCCTGAATCTATATTTCATCTGTAACGCCAGTCCTGAACAATAGTCTCAGAAATCCTTCAAACTCATGTGCCACACACAGAACCCGAGACAGTTTTTTCTCTTTTGTTACAGAGGCTCCTTGAGAGAGAAATGAATATACAAAAATGTCTCAGCAGAAAGTACTGAAAAGCCATCCCACCCCATCCATTCTCAGAGACTAAAATCAAGCTAGTCAGAGGAAGGGGTTTACAAAGCAGGACTGCACTGTGGGACAATCCCTGCATTTTGGCTCTCCCTCACACCCTCTTCAAATTGAGCCCAAGCCCCACATTCTGAGGATGATACTCAGGACGTGAGGGGGCTCTGAAAAAGGGCTGATCCCTCCGCAAACTCAGGGTGATGCACACAGCCAGGAGGAAATGAGAAAATTATCACAATTCTTTCAGATTCACAAATGCCATGTTCCCTTTGTTTTAAGGCCACGAAGGTCAAGTAAGGACCCAAATAACTACCAAACATCTCAGAGAACGCTTTGGGCAAGAGTGCGGAGACAATCAATTGCATTGTTCCCATTACAGTTTGCAGTTATTAATTTCATGGAAGAGAGCACGTCACACCGGGGGCAAGACACAGTAGGAACTGCCAGATTAAGTAGCACAGATATCCCGGAATGTTCTGCGGCTCTTTGTATTTTAAGGAAGTTTTGATTACTGACTGACTGTTGACGAGTCAACAGTTGATGAGGAGGAGGTTTTGGGGCTGGCCATTCCAGGCTCCACGTTCACACCACGGCACCACCATTCCTAGGGTGTCTAGACATGTACACTTGCAAAAACCATGTATATAGAGAAAATGATTTTATTTATATGTGAGAGCACTTTTAAGTTTGAAACTTTCAATAAAGACTTTTTTTTTTTTTTTTTTTTTTTTTTGAGAGTGCAGTGGTGCGATGTCGATCCACTGTAACCTCCACCTTCCAGGTTCAAGCGATTCTCCTGCCTCAGCCTCCCGAGTAGCTGGGATTACAGGCGTGCGCTACCACGTCCAGCTAATTTTGTATTTTTAGTAGAGACGGGGTTTCGCCATGTTGGCCAGGCTGGTCTCAAACTCCTGGCCTCCAGTGATTCGCCCCGCCCCCGCCTCGGCCTCCCACCGAGCCTGGCCTAATAAGCACTTTTTTTAAGTTTTATCATTTTAATTAAATATTTCAGGCTTTAAATAGGAAAGGGAATGAGATAATTTTTGTTCGTTTTTCCAGGTTGCTGAACAAAATAATTACCAGAAAGAAATCAACATTTAGCTTTAATTTTTGATGCTACAAGACCCCTCTGGAGACAGTGTTCACGCAGTATCTGGAGAGTGTTGTTTAGGCTCCTGCTTCCTCACGCAGTCCCCTCCAACAATGCTGTTGGTCCATTGTGCTTCCCACTGTCCTTAGTCCATCTCATCCATGAATAGGCCATCAGCTCCCCCAGACCAGCAGCGGTGGGCTTTCCTTTGAAATCTGGAGGGTCTGGAGGGCTGCGCAAACTTCCCTTGACTTAGTTATCTCAGAGCATTGTGATGGAAAAGAAACATCCCATGCAAGTGGACAGCACTAGGTTGTGAACTGGAAGGAAGGTGGGAAAGGAGAGATACCCATTACGCATTTCACTTTCTTGAACTCAGCAGCAGAGAGAATGATGAAATCAATAGCTTGAGAGAACTAGGAAATTTTAGGGCCATGTTTGCATGTGTGTATGTACTTGTTGTTAACAAATTGGTAATAGATCATAAATATGATCTAATATTAACTTTTTTTTCTGATTGTCACCCATACAAAAAAAATTTCTCTTAATGGCTGATTATAAATAATAAAGTAAAATCTACAGATTTTTATGTTTTTTAAGACTCTTTTCATCCATAAAAGGTCCCTGGTCTTTCTTTTATGGATATTATTTTTTAAAATTGATAGACATTATTTTTTAGAGAAGTTCTGGGTTTAAAGAAAAATTGACCAGAATAGATAGAATTTCCATAAACTCCATCACTCTCCCTCTCTTACAATTTTCCCTATTATTAACATCTTGCATCAGTATGGTACACTTGTTACAACTGGTAAACCAGTAATTACTAATACATTATTGTTAACTGAAGTCCACAGTTTACATTACAGTTTGCTCTTTGTGTTATACATCCTGGGTTTTTTTTTTTTTTAACAAATGTATAATGACATATATTTACCATTATAGTATCATAAAGAGTTAATGCCAGTTAGTTGTTGAAGGAACTGGGCCTTTTATCCTTAGAAACACCTCTATGTTGTATTTATTTCATTGTATCTATTTCCTGCCCCTTGACATGTTTCTTCACCTACTCTATTTCTTGTAAACTGGTAGTTACAAGTAGAGGCTCACTTAGATTCAGCTTCAAATCTTTTAACAAGACAATTTGATAGGTGGGCTTGTGCACTTTCCATTGCTTCGCTTTATGAGGTACATAATGTCTGGTTCTCCAACTTTTAGTCACCAATATTAGCACTAATGTGTGGTTCAGCTGCCATTCATAAATACATGTATATATAACTCGTATACTTATGTGAATGTACATATTTATGTGTTGATAAACAAAATGATACACAAAAATTAGAAAATAACATTGAAAGAATGAACGTAAAAGTAAACAAGAAGAGATTAACTCTCGAATGCACAGTTTAGAAAAGAATCAAAAGTATATCTTCGAGCTCCTTAGAATATAATGAAAATGGGGACTTATAATGACATATTTCTAAGGACTCTGTAGAAACTGCTTTCTCATTTTAAATTACACCTTTTAATACCCAAGTTACAAAACATTAGAAGAAATCAGTGCATTAAATATAAGAAGGAAGAAGAAGAAGAAGAAGAAGAAGAAGAAGAAGAAGAAGAAGAAGAAGAAGAAGAAGAAGAAGCCCGAAAAAAAAAAAGAAAAAGAAAAAAAAAAAAGAAAATAGAATGGTGAAGGAAACACAGGAATTAACTAGAAAATTGCAAAATCTGATTGGTCATTTGAAAAAGAAGTGTAAAATGGTCAGCCAAATGTAAAATAATAATAATAATAAGGGGATATGGAGAAAGCACAAAGAAAAACCAAAAACATTAGTGAATGCTATTATTAAGATTTGAGAAATGTGGCAGGATAATGTTTTTAAGTATTGCTCTGTCTTTGATCTCCCTGTTTCCTTATCTGTTCAAGGCAGTAACCGTATTTTACAGAACCTTAACTCTACGCATGGGGATGAAGCGAGTTGAACACAGTGTACATAGACAGCGTTTCGGTACTCAGGAAGCTCCCACTCTAGGGGAGAGAAAAACAAACCAGTAACTTAAAGACATACTTTCTGGAGGAGACGATATTTGTGAAGATGTAGTAGGAATTGAGAGATCGTGTGGGCATCACTTTTAGCTGTACTTGTCTAAAGACGGGAAATTTGCATTGAGACCTGAGTAGCTAGAAGTGCCAAACCTGTGGCAGGAGTGGAAAACATGGGAGGATGGAAGCAGGGGCAACAAGACTCTTACATGGGGAGCAGTAAAACACGAGATCGGGGGAGGGGGCAGGTTCCTCTGATCTTCTCCCAGGTAAGAAGCACCGCCGTTGTCAACAGGAGAAAGAAGCGGGTATACAAACCAAGAGACATAAACCGGACAAGGAACTGGAGAATGCGGGCGTCGATTCCGCTACCTCTCGCATGCTAAGCGAGCGCTCTACCGCCTGAGCTAATTCCCCACTGAGGATACACCACCCCCCACCCATTTTCCTGGTTATCAGGAGCCTGCCGGTACTTTGGGCCGCCAAATCCCTGGCAGGACAAGATTGAGGGCGGAGCTTCTCAGATACTGCCTTGGGCAAAGTTCTACGAGCCTGAGAGTGTGAAGAATACGGATTTCCAAAATAGGTCATGAGGGAGACCTCTCTCCTCACTTCTCAATTTCGCCTTCTTCATCTCTCGGAAGTAGAGAGCACGTTCCAGTTGGAGAAGCACCACCCGGAACTGCCTGGCTTGCGGGCACAGCTATTCCAGCCCGCTCTAGAGCTGTGATCCTCACCTGCTCCCTGCAGGCAAGGCCGCCCGGAAGTAGTGGGGCAGCTTCTCCCAGCCCCAGAACTTCACGCCATACGCGCCGCATCTTCAATAGCACTTTCCTCCTGTAGGACTCAGAAAGTGATGGAGAACCTTGGAGGAGTTGAGAAAGAGAAAGCTTGAGAATTTTCATCTCAATCTGTGGATTCATTCCTGAAGCACTTCTTCAGCACCAGGCACAGTGGATGAGGCCAGTGATCCACATAGAAAGTGCCACAACAATAGCAAGTAATAGTACTGTGCAATTGCCGTCTAGACCCTATTTTAGATGCTGTACACATATTAATAGTAATGCAGGTAAAATGCCTAGAAATAGTTTATAATCTTCATTTTTTATATGAAAAATTATGGAAAATTGTCACCACAGAGCTCAGGGATCTCTCAGCCAAAAGGAAAAACAGATGCAGGCTATACCGTGTCTGCTGTGTAGGTGCTTCTCCTGCCATTTCCCTTCCCTGTCACCTTCCTCCCCCCTTCTCTTGCTCCATTGGGCACCACACTTGTCCTTCTTATGCCTGTCTAGTTCTTCAATTCCCGGGCCCACAGAAGAAGGCTTCCCCTGTAGCCCAGGGGAGGCTACATTAGCTCCACTGCCTTGGAGTTGTAGTGGATTCCAAATCTGCTTTCCACCTGTGAAGAATTCTCATTTAAGACAGGAACATAGTTATTTTACTCTGAGTATAACTAGCGTCAAGTAGGATTTTTGCCTGATGAAAATTTGCTGAATGGAGAAAGGCTATACAGATAATTTAGAAGCCTCAAAGGAGAGAGTGGCTTCAGATCAGTAAAGACTGAAGAAAGGATTAGAAGCTAGGGTCTAACAAACCCATAGAAATGTTTTTGCCTGAAAAGGAAATGTGGTTGGGGAAGAGTGGAGGGGCACTACTTTCAGAGTGATTAGTGGGTGGAGGCATGGCCTTC
Organism: Homo sapiens; assembly: GCF_000001405.40. Taxonomy (NCBI): domain Eukaryota; kingdom Metazoa; phylum Chordata; class Mammalia; order Primates; family Hominidae; genus Homo; species Homo sapiens. The sequence continues at coordinate 296,575 of NW_025791780.1, forward strand.
ATGGAACTGCAGGTGGTTTGGGGCAGCTTCAGGTCCCTCCTTCACGGTCCCAGTTTATTAGGAGTGCACATCCTGAGAAGGAAAGAGGCTGCTCCTATGGGACAAAAATTCAACAACATGTTTATTATTTATGACATTCATTTTTGAGATCATTTATGAATAAGAAGATAAAATAGAAAAACATGTAATCAATAACATTGTCTTTCTATTACGATTAACAAAGGGCAATGCTGAGAAGTCAAATGGTGTCAGAGAGAGATTTGAGTGATGGGAAAGAAAGAAGGATGGAAAGAGGGGCACGTCCCAGGGACCTACAAGAGCTTCCTGGAGTCATCTATCCAAAGACCACTCTCTCCAGCATTCTGAGCTCTGCTTGGGCCAGTTGAGCTAGTCAACATATGTGTTGTTAATACAGCGCCTCATGTAGTTTCTTTAAATAGGGGATAGTGTTGCAATTTCAAAAATACATTTTTTTACGTTTTGGTTCATCTTGGAAATTAGAGGAAGACCTAGGTCCCCATTTATTTTGAGCACATTTTTGTCAGAACGAGCTTTCAGAGAGATGAATAGAAGGAATAAATGTCACTTTTCTTAGTGAGAGTGTATCCGACCACTAGAGTTAATATGCTAGCTCCCACCTTCACTTATACTCCTTCCTTACCTCTCTCCTTACCTCTCTTACCTACACAGGAGAGAGGTAAGGAAGGAGTATAAGTGAAGGTGGGAGCCTGGCCAACTCTCAGATAATCTGGTAGAAGACACGTTTTCATCCTCTACCTGACCATGTGTTGTCAATGTGAATAAAAGCAAAAGGTTGGCACATTCAAGTCTCCTGCTTTTGCCTCCTGACACTATTTCCAGGCTGTTCCTCATATTTTGTACCCAAAAGGCTAAAGTTTGATTTCCCCACAAAAATACATTGTATTAACTTCGAGCTGAAGCCCCAAAACCTGTATTGGCAAAACTCACTTGTGACTAATCGCTTCCTTTTTTGCTTTTGCATGGAATGCTATGTATAATTTCCTTAAAAAAAAAATGTACATAACAAGATGAAACTGAGTCAAATAAAGAGCGGTAAATCCGCTGAAAGTATTTACCAGATACCATTGGTAGCCTAGGGATTAAAAGAAGCTAGAGAGTGCAGGCGTCGATCCTGCTACCTCTTGCATGCTAAGCAAGCGCTCTACCGCTTGAGCCAATTCCCCCACACCGCATTTGTCTTTTCTGCCTGTTTTGATAACCGGGACACAAATGTCGTTCCATGTCCCACTTAAGTTTCCAGCTTTTCAAACACCTCCGGGAACTTCCCTACCAAGGCGAAGCGAGGAATGAAGTTTCTGGGAGACAGCCTCAGACCTGGAAGGCAGTGACCATCCTCTGCTTTTTCAATCTGAGTCGGGATCCTGAGAAAGAGAGAAAAGATCTCATTAGGAAAGCACTAGTTCTAATCTGATTTCACTCTCCCATTAGATGAAAGAGAAGGAAGTACCGTCCCTAATTAGCAGTTACCTCAAATGCTCTGTTGAATGCATCACTTTTTAAGAACACAAACCTGGAAATAAGCCCAAGTATCTTTTTATCGATTGATCCTTCAAGTAACTTATCTAGTATCTGTGTTACTAATTGTTTCTCCATTCAGGGGAGTTGAGATCTGTTGTTACCTATTAATCCTTGATAGATTTAATTTGCATTTTTGTACTGATTAATGTTGTTGAACATCTTTTAGTGTGCCTTATTGGCCATATAAGCATCTTATTTTGTGAAATGCCTGCTCAAGTTTTTTGCCCTTATCCTTACTGAGTGTTTGTATCACTGAGTTCTAAAATGTGTTCTATATTCTCCATAAAAGTCCTTTGTTATATGTGTATCCATAACACATATGTTGTATAACAACTATGTGTGCATATAACATATATTACATTTCTTTTCAAGTCTATGTCTTGCCTTTTCATTTTCTTAATATTGTCTTTCAAAGAAAAAGCATTTTAATATTTTATGAAATCCAGTGTATCTTTTTTTGTAAGGGCTCATGCTTTTCTGGTTCCTTCTGAAAAAGCTTTGCCTACATCAGATATGTGCAGACTTCTTTTCTTCTACAAGTTTGATAACTTTAACGTGAAGCTTTACGTATATAAACCATTTTGATTTAATTGTTGTATAGGATGTGAGTTAAGGGTAGGGAATCATTTTTTCCATACTCAGTTGCCTGGGACCATTTGTTTAAAAAACTCATTAAATAACATTTTACCTCTGTCATAAATCAGTTGACCACATACGTTGGTCTGTTTCTGGACTATCTGTTCTATTCCATCAATCTGGGTAAGTATCCTTGAGACAATACCACATTATTTTGATTACCTTAGCTTTATAATAAGTCTTGACATCACCTGGTGTAAGTCCTCTAACTTTGTTTTTCTTTTCCTAATTATTTAGGTTACTCTAGGTCCTACAGAATAAGCTTGTCAATTTCTGTAAAAACAAACAAACAAAAAGAAAAGAAAACAAAACAAACAAAACAAAAATCTCCTGCTGGGATATTTGTTGGGATTGTAGTAAATCTATAGATCAACTCAGAGGGAAAAAAATGATATCTTAATAATATTACCTTTTTCAATCTGTAAATATGTCAAACAACACCAATTAGTCAAGCTTTCCTGAGTTTTTCTCAGCCATCTTTTGTAGATTCCTAGGTACAAGTCCTGTGCACACTGACAAGTTTATCTCTAAATATTTCATTTGTTTTAAACCTATTGAAAGTGGTAATTTAATTTTCCATTTTTTTGATGCTAGTACATAGAAATACAATTAATTTTTGTATATTGTAATCTGTGACATAGCTGCATTTACTTATAATGCTTATTTTTGTGGATACACTAGGATTTTTTGTGTATCTGATCATGTTGCTTGCAAACGAATATATTTTTCTTATTCTAAAGTGAGTATGCCATTTATTCTTCATTCATGCGTTCCTTACTTTCTGACACTAGCTAGGACTTTCAGTAAAATGTAGAAGTAAGGACAGATATTTTGCACTTTTCTCCAATATTAAAGGGTACATATTTATTCTTCCACTATTAACTCTATTGCTAGTTGTAGGACTTTCTTAAACGCCCATTATTCATCTGAGGAATTTTCCTTCTATTCTTAGCTTACTGGGATATTTTTTAAACACCACGAATGAATGGCAAATTTGGTCCAATATTTCTTCTGCATCTAGTGAGATGATTACATGTATTTTTTGTTTTGTTAATGTGGTATATTACATTTAATTGACTTTTCAATGCCTAACTAATTTTTTATTCCCGAGGCAATCTCCCCTAACTCATGGTGCATTATGCTTTACAGATAATGCTGGATTCAATTTGTTAATATTTTAATTCAGTATCTGTTGGTAAATGTGTCAGAGAAGGGTCTCCAAGTGTGGAA